>NC_000014.9:34157167-34460197 GCF_000001405.40 Homo sapiens | reverse complement strand
TCAGCTGTTGTATTTATATTTTTCCACTTCAACTTCTAGAATCATTTAAAACTATCTGATAGTTTGGAACATCAATTTGAGATTGAATCCTCATTTTAGCTTGGTGGAAAGAACTGAATGAGAAAACTGGATTTTTTTCCCTACTTGTCAGGAGGCTTACTCTGAAGTAGTTTGAATTTCATAAATCCATTAATGATTAGTAAGCTTCACCCAGAACTAATCTGTGGCCAGCTACAGGCTTTTGGAAAGAGGCATACTTTCTACAGCTTAAACATTACATTCAACTTAATCATCAATCCTAGAAACCTAAAATTTAGAGAAATTTGCCTCTGCCTGTCTGAAAATTTGTCTCTGAGTTAGAAGTCCTGAACAGAGGAAGACTTCAGATTGATTTCTTTTCTTTGTGTGTGTGTGTGTGAGACAGTGTTTTGTTCTTGTTGCCCGGCTGGAGTGTAATGTCGCCATCTTGGCTCACTGCAACCTCCGCCTCCCAGGTTCAAGCGATTCTCCTGCCTCAGCCTCCAGAATAGCCGGGATTACAGGTGCCTGCCACCACGCCTGGCTAATTTTTGTATTTTTAGTAGAGATGGGGTTTCGCCATGTTGGCCAGGCTGGTCTCGAACTCCTGACCTCAAGTGATCTGCCCACTGCAGCCTCCCAAAATGCTGGGATTACAGGCATGAGCTACCACGCCTGGCCAGATTAATTTTCTTCTTTTTCTTTTTCTTTTTTTTTTTTTGAGACGGTGTCTCGCTCTGTTGCCGAGGCTGGAGTGTGGTGGTGCAATCTTGGCTCACTGCAACTTTGCATCCCGGATTCAAGCGATTCTCCTGCCTCAGCCTTCTGAGGTAGCTGGGATTACAGGTGCCCACCACCACGCCCAGCTAATTTTTGTATTTTTAATAGAGGCGGAGTTGGGGGTGGGGTGGGGGTGGGGTGGTTTTACCATGTTGGCCAGTCTGGTCTCAAACTCCTGACCTCAAGTGATCCGCCTGCCTTGGCCTCCCAAAAGTGCTGGGATTACAGGTGTGAGCCACCGCGCCTGGCCCAGATTAATTTCTTAAAGAGGATAGATGCATTAGTTTACATTTCCTGCTATATAATGCATTTTTAAAAATTTGAAGTTGTGGGCCGAGTGTGGTGGTGGACGCCTGAAATCCCACTAGTCGGGAGGCTGAGGCAGGAGAATCGCTTGAACCCGGGAGGCGGAGGTTGCAGTGAGCCGAGATCACGCCACTGCACTCTAGCCTCAGTGACAGAGTGAGACTCCGTCTCAAAAAAAAAAAAAAAAAAGTTGTAATTTCAGGGGAAATTGATAACGTACTATCACTGTACTTTCCAGGGGCATCCTTGAGCATCTGAATGGATGTTTAGAAATTATTTGCTTCTTGACTTCCCAAGTCAAATAGCTAGAAGTTAGTTAAAAGCTGTTGTAAATTGAAAGTCAATCTTGGCCGGGCGCGGTGGCGGTTCACCAGTCTGGCCAACATGGTGAAACCCCATCTCTACCAAAAAAAAAAAAAAAAAAAAAAAATTAGCTGAGTGTGGTGGCGCACGACTGTAGTCCCAGCTACTCGGGAGGCTGAGGCAGGAGAATCGCTTGAACCCAGGAGGCAAAGGTTGCAGTGAGCCGAGATCGTGCCACTGCACTCCAGCCTGGGCCACAGAGCAAGACTCCATCTCAAAAAAAAAAATAAAAAGAAAGTCGATCTTAGGCCTGGCGCGGTAGCTCACACCTGTAATCCCAGCACTCTGGGAGGCCGCGGTGGGCAGATAGCTGGAGTCCAGGAATGTGAGACCAGCCTAGAAAACATGGTGAAACTCAGTCTGTACTAAAAATGCAAATATTAGCCGGGTGTAGTAGTGTACGCCAGCTACTTTGGTGGCTGAGGCACCAGAATCTCTTGAACCTGGGAGGCAGAGGTTGCAGTGAGCTGAGATGGCGCCACTGCACTCCAGCCTAGGTGACAGCCTGTTCAAAAGAAAAAAAAATCTCAATTGAATATAAGTATTTTTGAACTTACCTATGTAAGGAAATTGCAATTTGTAAAAAAGATTTTAAGATGTGTTTTTAAGGAAAAGCATCTATTGGGTCAAGTCAGACACATTGTGAATAGTTCTTGAAACAGTAAGATTTATAAGTAAGTTTTGTAAATTCTTCCTCACTAGGGCCTATATACCATCTGTCTTTTCTTTTCTTTTCTTTGTTTTTTTTTTTTTTTTTTTCCGAGACAGTCTTGCTCTGTCACCCAGGCTGGAGTGCAGTGGTGCGATCTCGGTTCACTGCAGCCTCTGCCTCTGGGATTCAGGCGATTCTCCTGCCTCAGCCTCCCAAGTAGCTGGGACTACAGGCCGTGCCACCATGCCCAGCTAAATTTTTGTATTTTTAGTTGAGGTGGGGTTTCACCATGTTAGCCAGGCTGATCTTGAACTCCTGACCTCAAGTGATCCCCCCACTTCAGCTTCCCGAAGTGCTGGGATTGATTATAAGCATGAGCCAAGATGCCTGGGCTACCATCTGTCTTCTGATGAGACATTTGAAGTGATACATTGGCTTTTGGTTTGTCAAGGAATATTTGAACTTTTTCCATGTGCAGACATGTTTCTATCTTACAGAGAAATGGGACATGACACCTGCATTAAGACAAAAGGTAACAATAAAGAAGAATCTGATAAGTGCCAATTAGTATTACAGTATATACTACAAAAGGAGACCTACCATAGACTGAGAACCACTGACCTTATCTCAGGAGGAGACATTTTTAACATACCTTTCAAAAGTATCCTTTCCCTACTGGCATCCCAAGGTGGGAAAGAAAAGACCAGGTTTTGTAACCAAGATAGGCTTTTGTAACAGTGAGACACGCCCTGAAGTACCTCACTTGGATAACGTTGTAACCATTCCTGTTGAGAGTTGAGAAAATTAAAAATAGATTGTTAAAATAATTTGAATCAACTTTGGGAGGCTGAGGTGGCTGGATCACCTGAGGTCAAGAGTTCAAGGCCAGCTCGGCCAGCATGGTGAATTCTTGTCTCTACTAAAAATAAAAAATTAGTGGGGCATGGTGGCTGGCGCCTGTAGTCCCAGCTACATGGGAGGCTGAGGCAGGAGAATTGCTTGAACCTAAGAAGTGGAGGTTGCAGTGAGCCAAGATTGTGCCATTGTACTCCAGCCTGGGCAACAGAGCAAATGCTCCGTCTCAAAATAATAATAATAATAATAGTAATAATAATAATAATAATAATAATTTGAATCAGAAGTGTGCTATTTTAATCTTTTTTCTTTTCTTTTTTTTTTTGAGATGGAGTCTCGCTGTGTTGCCCAGGCTGGAGTGCAGTGGCGCGATCTTGGCTCGCTGCAACCTCTGCCTCCTGGATTCAAGCAATTGTTCCGCCTTGCCCTCCCGAGTAGCTGGGACTACAGGTGTGTGCCACCACGCCCGGCTAATTTTTATATTTTTTAGTAGAGACAAGATTTCACCATGTTGGCCAGGCTGGTCTTGAACTTCTGTCCTCAGGTGATCTGCCTGCCTCAGCCTCCCAAAGTGCTGGGATTACAGGCATGAGCTACCGCGCCTGGCCTAATCTTGTTTTATTCATTAAAAAATAAAGTCATATTAGTCTATAATCACTGGGCTATATTTGCCCATCTCTTTGCTGCTGATGATGTTTCCATGGCATGTTATTTTCAGCAAAATGTGGGCAGTTTTTTGGTTTATGTTAGGAATTAGATTCACCCTGAAAGACAGTTCATGTGTCTTGAAAACATTTTTTTCCCACTTTTAAACCACAGTGCTGGGCACACAAATAATGCTTAAAAAACAGTTGTTTATATATTGATTTGTTATTTTATTTTATTGATTTATTATTTTTTTGAGATAGGGTTTTGCACTTGTTGCCCAGGCTGGAGTGCAATGACGCGATCTCAGCTCACTGCAATCTCTGCCTCCAGGGTTCAAGTGATACTTCTGCCTCAGCCTCCCAAGTAGCTGGGATAACAGGCACCCACCACCACGCCTGGCTAATTTTTTGTTTTTTTAGTAGAGACGGGGTTTCACCATGTTAGCCGGATGGTCTCGATCTCCTGACCTCGTGATCCGCCTGCCTCCGCCTCCCAAAGTGCTGGGATTATAGGTGTGAGCCACCGCGCCCAGCCACACATTTTAAGCTGTATGTTATTTTCAGTAGCAACTAAATTATTTTCTTAGATTTTTGCTGTATCCTCAGATACTTACAACTTAGAATTAAAAAGGACTTTTTTTTTTTGAGATGGAGTCTTGTTCTGTTGCCCAGGCTGGAGTACACTGGCATGATCTCAGCTCACTGCAACCTCTGCCTCCTGGGTTCAAGCAATCCTCATTCCTCAGCCTCCTGAATAGCTAGGATTACAGTTGCACGCCACCATGCCCAGGTAATTTTTGTATTTTTAGTGGAGACGGGGTTTCACCATGTTGGCCAGGCTGTTCTTGAACTCCTGACCTCACGTGATCCTCTCCCCTCAGCTTCCCAAAGTGCTGGGATTACAGGTGTGAGCCACCGCGCCTGGCCTAAAAGGACTTTTTTTGCATCTCAATATACTAATTAAAGTATTTGGGAGTTTGGAAAATATGAATTTTAAGTTGTAAATAAAATAGATTATACATCCTTATGGTTGAAAACACAAAAGATACAAAAAGGTAGTTGGTGACACAGTCTTCCTTCCACCCCTGCCTCGGCCACCCTGGGACAACCAGTGTCAGCAGTTTCCTATGCATCTCTCCTGAGATATTCTGTGAATATATAAAAAATATACTCCTTTTTTTTTTCTTTTTTTGAGACAGTTTCGCTCTTTTCCTCAGGCTAGAGTGCAGTGGTGCGAACTTGGCTCCTTGCAACCTTTGCCTTCTGGTTGCAAGCGATTCTCTTGCATCAGCCTCCCCAGTAGCTGGGATTACAGGTGCCCGCCGCCATACCCTGTTGATTTTTTGTATTTTTAGTAGAGATGGGGTTTCACCATGTTAGCCAGGGTGGTCTCAAACTCCCAACCTCGTGATCCGCCCACCTCGGCCTCCCAAAATGCTGGGATTACAGGTGTGAGCCACCTAGCCCGGCTCCTATTTTTTTTTTTTCTCAAGATGGAGTCTTGATCTGTTACCTAGGCTGGAGTGCAGTGGCGCAATCTTGGGTCACTGTAGCCTCCGCCTCCTGGGTTCAAGCAATTCTCCTGCCTCAGCCTCACGAGTAGCTGGGATTACAGGTGCCTGCCACCACACCCGGCTGATTTTTGTATTTTTAGTAGAGAAGGGGATTTACTATGTTGGCCAGCCTGGTCTCGAACTCCTGACCTCAGGTGACCCACCCACCTTGGCCTCCCAAAGTTCTGGGATTACAGGCATGAGCCACTGCACCTGTCTGGGAAATGAACAATTGTAAGATTAGGAAGTAATGTGGGAGAAGTGAATACATTTATAAGGGAGGATGGGAAGGACAACCAGCAAACCACAAGAATTCTCAGACAGATCAAGCTCTGGGAGTACGGTGGAAGCAGACCACCTTTAACCGGATTCTCCTTAAACTATCCTAACCTCCTGGAAAGTTGTCTTGTTAACTCCAGGGCCCTACTGCTTTAGTTTGAAGAAAACTGCTCTAGCCTGTTTAACATGTTAGCCTTTATATTTGGCTGATTCAGTGAGAATGTTAGGATATCTCTTAACTGTACTCCTTAGAATATTAACTTTTTCTTTAGTAGTTTTTGGTTGGTAAAGGTTGAAAATAATGAAAACTGTGCTTAACAAGAACTAAATGGTCTATACCAGGACAGGCAGAGAAAGTCATGGTTGGGTTAATGGCAGTGGGAACAGACCACACATTGATATTCTGCAGCAGTGTTTCAGCATGTGATTCTAGTGATTTGTGAGTAGTGATCACTATAGGTCCTGTCTCCATTTTCTTAAAGACTTTGTGATTCCTCCAGACTATGAGTGTTGTAACATTTATGGCACATAGGAGCTAAGATAGATTTTTTTTTCCCCCTAAAACAGGGTCTTGCTCTGTTGCCCAGGCTGGAGTTCAGTGGCTGGCATGATCTTTAGTTCACTGTACCCTTGAACTCCTGGGCTTAAGTGATCTTCCCGCCTCAGCTTCCCAAATAGTGGGGACTACAGGCACACACCACCATGCCTGATTAATTTTTAAATTTTTAGTAGAGACAGGGTCTCACTAGGTTGCCTAGGTTGGTCTTGAACTCCTGGCCTCAAGCAGTCCTCCTGCCTCAGCTTTCCAAAGTGCTCGGATTACAGGTGTGAACCATCGGACCTGGCCTCTTTTTTTTTTTAAAAGAACAAACCCCAAATGCTCAAATTTAGTAATTTAAGCTATGTGTTCTAGAAGATGTACTTGATAGAGGATATATACTTTTTATAAATTGGAATGTTGAAAAAATAGTAGTTATGATCAATAGTTATGAGAAATAGAAGTTTTACTAATACAAGCGTTTTGGTCAGCATGTATTATATATGTTTCTGAAAAACTGCAAAATAATATGGTTTATAGGAAAATATTATTGAGTCAGACCACTTAAAATGTATGCAATTTAGTAAGCAAGCACTAACAAACACAATACTTGGCATCTTGAGGGAATAACTTGGATGTCCCAGACAGGCAGGCAGCTCAGCTTCACTGGAAGCTGCCCGAGGGGACATGAACAAAGCATGGACAAAGTTGAATGGAAATGTCAGCAGTAGGTGCTGATGTAATACAGACAGTGTGGGCTGCCATTGAGGCAGTGTAGGGCCAGTGCCACCTGCCACATTGGCTGAGAGCTGTGCTACCCTGGAGGTGCCTTTCTCTGAAGAGGGAGACTGGGTACAAATGCGAATTTCTGATTTTCTTAAAATAGAGTTAAAAGGACTTCTGCCTGTATAGCAGCTGAGTTGAGAGATGTTTCCTGCAGAAGGTGATACAGTTGACCCTTGATCCACTTGGGGGTTAGGAGTACTGCCCCCAGGCCCTCATCCTCACCCTGCAGGCAGTTGAAAATCTGTGTACAACTTTTGACTCCCCAGAAACTTTACTAATAGTCTACTTTTGACTGGAGCCTTATTGATAACATTAACAGTCGATTAACATATTTTGTATGTTATATGTATTATATACTGTATTCTTATAGTAACGTAAGCTAGAGGGAAGAAAATCATAAGGAGGAGGAGGAGGGGTTGGTCTTGCTGTTTCAGGGGTGGCAGAGGCAGAAGAAAATCCATGTATAAGTAGACCTGCACAGTTCAAACCCATGTTTTCAAGGGTCACCTAATTATTTTCCCACTAATCTGCTCCCCTAAATGATGAAATATCCCATATGAAGGAATATAGCTCCTGTACTGTACTAGTCGTATGTGAGTTATCTGATGTTACAGAAACATGTACTGTAGCAGAACAGATTATAATTCAGAGCAGACTGGGAAATTTTTCCCCATAACACTGGGACTTCAAATCTTCCTGAGGGTAATAGAAGCTCAAATCAATAAATGTGTGCCAGAGACACTATAACCTTAGTGTCTCTGGGATTAGAGCTACAAACCATTTCCAGGATTTTAGTCCACAGTGAAAAATTTTCAGTCCGTGATCATTACTCATTTCAGCAGCATGCTTTGTTGTTTGTTTAGTTTTAAAAGAGCTTGTCATCAAGTTGTAGTTTCTAAAAACAATTTTCATACTTAGGTTTGTATAATCAGCACACTATAGAAAGCTTAGAGAATGGATTTTGCTTGCTAAACACTAATTTCTGATGGTGATGTGCTATCCTTTAACATGACCCTTGAATATCAAATTGGTTAACATACAGAGGACTGTGACAGTATAATATTGTGACAGTATAATATTTTCCACTTGTTTCAATGTAAGAAAACTGGAAAAGTATCAAGAGATAGTTGATATATCTAGGAAAAATTAACTTTCTTTTTTTTTTTTTTTTTTTTGAGATTGAGTCTCACTCTGTTGCTCAGGCTGGAGTGCAGTGGCGCGATCTTGGCTCACTGCAACCTCCGCCTCCCGGGTTCAAATTCTCATGCCTTAGCCTCCCGAGTAGCTGGGAATACAGGTGTGCGTCACTGCGTCTGGCTAATTTTTGTATTTTTTTTGGTCTGACCTCAGGTGATATGCCCGCCCCGGCCTCCCAAAGTGCTGGCATGGGATTACAGGCGTGAGCCACCACGCTAGGCACTTTCTTTACATTTCTGTTGGTGATGATCTGCAGTTTTTTGAGGTCAAAGGAAAAGAAAACTACAGTAATAAGGAAGCTTTCCTGTTTGGGGCTTCATTCAGTAGCCTGCAGCTGCTTTCACTTAGGGCTTTGATTGCTTTTCAGTAAACAGCATATGATAATACTTCGTCAAATGCTTTGTTTTCTTTTTTCATTAAGATGATTTCTTAGATTTATCACAACTCTTGAGTATTTCTAAGGTTAAATAGCATTTTAGAATTGATTTTTTTTTTTTTTTTTTTTTGAAACAGAGTCTCGTTCTGTCGCCCAGGCAGGAGTGCAGTGGCGCGATCTCACTGCAAGCTCCGCCTCCCGAGTTCACGCCATTCTCCTGCCTCAGCCTCCGGAGTAGCTGGGACTACAGGCGCCCGCCACCGCGCCCGGCTAATTTTTTGTATTTTTAGTAGAGACGGGGTTTCACCGTGTTAGCCAGGACGGTCTCGATCTCCTGACCTCGTGATCTGCCCACCTTGGCCTCCCAAAGTGCTGGGATTACAGGTGTGAGCTACCGCGCCCAGCCTAGAATTGATTTTACAAAAGAAATTTGATTAATATAGGATTGGATTGCTTTAAATGTTGTTTTAGCTTTGCTTTTTAATGTGACTATATCATTTAGTCACATTTAATGTGATTTAATGTGACTTAAATAATTGAAATTATTTAGACTAGTGAAGATGTATAAGTCATACCCACTGGAACAAAGGTCTATGACCTTTTCCCGGTGAGAAACTACCTTTAAGTTTTCCAAAGTCTTGTGATTAGATTACTAAAGTGGGTGATGATAGTTTAGAGTTACTGATTGGAACAGGAAATGTTAGTTGCTATGGTTTTGTTTCTAATGTACTGTATTTATATGTAAAGCATTTCCTCTCTTTATTATAGGACTTTTTTTTTTTAAGTTGCTGATAATGGTCTTTTTATGGGCCAAAAAAAAAAAAAATCTTTATTTCTTTCCTAGCTTGCTGGAAACTTAGCTTATGTTTAGGAGATTCCTCTTAAAGAAAGAGAAAACAACATACAGATTCTATATATGGCTTCACATCTACTTGCTTTTATGTCCATGGAACCCATAAAATATTTATGTTATGCCCAGGTTATGAATAACCTCTGATTGTTCATTCAGCCCTTGAACAAACATTTATCTTCAGCACCTGCACAGTATCCTGTCACATTATTTGCTCAATTCTGGGATGGTTCATGAAGCAACTGCTTTACCAAGCAATGTACTATGGCTGGAAGCAAAGGCTCAGTAGGGGTGCTCTGTCAAACACTTAAAAGTCAGTGTTTAGAGACAAGTTATAAACACAAAACAGAACAGCCCATTTTTTAGTTTTTGAGGTTGTATTCTATTCTTGTTCTCTATTGCTTGAGTCATGGAACCCCCTCTAGAATATAGACCTGATTAATTTGTATACAGCTACTGGCACTTATGCAAACAACAAGAAGAGTTCGGTAAATAGAAAGATTACTCCATTACTTTGTATATTACCTTCCAATATATGTGTATTGCATAAAACGGATTAATTTTTACATTTTTTCTTTGTGTACATGTGAAACAGAAGATTGCTTTATGGACGATTGACAGGTGGTACTGAAACGTCCTCTTCAAACAAGTGGGATCCTAAAATGTTAATGAAAGAAAGGACCTCATTTTATGAAGAAACTCAGGTCCAGAGAGGTTGTGTCATCCCAGGATTACACTGTAAATTAATAACAAATTAGTAGCAGGATGAACTTGGGCAAACATAGACAGTCATGATGTTAAATGCTCAAACCCTCAAAGAACAGTTTTAATGAGGATTACATTGCCTTCTCTTGCAGAATAGGTTCGATTCTGAATTCTCACAACCCTGAAAGATAGGTGATGTGTGTCCACATTTTATTGATAAGGAGACTAGTGTTAGAGAGCTTTTGACACAAACAGGGATGGCAGAGTTATGACTCAAACCTGGGTCTCCTACAGTGCTGTACTGTTTCTCCTACCCATTTCTTAAAACTCACAGTGTGTCAAGGGTACTTTAAATTTTGAGAGGCTTGTTACAGAATGAGATGGATTGAGAAATCTATACCAGATAGCAAATTATAGCCGGTATACTCTGTTATGTATATGTTTAGCTTTGTGAGAGCACTTTGAAGTGTGACAATAAAACCAATGCCTAGGTCGGGTGTGGTGGCTCACGCCTATAATCCCAGCACTTTGGGAGACTGAGGTGGGCGGATCACCTGAGGCCAGGAGTTCGAGACCAGCCTGGCCAACATGGTGAAACCCCATCTCTACTAAAAATATAAAAATCAGCTGGGCGTGGTGGCACGTGCCTGTAATTCTAGCTACTCGGGAGACTGAGGCAGAAGAATCACTTGAACCTGGGAGGTGGAGGTTACAGTGAGCCAAGATCGTGCCATTGCACTCAGGCCTGGATACAGAGCAAGAAATTGTCTCAAAAAAAAAAAAAAAAAAGGGAGGCCGGGTGCAGTGGCTCACGCCTGTAATCCCAGCACTTTGGGAGGCCGAGGTGGGTGGATCACCAGGTCAGGTGATCTAGAAATTAAAATTTTTGTTTTTTTTCAAGACAGGGTATCACTCAGTCATCCAGGCTAGAGTGCAGTAGTGTTATTTCAACTCACAGCAACCTCTGCTTTCTGGGCTCAAGTGATATTCCTGCTTCATCCTCCCGAGTATCTGGGACTACAGGCATATATCACCATGCCTGGCTAATTGTTTGTTTTTGTAGAGACGGGGTTTCACTATTGTTGCCCAGGCTGGTCTTGAACTCTTAGTCTTGAACCAAGGTGATCCTCCCACCTTGGCCTCCCAAAATGCTGGGATTACAGGTGTGAACCACCACACCTGGCCTGCATTTTTTGATTATTAGAAGTTCCTCACTGTCCTGTTATGTGCTTGTTCACTTACTGTGTCCCTGTATAGCTAATTTATTATTTTTTAAAAAACTTTTTATCTTTTTAGATAGAGTCTCACTCTGTCATCCAGGCTGGAGTACAGCCGTGTGATCTCAGCTCACTGTAGCCTCAACCTCCCAGGCTCAAGTGATCCTCCTACCTCTGTCTCCAGAGTAGCTGGGACTACAGGTGCGTGCCACCATGCCCAGCTAATTTTTTAATTTTTTTGTAAAAAATGAGGTTTTGCCATGTTGCCCAGGCTGGTCTCATATTCTTGGTGTTAATGGTGGAGGGTATCCTGGTTCTTGGCATCTTGAACAAAGAATTGGTCAAAACGCACAAACAAAGCGAGGAAGGAATGAAGGGTTTTATTGAAAATGAAAGTACACTCCATAGTATGGAAGTGGGCCTGAACATAGGGGCTCAAAGGCCCGGTTACAGAATTTTGGCGAGTTTAAATATCCTCTAGAGGATTCCATTGGTTACTTGGGGTATGCCCTATGTAAATGGAGAGGATGAAGTAAAGTTACAAAGTCATTTACTTGGCCTACACCCTCTGGAGAGGATATTTCCTGTTATAGCTGAAGTGTGAATCGGCCTGATGTTCTCTGCCTCCAGACCCTATTTTCCTGCCTCATCTCCCCACTTTGAGATGTGATCCCCATAAATCTTTATGGGAGGCAGAGGGACCAATGTTCTTTTTCTGTAACTACTTCATGCTGCCTTGAGGCCTAGTCCCTACCTATTGGGGACCATGGAACTCTCGCCCTGCTCTGTCTAGTGAAGGTAGGGTAGCTTTTTTTTTTGAGATGGAGTTTTTGCTCTTGTTGCCCAGGCTGGAGTGCAGTGGCATCGTCTTGGCTCACTGCAACCTCCACCTCCCGAGTTCAAGCGATTCTCCTGCCTCAGCCTCCCAAGTAGCTGGGATTACAGGTTACCCACCACCATGCCCAGCTAATTTTTGTATTTTTAGTAGAGATGGGATTTCACCATGTTGGCCAGGCTGGTCTTGAACTCCTGACCTCAAGTGATCTGCCCACCTCAGCTTCCCAAAGTGCTGGGATTACATGCGTGAACCACCATGCCCTGCCAGCAGGGTAGCTTCTTGATGGCCAGGGGTGGTGTCTTCACCTGGAATTGGCTGGAACCTTTGTTGCATGATCATCTGAAGCTTGATGGTTTCTAGGCGAGAGGGAATGAATTTGGTTAAAAGATTTAATGGGAACTTCAGAGGTGGATACCTATGCTGTCAGAAATGTTTGTTACAGAGATTTGCAGAAGAAAAAACAAAACCTTGTCTGTTCTAGAACCCATGTGTTTCCCTAAAGTCTTAGCACAAACAACCCCGTTTTGGTTTGGTTTGGTCTGTTGGGGCCCAGTGCATGAACTTAGTCCAAAACAATGGGCTTCCAGAATTTTGTTGAAAAAATTCCCCCTTTTTGTTCAGGTTCTTACTTAGGTGAGAGTATGAGCAAAACTTAGGGCCATAGCACCACTCTCAGTTACCATCATTTTCGTTTCCAGTCTCAGCACATCATTTATAGGTTAAGTCCTCATGGTTGCACATTTCCTTCAGCTCTTGTCATTCCAGTTGAAGAGCAATCATATGACATTCTAGAGATGGCTGCATGGAAGCATTTAAAACCTTTGAGAGAATACAGCACTCCAGGGAGACGATTATTATGACTGTTGGGAGGATAATACCAAGAGTTCGGAGTATGCTCCTTACCCGGGTCACCATACCAAACCACCTAAAATTATGTAGATTAAAGAATGATCTGGATGAAGTGTCTGCTTGCTTGACCAAATGGTCTTTTTTTTTTTTTTTTTTTTTTTTTAAGAGATGGAGTCTCGCTCTGTCACCTAGACTGGAGTGCCATGGCACAATCTTGGCTCACTGAAACCTCCACCTCACAGATTTAAGCGATTCTCCTGCCTCAGCCTCCAGAGTAGCTGGGATTACAGGTGCCTGCCACCACGGCCGGCTAATTTTTGTATTTTTAGTAGAGACGCGGTTTCACTATGTTGGCCAGGCTGGTCTCGAACTCCTGACCTCAGGTAATCCACCTGCCTCGGCCTCTCAAAGTGCTGTGATTACAGGTGTGAGCCACTGCGCCCAGCTGAGTAAGTGGTCTTTTCATTAATCCCCTACAACTGAATTTTTATAACCTGCATTCTATGTATTTCTCGATAGGCCACAGGTGCCAGCAGCTGCACAGATACATGTCTGTTTAGCCAATTCTATTATTTAGCATAACTTTCACAAGAGAATTTAAAATCTGTTGTGTGATGATAGCCTTTAAAGTAGAATGTGCTAGAGAGCCTATCATGAGGGATACATTTCTAATCATTGCTTCTTTCACTTTAAACCATGGAAAAAGAGCCAAATAACTGATGCCCTTCTAGAAGAGGGAAGGCCTCCTGGCAATGTTCTCTTTAACCCATGATGTGGGTTAAGAGGAGTGAACCAGTGTTTTATTTTTGACTGATTATGAGGCAATGTATATACCATTAAGGTTTCTTACCTACATTGGGCCTTCATTTTTTATCTGTCAAAGTATAAGATTACCCAGGTAGAAGGCTGGCTGCAGACCCCTTCATAAATAAAAGTACACTCCATAAATCCACATAACAGACCCCTTTTCCACTTCTATTGTTTGTAGAGATGTAGGCAAGAAAAAAATATTCAAAGATAAGAGTTTCATGATAGTAAAGTCTTAACCTGTGAACTTGGAAAAGCTGTTCACATCAAGGATGCTATCTTCTTGGGAGAAATTTCCCTGGTTGGCTTTATCTCAAAGGTTCCAATGGATGCAGTTCCAGAAGTGTGCAGGGACCCCTCTCAGTTGTGAGACCATGAACCCAAAGCCCAAGGTCCCAAAGTTTTGTTGTAGTGTGGATGGGGAGGACAGTCTTTCTCTGATGTTCTCAGAAGATTCAAACGATAAAAAGCTTTTTTTACCTGGTGAAAATACACTGTAGTGTAGTAATCTACTGTTACAACATCAGCCCTCTTGCATGGGAAAGCTTTTATACAACCAGATATCAGTGGAATGAAATCGCTTTGTAAAATATTTAAATGGCCCACCAGGTGACCAAATGTACGTGAAGCTTTAATTGTCTTCCCAGTAATATGGGACCAAGCATTGGTTATAAACTATTTTAAACAATTTTAGTATCAACTGGTTTGATTTGGTTATTTCTGTGGTTTACAATGACAACATAATAAGCATAATTATAGTTGATAGCGTATACTTAGACATTAGAATTTTAGAAATCCCATACAATTTTGGAATATACATTAGTATTATTCACAAAAATGTAACCTAAAGAAGACTGAACATCGTTTTGGCAATCCCGTGTATGTAAACATGTCAAATAATCCTGTTTACCTCTTTTCTGGATGTTTTCAGGGACCCTCTGATACATCCAGAGAGCCAGGCATTAGGAAAGACAATTTTGAAACTGAAGTTTGATTTTGGAATTCCAGATTACCATATATTATACGTTTTGCCAAAATGATGACTCAGAAATTTTATTTTATTTTATTTATTTATTTTTTTGAGACAGAGTCTTGCTCTGTCGCCCAGGCTGGAGTGCAGTGGTGTGATCTCGGTTCACTGCAACATCTGCCACCCAGGTTTAAGCAATTCTCCTGCCTCAGCCTCCTGAGTAGCTGGGATTACAGGTGCATGCCACCACGCTCGGCTAGTTTTTGTATGTTTCATAGACAGGGTTTGGCCATGTTGGCCAGGCTGGTCTCCAACTCCTGACCTCAGGTGATCCACCTGCTTTGGCCTCCCAGAGTGTTGGGATTACAGGCATGAGCCCCTGTGCCTGGCCTAGAAATTTTAAAGAAGCAAAAACCTTTTTATTATAACCTTTTACCAAAAAGAAAAAAAAAGTTTTTTCTACTATTTTTAGACACCTTGCGTGTAAAACTGTTTTTAGTAGTCTTTTTAAAATTTTTTTTTTAGATGGAGCCTGGCTCTGTTGCCCAGGCTGGGGTGCAACGGTGTGATCTTGGCTTACTGCAACCTCTGCTCCCAGTTTGAGTGATTCTCATGCCTCAGCCTCCCAAGTAGCTGGGATTACAGGCGCCCACCACCACGCCTGGCTAACTTTTATAGTTTTAGCTGAGACGGGGTTTCACCATGTTGGCCAGGCTGGTCTCGAACTCCTGACCTCAGATTCGCCCTCCTTGTTCTCTCAAAGTGTTGGGATTACAGGCATGAGCCATCGTGCCTGACCTGTTTCTGGTAGTCTTAATTGCATGTTACAATGACGACTCTTAGCAATTTTTTTTTTTTTTGAGGCAGAGTCTTGCCCTGTGGCCCAGGCTGGAGTACAATGGTGCGATCTCGACTCACTGCAACCTCCACCTCCTGGGTTCAAACGATTTTCCTGCCTCAGCCTCCCAGGTAGCTGGGGTTACAGGTGCCTGCCACCACGCCCAGCTAATTTTTGTATTTTCAGTAGAGACAGGGTTTCACTATGTTGGCCAGGATGGTCTTGAACTGTTGACCTCGGGATCCACCCACGTCGGCCTCCCAAAGTGCTGGGATTACAGGTGTGAGCCACCGCGCCTGGCCTGACTCTTAGCAGTTTTAACTTTAATGTAAAACGTGGTAAGTTATATTCTGATAAGGTTTGACTGTTTCTAGCATAGCTAGGGGTGTGGCCAATGCTACATGTCCCTTGGTCTTACCTAGCTGGAAGGCAGGCAAGTTAAACAATTTTCAAAAGCCAAGGAAGCAGTTTATGACCTTAAAGCATTTAGCAAACCTAATATTTGAACATAATTTAGACCAAATGTTTACATTTTGAAGACATTTTTACTAATAATCTTTAAAACTGTCTTTATTTCCCAAAGATTGCTAAAGTCACATGAACTAAAAGGCATTACACTTTCTACTTTTCTGACAAAATATTTGATTTAGGCTCTTATTATTATTAAACCAATTAATTTAAAACTTTACAGAGGAGACTAACCATTTTGCACAGGGAGAAAGCGGGCCAGAGACCAGTAAGAAATTCTTACCCTTTTGCTGGCATGCCAGGTTGCTGGGTTCTCTATCCCTGAGCGGCCCTAGCAACCCTGTTTGACTGTATGCAACCAAACACATTACCATGAATTAAGAATATTCACAAATAGTTTGCAAATTTTGGAGAAATTAGGCAGAGAGAGAGAAAAATATGACTCAAATTTTATTTATGAAAGTATACTCAGCTGGGCACAGTGGCTCATATCTGTAATCCCAGCACTTTGAGAGGCCGAGGCAGGTGGATCCCCTGAGGTCAGGAGTTGGAGACTAGCCTGACCAACATGGTGAAACCCCATCTCTACTAAAAATACAAAAATTACCTGGGTGTGGTGGCGGGCACCTGTAATCCCAGCTACTTGGGGGGCTGAAGCAGGAGAATCGCTTGAACCTGGGAGGCAGAGGTTGCAGTGAGCTAAGACTGTGCCATTGCACTCCAGCTGGGTAATGAGAGGAAAACTCCATCTCAAAACACACACACACACACACACACACACACACACACACACACACACCCTCCCCTAGAAGCAGGAGAATCGCTTGAACCTGGGAGGCAGAGGTTGCAGTGAGCTAAGACTGTGCCATTGCACTCCAGCTGGGTAATGAGAGGAAAACTCCATCTCAAAACACACACACACACACACACACACACACACACACACACACTCACACCCTCCCCTAGAAGCAGGAGAATCGCTTGAACCTGGGAGGCAGAGGTTGCAGTGAGCTAAGACTGTGCCATTGCACTCCAGCTGGGTAATGAGAGGAAAACTCCATCTCAAAACACACACACACACACACACACACACACACACACACACACCCCCTAGAGGAAAACTCAATCTCAAAACACACACACACACACACACACACACACACACACACACCCCTAGAAGCAGGAGAATCGCTTGAACCTGGGAGGCAGAGGTTGCAGTGAGCTAAGACTGCCAATGCACTCCAGCTGGGTAATGAGAGGAAAACTCCATCTCAAAACACACACACAAACACACACACACCCCTAGAGGGAAACTCCATCTCACACACACACACACACACACACACACACCCCCCTAGACATGTATACACACACACAAAGGAAGATCCAATAGCTTGGAACCTTAGCCATGAGATAATAATACAAGCTTGGCGGTTTTACTTTGCCCCAAGAGATAATCCAAGGAAGGCTGTGAACCAAAATTTCGGGTAAAGCAGTCTCCATGACATTTTGAGTTTTAAAGGCCAAACCTCCCCAGACTCCAAGGAGCACTGGGGCCAAACAGTAGCAAAGGATCGTGTCACCTGTTAACCAGACCCTCTGCTTAGAACTGCAGCACAAAGACCTGCATACATGTAACACCATTCCACTTTCCCATTCAACAGTAAACTCCAGATTCCAAACAATGTTGGGGCCAAACAGCATTCATTGCAACTGCAAGAGTAAATTCTAAGGAGGGCCTAGTATTAGACCTCAGAACCTCTGCCAGGAGCATCCCCTTTGGGCAGGTTGAGGTCTGCAGGACCCCTGGAGCAACCTCCTGTGGGGTCCAATCTTGGAGTGCCAGATGTCTCTGACCTTAGGTGGGCACCGGTGCCACATGCAGATTTTCCCCTCCAGAGCCTACTATGAGCTTTAGAAGAATAGCCATAAACTGTAATGAGAACTGGATGCTGGGTGTGCCTTTTCCTTAGCCAGTTGAGTTTGATAAAGGAAAAATTTAGTGTAAGAAAAGAAGATTTAATTCCCCTGAAAAATGGGTGAGTTTGCTCCAAGCTGCGCCACATGTAGGGATCAGGGACCGTGTGCGGAAAAGATAAAGAGTCCACGGCAACTATAAACAGATGCTGAGGCCTCACGAGGTGGCTCACACCTGTAATGGCAGCACTTTGGGAGGCCGAGGCGGGGGGATTGCCTGAGGTCAGGAGTTTGAGACCAGCCTGGCCAACATGGTGAAGCCGCATCTCTACTAAAAATACAAAAATTAGCCGGGCATGGTGGCGGGCGCCTGTAATCCCACCTACTCTGGAGGCTGAGGCAGGAGAACTGCTTGAACCCGGGAGGCGGAGGTTGCAGTGAGCTGAGATTGTGCCACTGCACTCCAGCCTGGGTGACAGAGTAAGACTGTCTCCAAAAACAAAAAACAAAAAAACAGCCGCTGAAAGACTGAAAAAGAAAGAAAGGAAAAAAAAAAATGGAAAAAGACCCAGGTTTAAGCGAACTGGGCGGTGGTGGTTAGGCTTCTCCACATGGAAACCCCTTAGTTTCACTGGCCATGGCCAGAAACCTGCAGTTGCTTCCATGTTTAGGTGCTACCCACATGGGTCCTGGGTGGGAAAGGAAAAGAGAGAGAGGAGAGAGAGAGAGAGTCCCCTGTATGGAGCAGAAAAGAAAAGGAGAAAGGAGAAAAAAAAATCCCAAACTTTAGGTTTACCTCTTCTTCCTGGCTGGCTTGCCAAAATATGTTAACTGTGGAGGGTGTCCAGGTTCTTGGCGTTATGAACAAAGAATTGGTCAAAATGCATAAACAAAGCAAGGAAGGAATGAAGGGTTTTATTGAAAATGAAAGTACACTCCACAATTTAGGAGTAGGCTTGAGCATAGGGGCTCAAAGGCCCTGTTACAGAATATTTGAGAGTTTAAATACCCTCTAGAGGATTCCATTGGTTCCTTGGGGTATGCCGTATGTAGATGGAGAGGATGAAGTAAAGTTACAAAGTGTTTACTTGGCCTGCACCCTATGGGGAGGCTATTTCCTGTCATAACTGAAGTGTGAATCGGCCTTATGTTCCCTGCCTCCAGACCCTATTTTCCTGCCTCACTGGTCTCAAGTGATCCACCTGCTTTGAGTTCCCAAAGTGTTGGGATTACAGGCGTCAACTGCCTTGCCTGGCAACATTCTCTTTTTTTGGGAGACAGGGTCTCACTCTGTTACCCATGCTGGAGTGTGTATACAGTCTTGAACTCTAGTATCTTGTATTTTAACCAGGCAAAAAACTTGTTCAAGTTTTGATAAGTTATTGTTTCACTTAGAATTAAAAAATCATGCTTTTATAGGCATGTAAAAAATTTAAAAGCTTAACAATTTAATGTTCACAAAATTGAGCTTAAGTTTCAGATTCTTTTTTTACTTTTTTTTTTTTGTGAGATGGATTTTTGTTCTTGTTGCCCAGGCTTGAGTGCAGTGGCGCCATCTCGGCTCACCACACCCTCCGCCTCCCGGGTTCAAGCGATTCTCCTGCCTCAGCCTCCCAAGTAGCTGGGATTACAGGCATGCGCCACCACACCTGGCTAATTTTGTATTTTTAGTAGAGATGGGGTTTCACCATGTTGGCCAGGCTGGTCTCGATCTCCCGACCTCAGGTGATCCACCCGCCTCGGCCTCCCAAAGTGCTGGGATTATAGGTGTAAGCCACCGCGCCCAGCCAAGTTTCAGATTCTTGATTTATAGTGGAATAACCCGTTAGGCTAATATATGCGTGTTCCTTAAGTGATATATTCTCCATACTAAATTGAAGAATTAGCATCATAAAGACTATGTAACATACATATTCAGATAGCTGATTTATAGTAATCACTCCTACTGGAGTTGAAATTGAGCCAATGACCTTAAGATTATTACTATACCATTTTCATTTGTTTGGTATATGTATTTATAAGGTTTATATAAAAGCTGTGAAAAAGCAAAATTTGTTCTTAAGTCCAATATTGCCTGGAAACTGTTTTTGTCTTTTCTGTAGTCATTATCAAGTTTTTCAGCCACAATAATGTGAGGAATATGTAGAAAGCATCATAATGAATCTAGTCACATGAACATCTCTGTTCATCAAATGTCTATTTAGCATGTTTTTTTGTTAGATGCTGGAGATACAAAAATAATATTATTTCTCTGTTTAAGGAGTTGATAATTTGAGTAAGTACATCTACAAATAGGTAATGTCAGGTGGTAAGTGCTGTGTTACTCACTTTCAAACAAAGTATTAAAGGAGCTTTATGAGCATTAAGGAATAATTAGTTCTGCCAAGGGGTTGGGGTAAGAATGGGAAAAATTATGAATGCCAGGGAAGGCCTAAGGCCTAATACAAGAGGAGATAACTACTGAGCTCCTAGAATTATTAGGTTTTACTAGGGGGAGTAGGGCTTTTCATATGTAGGAAAGTATATAGTACAGTGGTTAAGAACACAGATACTTGGAGTTGGACTGATTTGTTTTGGAACTGGCCCCTGTAGTTTGTTGGGGAGGTTACTGGAACTTGATGAAGTGCTTAACTAGTACCAGACACACACTAGACATTCACAAAGTGAAAGCTGCTGCTGCCAGTCTTATTCTTATATTATCATTAAACAATAAGCAAAGCCAGAGCAGTATGGAAATATATAATGTTGTTTTCTGAGACTCTTGTAATATGACTGCAAGTAGGATATGTGTATATTAGGGAATGGTTTGGACTGTTGGGAAGTACAGTGGAAAAGTAGCATGGTAGTCGTGGTTGGTCTTCACCTAGGTCTCCTTTCTTTTTTTTATTTTAAGTTAATTTTATTTTTTTTCTTGGTAGAGACATTGTCTTACTATGTTGCCCAGACTAGTCTCAAACTCCTGAGTTCAAGTAATCCTCCCACCTCGGCCTCCCAAAGTGCTGGAATTACAGGCATGAGCCACTGCACCTAGCTTAAGTCCCCTTTAATGGCTGATGTACCCCCCAAGCCTCCGTGAGTGTTGGCTGCTAATGACCTATAGCGCCCCCTTTCTCTAGAGTATTGTCCTCTGCCAAGCAGCCTTCTTGGTTAGGTGGATTTTCCGTATCCCACCCTATAACCAATGATTGACAGATAAGAAGATACAAAAGGTCAGGCCCTTTGTGTCAAAGCAATGCCAACTATATGGTATAATTTATGCTCCAGAGTGCCCTGTGGGAGCTGAGACTCTGTCCCTACTTAGCTTATTTCCCCTGCTCTATTCTACTGTACTCACTCCCCTTCAAATAAAATTCCCTCAATAAATAGCTTGCACAAGAATCCCTGTCTCAATCCTTCAGTCCCTATCTACTTCTGTGGATCCTAAGATTTGGGGCTAGATCGGAAAGTCCTTGAATACTTGCCTTAGAATCCTATAAGTGCTGTCTTATAGACATTGGAAACCTAATGCATTTTAAAAGGATCATTCTAGTAAAGAGGGACATGGAAAGTGGCTAGAAGCCTACGATGGGAACTTTCTATCATCTAAGTAAAGGATGATAAATGCCTTAATCATTTATCATTGATTAAGGTTGGGGAGGTGAGATACAAGAGTCATTTGTAGGGATTGGGGAAGAACTGAGAAGTCATAGGTAATTTGAATGTGGGGAGAAGGAATAAAAAACCTTCTAGACTGGATGACTTGGCAAATAGTTGTGTTAATCGGCAAAATTGGACTCGTAGGAAGAGGTAGTTTTGGAGAAGGTTAATGAGTTCAGTTTGAATTTAAGTTACCTTGTTGAATGTCATAGATGGAAATGTACCGTAAGTAGGTAGAAATATCTGTCTGCAGTATGGAAGGTGAGGTCAGGTTGACAACATGAAGGTACAGAATGGACATCCCTAATCTGAAAATGAAAAGTCTGAAATGCTCGAAAATCCAAAACTTTTGAGCAACAACATGACAGTCAAAGGAAATGCCCGTTGGAGCATTTTTGATACTGGATTAGGTGTGCTCACCGGGTTAAGTATAATGCAAATATTCTAAATTTAAAAAAAAAATCTGAAATTTGAAATACTTCTCAACTCAAGCATTTAGGATGAGGGATACTCAACCTGTAGTTGTTTAAGTTATGAGGGAATATGGGGCCCAAGACAAAACGATGGGAATTCCATTTTATCATCTGGAACGTTTTCAGCCGCAAGTAACAAAATTGAGCAAGCTACTTTAAGAGTAAAGGGGATTGGCCAGCTCGGCGTGGTGGCTCACACCTGTAATCTCAGCACTTTGGGGGGCTGAGGTGGGAGGATTGCTTGTCCCCAGGAGTTCAAGACCAGCCTGAGCAACATAGGGAGACCCCATCTCTACAAAAATAATAAAGAAATCAGCTGGGCGTGGTAGTGCGTGTTTGTTGTCCCAGCTACTTGGAAGGCTGTGGTGGGAGGATTGCCTGAGCCTGGGAGGTCGAGGCTGTGGTGAACTATGATTGTGTAACTGCAGTCTAGCCTGGACAACAGAGTGAGACCTTGACTCAAAAAAAGTAAAGGGGATTTATTAGTTTAGTATGTAAAAATCCAGTGGTAGGGTGGGATTCAGGGTTTTTTGATGAGGATTCTGACTCCATTTTTCTGTGATTATTTTTGTCCTGCCACCTTCTTGAGTCAGCTTTGTTCTGAATCTTGCTTTCCTCATGGAGGTAAAGTGACTCCAGTGATTGCAAGATTCCATCAGCAAGCTGCATATTGTAGGAGAGAGCATCTATGTTCCTGAATTCCTGGCTGAAGTCCTAAGCTTTGAGCTGATTAATCAGTTTTGATGTAGGGCATTGTTACCAAGCAAAAGAGATCCCTCTAATTGGTTAAGACCAGTCAGGGGTTATCCATGAAGATGGGTTAGTCTAACCAAAAGGGCATGGCTGCTATACTAGGAGGAGAGTGGATGTTTGCAAGGAAAGCACAAAGTTCACTCTTATCTATCATCCATCATAAAGGAAAGAGCCAGTGAAAAACAGGGAAATGGTAAGAGAGATTAAAAGAGGGCCTTAGAAAATACCTGAGCCCAGAGTAGAGTTTTAAAGAGTGGAAAGGATTGTTTTGTTTTGTTTTCTGTTTGTTTTTTGAGACAGGGTCTGGCTCTGTTGCTCAGGCTGGAGTGCAGTGGTGCCCTTCCGGCTCACATCAGCCTCCAGAGTAGCTGGCACTACAGGCATAAATGGAAAGGGTTTTGAAGAAGAAGGACTAAAACAGTGTCAATTCAAACAGCCTTTGGATTTGGTGGAGACCACCAGTGATCTTAGAACAATGCCTACAGTCTGGAGGAGTAAGAATCAGATGGTGTGTTGGTGATGAACAAATATATGCCAATGATATAGAAGCAGCAAATGTATATATTTTTCTTTCTCTCTTTTTTTTTTTTTAAAGAAATTAGTAAATAGAAGGCGGCAGTTTAAGGAATAACTGGATTAAGGGCGGTTAAAAAGTAAATTGTAAAAAAAAGATTGTGAAAGACTTTCTGCTCTTGTTTGCTGGATGAAGAGAATGAGTTTATGGCTTGAGTCAGGCAGTCTTGGTTTGACCTCTGGCTCTAAAGACAGCTTCCTGTATGGCCCTGAACAAGCTACTCAGTTTTCTCAGCTTCTGATTAGTGATGAACATAATAAACATTTCATAGGAAAGCTATAAGGGTTAAGTAAGATAATGTAATTGTGGAAGAGATTTGTCAACTAACCTGTTATACAAATATTAGTTGATAGTAAGCACATTGTTTATTTAAACCCTATCTTCTCATAAAAGAATGTAAGTTATTTTAAAAATAATAGTATGTATAGCTGAAAGGTATGTAGAGTTGAGAAAGGGGAAAGGCAAGTGAAAGAGGAGAGAGAGAGAAGAATGAGAATATGAATGAATTAATAAAGCATGACTCCAGTTCAAAAACAGTTATTCCTCTTAGCATCCTATGTAACTGTGCAAAGCCAAAAGCCCTTAGATTTGACATAATTTTTGCTAGCAGTATTTTGTGTGGCCCCAGAGAGAGGCCTCTTGTTGACTTCCATATATACAGTTTCAGTTCCTTTTGTAATAAAAAGAAAGGAACATGGTACAGAAAGGTTATTGTTTAGGTTATCAAGATTACCTTTATTTGAAGTTGTTGCAAATAGTAGCAATAGTGATAATAATGTTTAATAGTGATAATAGCAGTAGCAGTTGCTGTCATCCCTAAGCTAGTGTATGATTGATTTTAGCTTTGTCTGACTCTAAAAATACTTTTAGCCACATTCTAGTCTAATTCTAAAATTCTTTGATCATACATTCTTATTAGTTAAGTTGGTAGATCTTTTATAGTAATTAAATAGAATTTTATTCCTGTATATTTATTTCTTAGGTAGAACAGTATCACATTCTATGCTTCATTTTAAGCAGTCCTGCCGGGCGCAGTGGCTCACGCCTGTAATCCCAGCACTTTGGGAGGCTGAGATGGGTGGATCTCCTGAGGTCAGGAGTTCGAGACCAGCCTGGCCAACATGGTGAAACCCTGTCTCTACTAAAAATACAAAAATTAGCTGGGTGTCATGGCGGGCACCTGTAATCCCAGCTACTCAGGAGGCTAAGACAGGAGAATCACTTGAACCCAGAAGGCAGAGGTTGCAGTGAGCCGAGATCGTGCCATTACACTCCAGCCTTGGGTAACAAGAGCAAAACTCTGTCTCAAAAAAAAAAAAAAAAAAAAAAGAGAAACAAACAAACAAAAACATTTGAAGCAGTCTGATATTTTCAACTACACAGGGAGAATAACAGTACTTACTTTATATGGTGATAGTAAAGATAGAATGAGCTAAAAACAAAATAAAACAAAACCAGCTTAGAGTGGTGCCAGGCATGGTTGTTAGTGGCTAGTATTATCATTCTTGTTGTTTTTTTTATCAGTGCTTGATATAAATGAGAAAGCACTAAGTGAATGGGTACTTCAGCATAAAAGAGTTGTTGAAGACATGTGGAGATTTAGTTTTGAATAAATTAATAATAATAAGTTTCCTTAACTACAACTCAGATTCCATGCTGGTTTCCATTGTGGGGATGGCACTATACACAGGATACGTCTTCATGCCCCAGCACATCATGGCGATATTGCACTACTTTGAAATCGTACAATGACCAAGATGCGACCAGGATCAGAGGTTCCTTGGGGAAGACCCACCCTACGAAGTTGGAATGAGACCATCAGATGTGATAAGAAACTCTTCTAGATGTCAACATAACCAACCTTATAAAGACTAAAATTCATGAGTAGAACAGGAAAATCATCCTGACTCATGTGTTGTGTTCTTTATTTTTAATTTTCAAAGAGGCTCTTGTATAGCAGTTTTTGTCTATTTTAACATTGTAGTCATTTGTACTTTGATATCAGTATTTTCTTAACCTTTGTGACTGTTTCAATATTACCCCCGTGAAAGCTTTTCTTAATGTAACTTTGAGTACATTTTAATTGCCTTCTATTTTTAAAACTCAAAATCATTAGTTGGGCTTTACTGTTCTTGCTATTGTATGGCATATACATCTGCCTGGATATATTTCTACTCTTGACCAAAGTTTTGTAAAGAACAATATAAGATTTCGGGTAGGGGTATGGGGAGGGAAGATATTTTATTGAGAACTACTTAACAAAAGATTTATCTGTAAGCTTGAACTCAGGAGTACAGTTTTAGCTATCTAGACTCTAACAGCTTTTGCTTTAAAATTATTAAAGTGTTTCTTAATGAAAAAGAAAAGATCTTGCTAAAGTTAAAATAAGGAACATTTCACCTTTTAAATATTTAATTCTTATGTGGACTTATTTCCAGAAAACTTTGGTGATAATTCTTGAGACAAAAGGTGGTTAAGTAGCATTATTATGTAATGCTTATATACCATAGAGTTTTTAATAGAAGAGAAATCCATTTCCTCCGAGGGTCACTATTAACAATGTACTTCCTTAAATTTAGTTTAATGATTGTAATGGGTGCTGCATTTGCACATTGCATTAAGTTATGATGAGACGAATTGTTGTTAAAAATTATAGCAAAAAGAAATGTAAACTTGGTTAAAATCCTTTCACTCTTTGTATTGTTTTTTTTAAGGTTTTTATTCCTTAAATGTAAAATGACTACCTAATTTTTTGATGTAAATACATTAAATTCAAAGAGAAAAAAAATCAGCTGATGTAGCAGTATATCTTTTCCTTGATGGTTAAATATTGATCTAGTATTTATATTGCTGAATTATTTTCTGTGGAGGACCAGATAAGCAGTAAGTATGTCTTATCCTATATGTTTTGCAACATAAAAATATTGCTAATTGAAAAGAATTAGGCAATTATGTGTGTTGCTGGGTTGTTTTTTTGTTTTTTTTTTTTTGAGACGGAGTCTTGCCCTGTCGCCCAGGATGGAGTGCAACAGCATGATCTCGGTTCACTGCAACCTCCATCTCCTGGGATCAAGTGATTCTCCTGCCTCAGCCTCCTGAATAGCTGGGATTACAGGCACCTGCCACCATGCCTGGCTAATTTTTTGTATCTGTAGTAGAGACGGGGTTTCACTGTGTTGGCCAGGATGGTCTCAAACTCCTGACCTCCTGATCCACCTGCCTCGGCCTCCCAAAGTGCTGGGTTTACAGGCGTGAGCCACCGCGCCCGGCCAAAATTGAGGTATTTTTTGCCCTACGTTTTAAGGACTAGACTTTTGAAGTATTTTATAGTCTAGAGGTCTCAAGTAATATATATGTGTTTAATATTTTTAGAGCCAATTGATACCACAATTAGATAGGAGTAGTGAGAATAATATGGAATTACTTGGTTTGAAGTAGTTAAAAATTGGATATGGTTATATCTGAGCTGTAGTCATATTATCTCAAGAAAAATAATACGAGGATTTAACATAAGATTTGTTCTATTAATGCCCAAATTTGGCTTTCCTCTACTATCCCCCATAGAGAACCACTAACAAGTGGATGTCTAATATTCCTCTGGTGAGTTGAAGGCAGGAGAAGTTGAGAATCATTAGTTTCAATGAGTATCCAGGTGACCTATCCTGGCCCTCTACTCAGAAACCGGCAATTTGTCTTCACTCTGAGATTCATTAAATTGCTGTTGTATAACTGATGGTTATTATGAACACTGACCTGTGAGACATATGGAAGATAAAGTTTGGTCTTACAGGAAATCTTGAGGAGAGTCAAAAGAGAAATGGGAGATGTCTCTTGAGAGGTGATCAGAGAAGTTTATGCTCACTGTCTGATGCAAATGTCTGGTCTATTTGTTAGTAAATAACAGGGAAATCATTTTCACTTTTTGTTAAAAATAAGGTATTTACAAGCATACCTTGTAGTTATTGTGGGTTCAGTTTCAGACCACTGCAATAAAGTGAATATCTCAATAAAGTGAGTCACATGAAGTTTTTTGGTTTTCCCCTGCATATAAAAGTTACATTTACACCATCCTGTAGTCTATTAAGTGTGCAGTAGCATTATGGCTAAAAAAAAAAAACACCCAATATACCTATCTTAATTAAAGAATTATTTATTGCTGAAAAAAGCTAATGATTATTTGAGCCTTCAACAAGTCATAATTTTTTGTTGGTGGAGGGTCTTGCCTTGATGTTGATGGCTGCTGACTGATCTGGGTCATGGTTGCGGAAGGTTGGGGTGGCTATGGCAATTTTTAAAAATAAGACAACAATAAAGTTTGCTGCATTGATCAACTCTTCATTCATGAAAGATTTCTCTGTAGCATGTAAGCTATTTGATAGCCTTTTACCCACAATGGAACTTCCTCCAAAATTGGAAGCAATCCTTTCAAACCCTGCTGCTGCTTTATCAACTAAGTTTATAAAATATCCTAAGTCCTTCATTGTAATTTCAACAATGTTCATAGCACCTTCACCAGGTGTATATGCCATCTCAAGAAACCACTTTCTTTGCTCATCCATAAAAGGCAAAACCTTGTCTGTTCAAGTTTTACCGTGAGATTGCAGTAATTCACTCACATCATCAGGCTCCATATGTAGTTCTCTTGCTATTTTTAGCATATCTACAGTTAACTTCCTCCACTGAAATTTTGAACCCCTCCAAGTCATCCATAAAAGTTGGAATCAACTTTGCAACTCCTGTTACTGTTAATATTTTGACCTCCTCCCATGAATCATAAATCTTTTATTATAATGGCATCTAGAATGGTGAATCATTTCTGGAAGCTTTTCAATTGACTGCCTAGGTCCATCAGAGTAATTACTACCTATGGCAGCTATAGCCTTACAAAATGTATTTCTTAAATAATAAAGACCTCAAAGTCAAGGTAAATCCTTGATCCATGGGCCACAGAATGGATGCTGTGTTGGCAGGCATGGAAATGATATTAATCTCCTTGTACATCTCTATCAGAGCTCTTGGGTGACTAGATGCATTGTTAATGAGCAGTAATATTTTGAAGAGAATCTTCAAAATAGTAGTAGGTCTCAATGGTGGGCTTAAAATATTTGGTAAACCATGTCATAAATGTGCTGTCACCAGTCTTTATTGCAAAGTTCCATTAATAGAGCACAGGCAGAGTAGATTTAACATAATTCTTTTTTTTTTTTTTTTTGATACAGAGTCTCTGTCACCAGGCTGGAGTGCAGTGGTGTGATCTCGTTTCACTGCAGCCACTGCCTCCCGGGTTCAGGCGATTCTCCTACCTCAGCCTCCCGAGTAGCTGGGACTACAGGCGCGCACCACTGCACCCAGCTAATTTTTGTATTTTTAGTAGAGACGGGGTTTCACCGTGTTGGCCAGGATGGTCTCAATCTCTTGACCTCGTGATCCGTCCACCTCGGCCTCCCAAAGTGCTGGGATTACAGGCATGAGCCACCACGCCCGGCCTGATTTAGCATAATTCTTAAGGGCCCTAGGATTTTTGTAATGGTAAATAAACATTAGTTTCAACTTAAAGTTACCAGCTGCATTAACCCCTAACAAGAGTCAGCCTTTGAAGTTTTGAAGCCAGGCATTGACTTCTCTCTAGCTATGTAAATTCTAGAGGGTGTCTTCCAATATAAGGCTGTTTTGTCTACAGTGAAAATCTTATTTAGTATAGCCATCTTCATCAATGATCTTAGCCGTAGCTGCATTATTTGCCACATCTTCCAAATCAGCATTTGCTGCTTTACCTTGCACTTTTATCTTACGAAGATGACTTCTTTCCTTAAACCTCATGAACCAACTTACACTAGCTTCAAACTTTTCTTCTGCAGCTACCTTACCTCTCTCAGCCTTCGTAGAATTGAAGAGAGCTAGGGCCTTGCTCTGAATTAGGCTTTAGCTTAAGGGAATATTGTGGCTGGTTTGATGTTTTATCCAGACCACTAAGACTTTATTTATTTTCAGCACTAAGTCTGTAATACTTTCTTGCCATTTGTGTGTTCACAGGAGTAGCATTTCTAGCTTTAAAACAATTTATTATTATTTTTCCCTATCAGCAGCCTGGAATATTTCTAGCTTTTGATTTAAAGTGAGAAATGTGGCCAGGCACAGTGGCTCGTGTCTGTAACCTCAGCACTTTGGGAGGCTGAGGCGGAAGGATTGCTTGAGCCCAGGAGTTAGAGACCAGCCTGGGCAACATGGCACGACCCCATCTCTACAAAAACTTAAAAAAAAAAAATTAACCAGGCATGGTGGTATACACCTGTAGTCACAGCAAGTTGGGAGGCTGAGGTGGGAGGATCGCCTGAGCCTGGGAGGTTGAGGCTGCAGTCAGCCACAATCGCACCACTGCACTCCAGCCTGAGCGACAGAGTGAGACCCCCATCTCAAAAAATAATAAATAGATGTGTGACTCTTATTTTCACGTGAACATTTAGAGGCCATAGTAGGGTTATTAATTGGCCTAATTTCAATAGTGTTATGTCTCAGGGAATGAGGAGCCCTGCAGAGAGAGAGACACAGAAGAACTGCTGGTCAGTGGAGCAGGCAGAACATACACAACATTTATCAATTAAGTTCACCTGTTAAATAGGGATGGTTTGTGGCACCCCAAAACAATAACATCACAGATTACCATAACGGATATAATAATAATGGAAAAGTTTGAAATGTTGCAGGAATTACCAAAATGTGACAGAGATATGAAATGAGCACTCGAGGCTGGAAAAATGGTGCCATAGACTTGCAGGGTCGATTGAGAGCATTGCTACGAACCTTCATCATGTAAAAAATGCAATGTCTGAAGCACAACAAAGTGATGTGCAACAAAACAAGGTATGGCTAATTAGATGAGTCTCCATGGACCACTAGTGTTTCTGTATATCTTATAAGCAGAGGTACTGACTGCATAATTTTTCAAGGATGTTTATATGATAGAGAAGATAGAGATAGTATCTCCCTCCAAAATGAAGGGCAGGTATATTTAGAGCCTTGGAAGATAGAGAGTGCCTCTTTCTGGACCAAACGGCATTATAAAAGCTTTATGTTCCCTATGCTCAGGGTTCCTTTCCTGTAATGCAACCATCTGCACATACAGATATCACCTGGTCTTTGCATTGCCCTGTGGGAACTGGGGCTTGGGAACCAGAACAAGAAAATGTTGATATTTTGACTATTTCTGTGAGTAATAAAGTTCTTTGTCTCTAACCCTGAATCTCTTGTCTTCTGCTAGCATCTACAAAGCTGTCAGACTAGCTTGCAAGTAGAGTAGAATCTCAGACTCTTCATAGTTTTTGATAGTTTAGGTGATGAGGATGGGATGCTGGCAGATGTGGTCTTCTGGAAGAGGAGGGATAATGGACCCACAAACTAGGTTTGAAGATGGGACAACTTGGATCAAGAGGTAAATGCATTTGCCTAAGTATTGGGTGAGTTAAGAGAATAAGGATCCCTAATATCCTACTTGTTAATTAATAGTTAGGGGCTGTGTGGTGAGAAGTAGGATGAAAACAGCAGCCTAAATTGTGCCTCAGTTGTTACTCTCTTCTGGGCAGATAGAAAAAGGGATCTTATGACAATGGGACAACAGGTGCCATGGTCTTGGACTAGGGGCAGTGGTAGCTATGGCTACTAAGCTAAAGAATCCCCAAAATGGAAATAAATAATGTGAGCAGTGAGGAGGTGCTATTCAATACAGACATTTGGGTGGTCCAAAAACCTCAGAAGCTCATTCAGATGAGCCGTGAGTGAGGGCCACTTGAAATTGAATGCAAGGCCTCAATTTTCTCAAAGAAAACTGCTCTTCTTCTGTGCCTTTGACCTTTTCTTTGCCTCCTACCCTGACTTCAGCTTTGTTAAGGAGAAAGATAATTAAGAGTGAGACCTAGCCAGGTGCAATATCTCATGCCTATAATCCCCGTACTTAGGGAGGCGGAGGTGGGCAGATCACTTGAGTTCAGGAGTGAAAGACCAGTCTGAACAATGTGGTGAAACCCCGTCTCTACAAAAAATACAAAAATTAGCCAAGCATGGTGGTACACACATGTAGTCCCAGCTACTTGGGAGGCTAAGGTGGGAGGATTGCTTGAGCCCAGGAGGTTGAGGTTGCAGTGAGCAGTCTTTGCACCGCTGCACTCCAGCCTGGGTGACAAAGCAAGACCCTGTCTCAAAAAAAAAAAAAAAAAAATCCAATATGCACTTATGCACTTATGCAGTTGCTTGAATATGGTGGGGAACTGTGGAGGAAAAAAATTCAAACTTTATGGTGCTGTTGCATATAACTATTCAAGGCATGAGTCTTTGCAGCCGCTTGGAAAGAAGGGGCACCTTAATTCAACTGATGGGATTTGGGCAATTTTTGCAGTAAAGAGAAATTAAGTGACCCTGTTGCAAGTGACCCTTTGGGTCTGTTTAGTGTACTGTTGTAGCTTCCACTGATGAATATATAATTGGCATCAATGTTTTACATGATTGTAATTTGAATGCTTATAAGTGCCAGAGGTGATCCTACTGATTGGGAAGAGATGCTGTATTAGTCTGTTTTCATACTGCTGATAAAGACATACCTGAGGCTGAGAAATTTACAAAAAAAAAGAGATTTAATTGGACTTAGAGTTCCACATGGCTGGGGAGGCCTCACAATCATGGCAGAAGGTGAAAGGCACGTTTCACATGGCGGCAGACAAGAGAAGAAAGCTTGCGCAGCAAAAATCCCCCTAATATAATCATCGGATCTCATGAGACTTATTCACTATCACAAGAACAGCACAGGAAAGACCTGCCCCCATGATTCAATTACCTCCCACTGGGTCCCTCCCACTACACGTGGGAATTCAAGATGACATTTTGGTGGGGACAGAGCCAAACCATATCATTCTGCCCCTGGCCTCTCCCAAATCTCATGTCCTCACATTTCAAAACCAGTCATGCCTTCCCAACAGTCCCCCAAAGATTTAACTCATTTCGGCATTAACTCAAAAGTCCACAGTCCAAAGTCTCATCTGAGACAAGGCAAGTCCCTTCTGCCTATGAGCCTGTAAAATGAAAAGCAAGTTAGTTAGTTCCTAGATACAACGGAGGTAAAGACATTGGGTAAATACAGTCATTTCAAATGGGAGAAATTGGCCAAAACAAAAGGGCTACAGGCCCCATGCAAGTCTGAAATCCAGCAGGGCAGTCAAATCTTAAAGCTTCAAAATGATCTCCTTTGACTCCATGTCTCACATCCAGGTCATGCTGATGCAAGAGATGGGCACTCCCATGGTCTTGGGCAGCTCCATCCCTGTGGCTTTGCAGGGTACAACCTCCCTCTTGGCTGCTTTCATGGGCTGGCATTGAGTGTCTGCAGCTTTTCCAGGCACACGGTGCAAGCTGTTGGTGGATCTACCATTCTGGCATCTGAAGGATGGTGGCCCTCTTCTCACAGCTCCACTAGGCAGTGCCCCAGTAGGGACTCCGTGTGGGAGCTCCGACCCCACATTTCCCTTCTGCACTGCCCTAGGAGAGGTTCTCCATGAGGGCCCCGACCCAGAAGCAAACCTGCCTGGGCATCAGGAGTTTCCATACAGCCTCTGAAATCTAGGTGGAGGTTCCCAAACCCTAATTCTTGGCTTCTGTGCACTCACAGGCTCAACACCATGTGGAAGCTGCTAAGACTTGGGGCTTGCACCCTCTGAAGCCATGGCCTGAGCTCTACGTTTGTCCCTTTTAGCCATGGCTAGTGTGGCTGGGATGCAGCGTACCAAATCCCCAGACTTGGTTAAGCTTCAAACTGATGGTATTCATTGAGTTGCTGCCACTGTTCAGCCTCAGTGCCAGCTCTGCCAAGCCAAACATGGGTGGGGTTGCTCCATTCCCTTTGCAGAACTCAAGGCTATTCTCATATCTCTGGCCAGTGTTCCTTTTGATAAAGCTTGTTATATTTTTACTGACCTCTGGGCTATAGCCAAAGGCCTGGGAGTTTAGTCCGTCACTTGGAAAACTACAGATTGGTAGATTAAAGACACCCTCTCTGGGGCTGCAAAATTTGGTAATAAATCAGTTAAGCTGTTGGGTCACTCATGTAGATGTCTATAGTAAGGGCCAGTTCTCTGGTATCGAGCTGCTGATCAAGACTGCACTGTCCAGATTGCTCCCATTTATGACTAGATCCGTCACTGTACTGGACATGGTGACCTATCTACCACCGTAGGTTTGGCATAAAATAAAGAAAAGACTGTTTCTAATGCAGAAGCTACCTAAAAGGCAGACTTGTGAAAGTGTTGCAGTGAGGGGGGTCACATAGCATGAGCCATCACCTCCATCTCCCCACACCTTGTTCTTGGCAGATTGACTACATTAGACTTCCGATCTCTTCTCAGGGCTACCCATTGTGCTGCAATGCTGTTGATACTTTTTCAGTGACGATTACACAAGGGGGAATTTCACTGCACAAGCTCTCTTCTCTTGTCTGCCGCCAGGTGAAACGTGCCTTTCACCTTCCTTTCAACACAATATTGCTGTTTTAACCCGATCAGCAGATTCCAGCTATAATATTGTAGCCCTTGAAACTAATCTGTGTCATGTGTTTGGCCTTCTGGGCCTTTGCAGCTTGACAGTGGAGTGAGTTTTTTTTTTTTTCTTTTACAAAAGCTATTCAACAAAGTGCTGACAGTCAAGGTATTTGATGGACTTTCCATACTCCCTACCGTTCACAGGCATCTGATATTGAATACTGGAATGGCCTCTTCAAAAATCAATTCAAATAGAATTTTACTCTAGCTCTCTCTTCTCCTTCTGGGCCATGTACCTTAACTAGGCAGTTTGGTCACTGAATGTGGCTATGCTCAGAAAGAGATCACCTCTCAGCCACTTCCTGGTTAATGATCAGGATGACCTATTGCTATTTTAAAATTTGGATTCCTCCCTGTTAGAAATAAAATGCTTGTTCCTTGGTGCCACAAAGAAATAGCACTTGAACATAAATTTAATTTTCTCAGCAAGACAATTTTTACTTCTATAGAAGGGTGTGACTCACGAATGGAGTAATGGCGAGAGGACACCTGAACAAGAGAGGGGAAGGGGTTCTTACTCTTGATGCAGGTAGCCCCTACTGCTCTGTCATTCCCCTATTGGCTAGGGTTGGACTATACAGTCTAAGCTAATTCTGATCGGCTATTTTAAAGAGAGCAGGGGTATGAGCCAGAGTGGCGGGGTGAGTAGTTTGGCAGGAAGGACAGTTAGGAACAGGGAACTAAAGGTGACTTAGGCCAGATCAGGTGACCAGGGGTGACTCAGGTCAAAGCAGGTGACTGGGATGAGTCAGGACGGAGCAGGTGACCAGGGGAACAGATGTGAACTACTGATTAAAACTGGTGGGAAAGGTTTTTTACTGAAACTATGAGGAAGTTAAACTTTAAAACGGAGGACAAAGAACTGAACATACTGACATAATGATTCTTAAAAGAGAAATTTGGAACTCATTGTATCCAACACTCCCTGACCATGCTGCTTTTCTGTTCACTAATGGCAGTCCCAGGACAGTGGGTTGGTAGTCCAGCCAGAAAGAGGCCTAGGGATTTCAACTTAATTCTGGCTCAGTCCCCTGGATTCTCTAGTTGAGTTGCTGTGAGTCTATATCATGAGGTTAATCACCACTTGGTTGAGTACATTTGCTTCATAAGTCACCCAGTGGCTCATGCAGGCCTAAGTAGGTGGCGTGAGTCTCTGTAAGTTTTATAAAATTGCCTTATCCCTTTTGTACCTGACTCTTTTGGATGAAAGGTCTGGGTATGAGTAGAGATGATTGGAAAAAGGTGAATGATAACTATTGGAATAGGACAAGCTGATTTTATAGTGATGGAGAGAAAGCAACTCCAATACATGAGGGGAGAATACCTTAGATGCCAGGAGGGGGAAGAAGGATCTCTAATAATATCCTTCAGAGCCACCCCTGGGTCTTTCCTCAGGAAGAAAAAATGCCCAGATGCAGCTCTCCAAAACTGTTGCAAACACTATAAATGGTGAAACTGCTGAATCGGCCATCCCCCATGATGGTGCTGACCATGATTTTGATTGTCATTCCCCTTCACCTCAGCAAGAATCTATCAGATAAAGCAAAGGATTGCCCCATTTTCTATATCTCCCATGCAAGACATTGGTTAACACCGCTGGATGTCTTCCTCACCTCCCTTCCCATAGCTATTGCTTAGTCAGTCATTCCGTGGGGTGAATGAGCAACACCTGTCTGATGGCATAGATAATTAGGGCAGTTTGGACTGACAGCCCTCAGGCAATTTCTGCAAAAACAGGGACTAGCCTCAATTATTCAAACTGAACCAGGAACCCTAAGGCTTACCAGCTTGCCAGGAGGCCAAGTTGGAGGAACTGTCAAACTATGCCCTCTGAATGATGTATGTCCCACTTAGGGAGACCAACAACACTTTCTTTCCAGGGGCACTCTGTGTGCCCTCAGGTCTTTATTTCCTGTGTGGAATCCAGGAGTTATTTTGTCTCCCCTAAAAACACCTTAGGGGTAATCATAAGATCCCTTTAAGTGTTTAAGGAAGCATCACTGACAGATCATGTGGCCCTCAGATGACCACAGAGATCTCTCCAAAATGAGACTTTTCTTAGGTAATGGAGAGATCTCTGCAGTAAGACAACAGATTCTTAGGCTGGGCGTGGTGGCTCATGCCTGTAATCTCAGCACTTTGGGAGGCCGAGGTGGGCAGATCACTTGAGGTCAGGAGTTTGAGACCAGACTGGCCAACATGGTGAAACCCCATCTCTACTAAAAATACAAAAACCAGCTGGCCATGGTGGCGTGCGCCTGTAATCCCAACTACTCGGGAGGCTGAGGCAGGAGAATTACTTGAACCTGGGAGGTGTAGGTTGCATTGTGCGGAGATGGTTCCACTGAACTTCAGCCTGGGTGACAGAGTGAGACTCGGTCTCAAAAAAAAAGAAAAAAAAAGAATCAAACAGATTCGTTATTTATGTATACTTTGCTGGCAGTTATCCCTATAACAGTAGTCATCCAATTAGAAAAGTGAAGTGGTAAAAATTTCGCTGAAGTTTTCAGTGACATGCCTGGACCCTGAAAGGAAAAGCAGGTCAGCCTCAGCTCACTAGCCATGGTTGTTATGAATGAAATAATTGCCCCAGACTTTCTTCTCAGGTGAAGTCTGTGCAATCTCTGCTCTATCTTGCTGTGCCAGGATTAATGCCTTAGGCCAAGTGAAAAGGTCAATATAGAAACAAAGAGAAAGCCATTTGGCTTTCTAAGTAAACCATGATGGTGTATGGGATTTGTTAAGCTGATTGGGACCAGGACCCCGGGAGCCATGGCTGGGGTTAATACTGCCGGATGGCCTCATCTTGCTGTACAAAGTGCTGTTGATAAGAGCCTTAATTAAGTGCTGTGTGAGACAAATGGATTTGGTCCCAGCCTCTGTTAAATTATTTAGAGTGGCTGATGGAGTGGCATAATATGGGAAAAATTTCCAGGAGCCACCACTGTATGGAAACTATACAGTCTTATGGCTATTGTTGGGAAGAAATTCTCTCTGAGTCTTTTGCATGTCTGCATGTCTTGTGAACAGTGGCACTGATTGTCTTTGTTCCATACTATCTCCTCAAAGAAGCTTGTATAGGAAACAGCCTTGGAAGACAGATAGTGTCCCCTTCCAGCAGAAGGAGCAGGTTTGCTTAGAGACTTAGAAGACAGATATAATGTCTACCTCTGAAACAAATGGCAGGCATACTTATTGTTTAGTATAAAAAGATTAGGGTTCTTTAAGCTTGGGGTCCTCTCCTGCAATGAAACCCATTGCATGTGTAGATGTCCTCTTTGTGCTACACTGTGGGGTTTGGAGCATACAAGAAAATTCTAGTGCTCTAGCTACAGAACTTTGGGAGGCTGAAGCGAGCAGATGGATTGAGCCCAGGTGTTCGAGACCAACCTGAGCAAAATGATGAAAACTCATCTCTACCAAAAAAACAAACAAAATAACCACCAAAATTAACCACTCTGAGGTGGGAGGATGGTTTCAGCCCATGAAGCAGAGGCTGCAGTGAGCTGAGATCATGCCACTGCACTCCAGCCTGGGCAACACAGCCAGACTCTGTCTCAAAAAGAAAATTACGTATCTTGTTTTTGGTATCTAGTACCTAATTTATTATTTGCTGTCATTCCATAACAAAAATAGAAATAGCTTTATTTTTCTTAATTTTAAAATAATATGAGCTTATTGTAAAGTAAATTTCAGAAAAATTGGATGGTACCTATTACACTTTGTTAAAATCATATTAATATTGTAATAATTACTTATTGTTGAGAACTATTATGTGCAAGTGGTTTACACACAGAATGTAGCCCTGTGTGGTAGGTGTCATCTTTCTTTTTTTTTTTTTTTTGAGACAGAGTCTTGCTCTGTCGCCTAGGCTGGAGTGCAGTGGCGCGATCTCGGCTCACTGCAAGTTCCGCCTCCTCGGTTCACACCATTCTCCCGCCTCAGCCTCCCAAGTAGCTGGGACTACAGGCTCCCGCCACCATGTCCGGCTAATTTTTTGTATTTTTAATAGAGACAGGGTTTCACCGTGTTAGCCAGGATGATCTCGATCTCCTGACCTCAAGGTCTGCCTGCCTCGGCCTCCTGACCTCAAGGTCTGCCTGCCTCAGCCTCTCAAAGTGATGGGATTACAGGCATGAGCCACCGCGTCTGGCCAGGTGTCATCTTTCTTTACAGATAAAGAAAGCAAGGCTCATTGAGACTTTCCAAAGGTCATATACTAAGTGATGAGGTGGTGCAGATTTATGTGTATAGCTGTTAGGCTGGAAAACTCTGTGCTTGCCCCTGGTAAATGGTTCCCAAACAAAATGATCATCCTTGGTAATTCTGATTCAGGAGATCTATGATGGGGCCTGGGAATCCCTCAGAGGTTGATTACGCTGTGAGGTATGTAGTTCCACAGTATCAGCCTCCTTTTCTTAATTTAGAGAACAGTACAAGCAGGCCTGACTTAATTTTTGATGATTTCACTTAGGGTGCCAAGTTGCTTGTACCCGTGTTTTTGCTTCTGCCAGCAAACAGCCTTAAACATGTAAGCTTACCTCCACATATCTGCTTGCTAGTGCTTTGGGCAAGTCCGACTGTCCTTAAGGTCTCAATATGTCTCCAGCATCCCTTGCCCCTCTGTGGCCCACCTTCTAAAGGTCCTGGGCATCTTGGTTGCGGAGGCTGTGGATACTCAAGCTGTGGGCTCAAGTTGAAGAGAAAAGAGGAAGAGGTCAAAACTAAGTTAAGCAATGTTAGGAAATAAAAGAGGGAAGAAAGAAAGAAGGGGAGACAGGGGAAAGAGAGAGACAGAGAAAAAATTTGACAAATGAAGGAATATTTTGTAATAATAGAGTAATGAAACCCATTTTTTCTTGTGTGGGTCATAATCCATTTCTAAAGGCTGTTTTATTAGTGGCATCCCAAACATATATTTTAAACACTTTAAAATGTCAGATAAAAGGAAACAGAACTCCAATGATATGTTAGAGAAGACAGGTTTGGACTAGTACTCACATGGAAAGATTTACATTCTGTGGTACCAGGGTCACCTTTAGCTTTGAGGTCTTTGCATCTGACCACTGCTTAAGCTAAGATTTGGCAGTGTGAACAGCTCTGAGGTGAGGGATTGCAGGCTAAAATGTTTAGTCAGTATGAGGGTTGGGGTATGCATTTTCAAGGGAAGGCTGTTCACATACTGTCTACCTGCAGAGTGGAGTTGCTGGTGCAGAGCAATGGCAGCCCAAGAATGCAGGTGCCCCATCTATTTCAGAGGCATAAGAAGGACCAACCACCTGATTATTAATGTCTATGTATGCCAAAGGGCTGTGAGGAGCAGTAAGTTCCCCTTCAAGCTCTTTGTTCTTTCTTGTTCTGTAAACAACCTCTCCCGCCCTTGCCGCGCCCAGACATGCCTTCCCACCCAGACATGCCTTCCTGCCTAATTGGAAACTGGACAGCCTCTCCCTTCCTGCCTAATTAGCCCTATTCAATTTACAGCAGTAGCCAATCGGGTCAGCTTAGATTGTGCGGTCCAACCCCAGCCAACAGGGGAAGGATACAGAAACAGGAACTGTGTTAGGGTTAAAAACCCCTTCCCTCTTTTGTTCGGTGTGCTCTGTGATTGCCTCAGATGCAGGCAGCACCCTTCTGCAGAAGTAAATTGCCTTGTTGAGAAAACTTTTTGCTTGAGTGCTGGTTCTTCTTTGCAGCACTGAGCATCCATTTCTAACAGGGCAATACATAATAAATGAACCATTTTGTAATTTCTTGAAATACTCATTGAATGATCCTTACTCTCCAAATATCTTCTTACACTTAATTGTCAAAAATGTCCTAAAACTGATCAAACCCAGTGTTAGTACAAATAGAGAGAAATGAGAGTTCTTATTCATTGTTATTGGTGGGAATGAGAACTAGTACAAGCATTTGGAAGGTAATTTAGTATTACTAAATGTTTTAATGTTTGTATTATTTGATCTAGAAGTTACACCTTCCTCGTTTATAATGATAAATGTACAAGAAAATATATACATTTTTGTTTTATTTATTCTCCTACAGAAAGGAACATTTGGTATTTTTAAAACTTTTTTTGTGTGTGAGATAAAACACATTCAAATAAGTTTATTAAATTCTAAAGTATGGTTTAATGAATAACTATGAAGTGAATATTCATGTAAGAAGTGAATACTCACGTAACCAACACATAGGCCAAGAAAGATAACAATGCCAGTTGCCCAGAGGTCTGCACATATACTTCCCAATTATAATTCTCCCTTTAGAAGTAACCTCTTTCCTGAGTCTCATATCTGCTAGAACTGTCAGCTGTCTAATATGGTAGGCATTAGCCACATGTGACTACTTAGCACTTGAATTTTGGTTAGTCTGAATTGAGATGTTCTGTAAGTGTAAAATTTACCCTGGATTTTCAAGACTTAGTGTGAAAAAAAAAGAATGTTAAAAAACCTTTCATTTTATTTTATTTTAGTTATTTATTATTATTATTTTTGAGACAGAGTCTGGCTCTGTCACCCAAGCTGGAGTGTGGTTGTGCAATCTTGGCTCACTGCAACCTCTGCCTCCCAAGTTCAAGCCATCCTTCCATCTCAGTCTTCCACCTCGGCCTCCGGAGTAGCTGGGACTATAGGCGCATACTACCATGTCTGGCTAATTTTTGTATTTTTTAGAAATGAAGTTTCACCATGTTGCCAAGGCTGGTTTTGAACTCCTGAGCTCAAGTGATCCACTCGTCTCTGCCTCCTAAAATGCTGGGATTAAAATGCTGTGATTCTTCACATCTGGCCACTTTTAAATATGAGTTATATGTTTAAGTGATGATATTTTGAATATCTTAGATTAAATAAAATGTATTTAATTTCAACTATTTCTTTTTACTTCATTTAATGTGGCTACTAGAAAACTTAAAATTAAACTTACAGCTTACTTTTGTAGTTCACATTATTTTCACATTGGGTAGCTCTGCTCTATAGGTAACCACAATCTTGACTTTGTGAAAATGATTTTCTTCCATTTGTTTAGATTTCTATCACCCGTGTGTGTACCCATAAAATAATATATTTTGGTTTTGCCTATTTTTGAAATTTATATAAATAGAAAATGCTTCACATATTCTTTTGCATCTTGCTTCTTTTGCTTATGTTTTTATAACTTATCCTGCTGTTATATGTAGGTGTAATTCATTCATTTTCATTGTTGTATATCCTATTCCATTTTATGGCTATGCACAGCAATTTGTTTATCCATTCCATTATGCTAATTTATAATCCTATCAGTAACGTATGCGTCTACAGCCTTGCTTTTAATCGTGAAAAATTGGAAACATTTCAAATGTCCATCATAGGGATTGATAGGTAAATTATAGTACATCTATACAATGAAATGCCATAAAATTATTTATTAAAAGAATTAGATGGCTGGGCACGGTGACTCACGCCTGTAATTCCAGCACTTTGGGAGGCCGAGGCAGGCAGATCACCTGAGGTCGGGAGTTCAAGACGAGCCTGACCAACATGGAGAAACCCCTTCTCTACTAAAAAATACAAAATTAGCTAGGCGTGGTGGCGTATGCCTTTAATCCCAGCTACTCTGGAGGCTGAGGCAGGAGAATCACTTGAATCCGGGAGGTGGAGGTTGTGGTGGGCTGAGATTGCGCCATTGCACTCCAGCCTGGGCAACAGGGGCTCCAGCCTGGGCAACAAGAGTGAAACTCCTCAAAAAAAAAAAAAAAATAGATAACGCTATCTGAAATAATTTGAAAAGATGTTTATAATATATTGAAAAATTCTAAAAATTTGTTGGCATATAATTCTTCATGGCAATTTCTTATGATCACTTGTATTTCTGTGGTATCAGTTATAATGTTTCCTCTTATTTCTGATTTTATTTATTTGAGTCATCTCTCTTTTTTCTTAGTCTAGCTAAAGGCTTGTCCATTTTACTTTTCTTTTCAAAAACCTACTTAGTTTTTCTTTTCTATTGTTTTTCTAGTCTCTATTTTATTTATTTCTGCTCTGATCTTTATTATTTCCTTCCTGCTGCTGACCATGGGTTTAGTTTGTTCTTTTTCTAGTTCCTTGAGGTGTAAAGTTATTAATAGTTTGCTTATTTGAGAGCTTTTCAGGAGTGTGTTGTTTAATTTCCACATATTTGTGAATTTTTCAATTTTCCTCCTGTAATTGACTTTTGGTTTTATACCATTGTGGTGGGAAAAGTTACTGGATGTGATTTCAGTCTTATTTTTTTGTTTTTGAGAAAGAGTCTCACTCTTGTTCTTCAGGCTGGAGTGCAATGGATTGATCTCAGCTCACTGCAACCTCCTGGGTTCAAGCGATTCTCCTGCCTCAGCCTCGCCACTAGCTGGGACTACAGGCATGTGCCACCACTCCCAGCGAATTTTTTTATTTTTAGTAGAAATGGGGTTTCACCATGTTGGCCAGGCTGCTCTCGAACTCCTGACCTCAGGTGATCCACCCGCCTCGGCCTCCTTAAGTGCTGGGATTACTTCTTAAGTGCTTGGATTACAGGCGTGAGCCACCACGTCCAGCCAGATTTCAATCCTCTTGAATTTGTTAAGGCTTGTTTTGTGGACTAACATATGATCCATACTGGAGAATGTTCTATGTACTTAAGAAGCATGTGTATTCTCTCTCTCCTGCTCCGCCATATGAAGATTGTGCCTGCCTCCCCTTCACCTTCCACCATGATTTTAAGTTTCCTTAGGCCTCCCCAGCCATGCCTCCTGTACAGCCTGTAGAACTGCAACTGAATTATGGAAGAGTCAGAGACGTCTTTGGTAAAATGTAAAGGATATTCTCTTCAATATGATACCATTGATGTTGACTTTTTAGAAAATTTAGATGAGTTTGAAATTAGAGATGATGATGTCTTCATAGTCACATACCCCGAATCTGGAGCTATCTGGTGTCAGCAGATATTAAGCTTGATTTATTTTGAAGAACATTGGAAGAGAACTGAACATCTGAAAACACTGTATCAAGCTCCCTTTCTTGAGTACAGCGGCAAAAACATGAATTTTTGTGAAAGACCATCTCCTCATCTCTTTGCAACCCACCTCCCATACTATTTGGTTCCAAGAGGGATAAAGAACGAAAAAGTCAAAATGATATATCTATACAGAAACCCGAAGGATGCTATGTGCTCATATTTTCGTTTTTCAAAGATGATGACAATGTGTAAGCCTACAGCTACCACTGAGGATTTTATGAAACAATTTTTAGAAGGAAAAGTGGTAGGAAGCCTTTGATTTGGCCATATCAAATGTTGGTATGAGCACAAAAGCCACTTCAACATTCAGTTCATAATGTATGAGGAGATGAAGAAGGATCTCAGAGGTTCTGTATTAAAACTCTGCAAGTTTCTGGGGAAATAACTGAGTGAGGAGGCCATGGATGCCACATGGAGGCCACATTTGAGAACATGAAGGATGACCCACTAGCAAATTATGCAAACCTACTAAACATTAGAATTAGGAGAAAAAGTAAAGAAGGGCATTTCCTTCACAAAAACACCATTGGAGACTGAAAAATTTACATGACTTTTGAGCAGAATGAAAGGTTTGACAAGATTTTCTGAAGGCAGATGAAAGATTTTCCACTGATGTGGAATATGGGATACAAATGAAATTCATCTGTGATACAAATGAAGTATAGAATTCTAAGCTGAGCACACAGAATCCTAAGAGAGCACTTTCGGAAGGAAATACATTAAATTTTACACTTTAATCTTTGACTATCGTTGAATCACATTGAAAAATCTCAGTGATTAGGAGGATTAATATAGTGACCTTTATATGTCATCTACCACCTGCAGAGTTTTCAATTTCCAGAGATTCCTTAGTTTCTGATCAAATGAAGATTCCCCATATTGTTTTGGCATATCATTATGAATAATTTTTTATTTTATTTGTAGTAATTCCTAAGTTCTTAAACAAAAGGGGAAGTTTTAATGTGTGAGCAATGCACTGTCTTGAAATAGAAACCTTGTCGATTTTTACAAACTGCTTATGACCTGTTCGTCATATTCAAGATTTTAATACTTATGTAATAACGTTATTTTTATGTAATCACATTTCATAGCTTCTAGGGTCTATATTTTACTTTGGAGGGTTGGTACCCCACAATATTCATATATGTTGTATATTTTTTATTTGGATATTATTCTAATGTTGTGAGAAAGCTATTTAATTACTTTTACAGATAGATAACAAATTGACCCAACATCATTTATTGAATAGTACATCATTTTCTCACTGCTTAAAATAGACATGATCATGTTCTAAAGAATTGTGTGTACATGAGTTGACTCTATACATTGTTCTGTGGATGTACTTAACACTTCTTCTATCAAGACAATGATGTTTAAATTTCTAAAATAATTTTATAAACTCTCATAGAGGAAAAAAAGTGTGTATTTTGCTGCTGTTGGATGGGATGTTTTGCATATGTGTATTAGGTCTATGGTGCTGTTCAAGTTTGCTGTTTAACTATTGATTTTCTTTCCAGATGATCTGTACATTGTTAAAAGTAGGATATTGAAGTCTACTATTATTGTATTGCTATTTCTCCCTTCAATTCTGTTAATATTGGCTTTATATAGTTAGGTGCTCTGATGCTGGGTACATATATATTTACGGTTGTTATATCCTCTTGATGCATTGACCCTTTTATTGTTACATAACAACCTTCTTTGTCTCTTTTTACAGTTTTTCACTTAAATTCTATTTTGTCTGATATAAGAATTGCTACTCCTACTCTTTTTTGATTACCATTTTCTTTTTTGTATGTGTGAGAGTGGCATGATCATGGCTTACTTGGAGCCTTGACCTCCCAGGCTCAAGCAATCCTCTCACCTCAGCCTCCAGAGTAGCTGGGACTACAGGTGCCTGCCACCATGCCCAGCTAATTTTTTAATACTTTGTAGAGATGGAATCTCACTATGTTGCCAGGGCTGGTCTCAAACTCCTGTGCTCAAGTGATCCTCCGCCTCAGTCTTCCAAAGTGCTGGGATTATAGGTGTGAGCCATTTTACCCAGTCTACCATTTTAATACAATATCTTTTTCCATTCCTTCACTTTCAGCGCATGTAGGTCCTTAAAGCTAAAGTGAGTCTCTTGTAGGCAGCTTATAGTTGAATATTGTTTTTATTTTTTATCCATTCAGCCCCTCTGTGTCTTTTGATTAGTGAATTTAATCCATTTATACTTAATTATTTCTAGGTAACGGCTTACCATTGTGATTTTGTTAATTGTTTTCTGACTGTATTTCTTTTGTTCCTTTCTTTCTTGCTTGTTCCCTTCCTTTGTGATTATATATATATATATATATATATATATATATATATGATAAAGGAATCAAAGCATACCACTACAAAATATATATAGTGTTATGCTTTGATTCCTTTATCTTTTGTGCATATATTACAAGTTTTTTATTTTGTGGTTATTATGCGACTTACATTAAACATCTTATAACAGTTTATTTTAAGCTGAAAAGAACTTAACTTTGACTGCATACAATTCTACACTTTAACATCTTCTTTTCCTACATTTTTTTCTTTTTTTTTGAGATGGAATCTCGCCCTGTTGCCCATGCTGGAGTGCAGTGGTGTGATCTTGGCTCACTGCAACCTTTGCTTCCTGGGTTTAAGCAATTCTCCTGCCTCAGCCTTCCAAGCAGCTGGGATTACAGGCATGTGCAACCACCCCTGGCAAATTTTTGTATTTTTAGCAAAGATGGGGTTTCACCATGTTGGCCAGGCTGGTCTTGAACTCCTGACCTCAAGTGATCTGCCTGCCTGGGCCTCCCGAAGTTCTGGGATTACAGGCATGAGCCACAACGCCCAGACTCCTTCCCCTGTATTTTATGTTATTGGTGTCACAACTTACATTTTAAAATTATGTATCCATTAACAAATTATTACATATTTATTTTTAATAGTTTTGTCTTTTAACTTATATTTGAGTTAAAAGCTATTTATACACTCCCATTACAGTATTAGAGTATTGTGAATTTGATTATACTCTTACCTTAACAGTGAGTTTTATACTTTCATAGTTTTCGTGTTGTTTGTTAGTATCCTTTTGTTTCAACTTGAAGGAATCCTTTTAGCGTTTTTTTTGTAAGACAGATGTAGGGTGGGCCGGGAGCGGTGGCTCATGCCTGTAATCCTAGCACTTTGGGAGGCTGAGGTGTGTGGATCACGAGGTCAAGAGATCGAGACCATCCTGGCTAACATGGTGAAACCCCATCTCTACTAAAAATGCAAAAAATTAGCCAGTCGTGGTGGCGGACACCTGTAGTCCCAGCTACTTGGGAGGCTGAGGCAGGAGAATGGCGTGAACCTGGGAGGCAGAGCTTGCAGTGAGCCGAGATCGCGCCACTGCACTCCAGCCTGGGCGACAGAGTGAGACTCCCTCTCGAAAAAAAAAAAAAGACAGATACAGGGTGGTGAGCTCCTTTAGCTTTTCTTTTTCTGGGAGTCTTTATCGTTCCTTCATATCTGAAGGACAGCTTTGCCAGGTGTAGTATTCTTGGTTGGCATTTTTTTTCTTTTAGCACTTTGAATATATTATCTCACTCTTTCCTGGCCTTTAAGGTCTCTGCTGATAAACCTCCTGATAGTTTTATACAGGTTCTTTTGTATGTGATGAGTTGCTTTTCTCTCATTGCTTTCAAAGTTCTTTTTGTCTTTGACTTTTTGGAAATTTGATTATAAATTTGTGTAGGTGAATAACTTTTTTTTTTTTTTTTTTTGAGATGGAGTCTCGCTCTGTCGCCCAGGCTGGAGTGCAGTGGCCAGATCTCAGCTCACTGCAAGCTCTGCCTCCTGGGTTTATGCCATTCTCCTGCCTCAGCCTCCTGAGTAGCTGGGACTACAGGTGCCCACCACCAAGCCTGGCTAATTTTTTGTATTTTTAGTAGAGACGGGATTTCACCGTGTTAGCCAGGATGGTCTCGATCTCCTGACCTCGTGATCCGCCCGCCTCGGCCTCCCAAAGTGCTGGGATTACAGGCATGAGCCACTACGCCCGGCCAGTGAATAACTTTTTATATTTAATCTACTTGGGTGTTCTTGGTATTCCTTTTTTCTTTTTTTGAGACAGAATTTTGCTCTTATCGTCCAGGCTGGAGTACAATGATGTGATCTTGGCTCACTGCAACCTCTGCCCCTGGGTTCAAGTGATTCTCCTGCCTTAGCCTCCCAAGTTGCTGGGATTACAGGAGTCTGCCACCATGCCCAGCTAATTTTTGTATTTTTAGTAGAGACGGGGTTTCTCCATGTTGGCCAGCTGGTCTGAAACTTCTGATCTCAGTTAATCCCCTGGCCTTGGCCTCCCAAAAAGTGCTGGGATTACAGGCGTGAGCCACTAAGCCTAGCCTCATATTATTATTATATGGATCTGGATATTCATTTTCCTCTCCAGATTTGGGAAGGTTTCTGCCATTGTTTCTTTTTTTTTTTTCTTTTTTTCTTTTTTTTCTTTTTTTATTTTTTTTATTATTTATTTATTTATTTATTTTTTATTTTATTTTTTTTATTGATCATTCTTGGGTGTTTCTCGCAGAGGGGGATTTGGCAGGGTCATAGGACAATAGTGGAGGGAAGGTCAGCAGATAAACAAGTGAACAAAGGTCTCTGGTTTTCCTAGGCAGAGGACCCTGCGGCCTTCCGCAGTGTTTGTGTCCCTGGGTACTTGAGATTAGGGAGTGGCGATGACTCTTAACGAGCATGCTGCCTTCAAGCATCTGTTTAACAAAGCACATCTTGCACCACCCTTAATCCATTCAACCCTGAGTGGACACAGCACTTGTTTCAGAGAGCACAGGGTTGGGGGTAAGGCCACAGATCAACAGGATCCCAAGGCAGAAGAATTTTTCTTAGTACAGAACAAAATGAAAAGTCTCCCATGTCTACCTCTTTCTTTTTTTTTTTTTTTTTTTTTTTTTTTGAGACGGAGTCTCGCTCTGTCGCCCAGGCTGGAGTGCAGTGGCGGGATCTCGGCTCACTGCAAGCTCCGCCTCCCGGGTTCACGCCATTCTCCCGCCTCAGCCTCCCAAGTAGCTGGGACTACAGGCGCCCGCCACTACGCCCGGCTAATTTTTTGTATTTTTAGTAGAGACGGGGTTTCACCGTTTCAGCCGGGATGGTCTCGATCTCCTGACCTCGTGATCCGCCCGCCTCGGCCTCCCAAAGTGCTGGGATTACAGGCGTGAGATGTCTACCTCTTTCTACACAGACACGGCAACCATCCGATTTCTCAATCTTTTCCCCACCTTTCCCCCCTTTCTATTCCACAAAACCGCCATTGTCATCATGGCCTGTTCTCAATGAGCTGTTGAGTACACCTCCCAGATGGGGTGGTGGCCGGGCAGAGGGGCTCCTCACATCCCAGTAGGGGCAGCCGGGCAGAGGCGCCCCTCACCTCCCGGATGGGGCGTCGGGGCAGAGGTGCTCCCCACATCTCAGATGATGGGCGGCTGGGCAGAGATGCTCCTCACTTCCTAGATGGGATGGCGGCCGGGCAGAGACGCTCCTCACTTTCCAGACTGGGCAGCCAGGCAGAGAGGCTCCTCACATCCCAGACGATGGGCGGCCAGGCAGAGACGCTCCTCACTTCCCAGACGGGGTGGCGGCCGGGCAGAGGCTGCAATCTCGGCACTTTGGGGGGCCAAGGCAGGCAGCTGGGAGGTGGAGGTTGTAGCGAGCCGAGATCACGCCACTGCACTCCAGCCTGGGCACCATAGAGCACTGAGTGAACGCAACTCCGTCTGCCATCCCGGCAACTCGGGAGGCCGAGGCTGGCGGATCACTCGTGGTTAGGAGCTGGAGACCAGCCCAGCCAACACAGCGAAACCCCGTCTCCACCAAAAAAATACAAAAACCAGTCAGGCGTGGCGGCGCGCGCCTGCAATCGCAGGCACTCGGCAGGCTGAGGCAGGAGAATCAGGCAGGGAGGTTGCAGTGAGCCGAGATGGCAGCAGCACAGTCCAGCTTCGGCTCAGCATCAGAGGGAGACCGTGGCAAGAGAGGGAGAGGGAGACCGTGGGGAGACGGAGAGGGAGAGGGGAGAGGGGAGAGGGGAGAGGGAAGAGGGGAGAGGGGAGAGGGCTTTAAAAATCTTTTGTAGAGACCCATTGTTTCTTTAAATAAGCTTTCTGCCCCTTTCTCTGCTCCTCTTGGCCTACCACAATTGTATATTTGTTTACTTGATGGTATCCAGTAAGTCCTGTAGACCTTCTTCACTCTATTTAAATAATTTTTTCTTTTTGTTCCTCTGGGTAATTTTAAATGACCTGTTTATATGCTCACTTATTCTTTGTTCTCCTTTATTGAGACTGCTATTGAAGCTCTCAATGGAATTTTTCAGTTAATTGTTACATTCTTTAGCTCCAGACCATCTGTTTGGCTCTTTTTTATGGTTTCTATATCTTTCTTGAACTTCTAATTTTGTTCATGTATTGTTTTCCTTTTTTTTTTTTTTAACAGAGTCTCACTCTGTCACCCAGGCTGGAGTGCAGTGGCAGGGTCACAGCTCACTGCAGTCTTGACGTCCTGGGCTCAGGTGATTCTTCCGCCTCAGCCTCCTGAGTAGCTGAGAATACAGGCATGTGCCATCGTGCCTGGCTAAGTTTTTGTATTTTTTGTAGAGACAGGATTTTACCATGTTGCCCAGGCTGGTCTCAAACTTCTGGACTCAGCAATCTGCCTGTCTTGGCCTCCCAACATGTTGGGATTACAGGCATGAGCCACCACAACTGGCCTCCTAATTTTGTTTAGTTGCCTATCTGTGTTCTCTTGTAGCTCACTGAACTTCTTTATTTTTGTTTTTTTGAGGCGGAGTCTTGCTCTGTTGCTCAGGCTGGAGTCCAGTGGCATGATCTCAGCTCACTGCAACCTCCACCTCCAGGGTTCAAGTGATCCTTGTGCCTCAGCTTCCCAAGTAGCTAGGATTACAGGTGCATGCCACCATACCCAGCTAATTTTTGTATTTTTAGTAGAAATGTTTTGGCACATTAGCCAGGCTTGTCTCGAACTCCTGGCCTCAAGTGATCCACTCGCCTTGGCCTCCCAAAGTGCTGGGATTACAGGTTTGAGCCACTGAGCCTGGTCTGAACTCATTAAAGATGATTGTTTTGAATTCTTTATCAGGCAGGTTGTAGATCTCCATTTCTTTAGGGTTTGTTTCTGGTGCTCTATTTTGTTCCCTTGGTGGTGTCATGTTTCCTTGATTATTTATGATCTTTGTGTTCTTATGTTGGTGTCTCTGTGTCTGAAGTAGATACCTCCTCCAGTCTTAACAGACTGGCTTTGTCAGAGAAAGCCCTTCACCAGTTAAACTGTCCAGAGGTTCTGGGCTGGCAGAGTCTATGAACAGGTTTGCTGATTGAGTCCTTGGGTGAGCTGGCCAAATGCCTACGTCAGTGGGCAAATGGGCCTGGTACCCAGATCTACAAGAGCTGGCCTGCGGTGGGCCTTGGGGTAGGTCAGGAATTTGAGTCTATTGGTGTAGGTCTAGAGCCTGGGTCTGCAAGGGTGGCCTGGTGCTGGAATTGACTTGGAGCTTGAGTTTGCAGGAGCAAGCCTGAATCCTGGGTCTGTAGGAGAAAAGCCTGGGGCCTGAGGTCATGGAGGCTGGCTTGATACTGGTGTGGCCCTAGAACCTAGGCCCACAGGTGCCAGCCTAGAGCTTTGCTTCATAGGTACTGGCCTGGTACCTGGGGCTGCAGAGGCCAGTCTGGAGCCTGGGTGCATGAGGGCCAGCCTAGTCCTTATGTTCACTGGGGTAACCCTGGTGTTGGGGTCTGCAGTAAAATTAAAATTAGGTGCTCAGTTTACTCTCCTTCTCCACACAGAGGCTATCTCTCTCCATGCTGCGCTATGTGGGCTTAAGGTAGGAGTGAAGTGAGTAATGTGAAATTGTCCTTCTGACTCTCTTCAATGCATCTTTTCTTATTTATATATCTTACTTAGGTGCTGTAAACTCTCACCTGGATTCTGTAGCTCTTGTGAAATTATTTTTGTGCATTGATGGTCGTCTAAATTGATGTTTCTGTGAGGGAATGAGCACTGGAAATGTCTTTTCTTTTTTTTCTAATCTTTAAAGCCACATTCAAAGCACTGGAAACTTCTATTCCATTGTTTTGCTGATATCACCCTTAGAAATCAAGATAGTAAATTTTATGTTATGTGTTTTACCACATGAAAAAATTGGAAAAAAATTGATGACATTTTAAATAAATTTAAGGAGAAAATATATAAGATAAAGTACCATTTAAAAAAATTTACTCAAATAATTTACCCTCTTGCTCTTTATTTCTTTCTACAGTACTGGATTTCTACCAGATTTTATTTCCCTTCAGCCTGAAGATTCAGCCTGAAGAACTGCCTTCCACATTTCTTATAATGAAGAGCTATGGAGACAAATTCTCTCAGCTTTTATCTTTCTAAGGATGTCTTTATTTTTTCTTAATTTTTGAAGTGTATTTTCACTGAATAGAGAATTCTAGACTGACAGTTCTTTTTCTTTTAGTACTTTCAATATATTTCTCCGTGTCATCTGACTTTCATTACGTCTGAGGGAAAGTCAGCCTTTGCTTGTATCTTTTCCCACCTGTATATGATTTTGATGTATTTACCAGCCCCCTTTTCTGGCTGCACTTTTTTTTTTTTTTTTAAAGACAGGTTCTCATTCTGTCAGCCAGGCTGGAGTGCAGTGGTACATTCATAGCTCGCTACTGCCTTGAATCCCTGGGCTCAAGCCATTCTTTCACTTCAACCTCCAAAGTAGCTAGGACTATAGGTGCATGCCACCATGCCCAACTAATTTGTTTTTTAATTTTTGTAGAAAAGGGGTCTTGCTGTGTTGCCCACATCAAGTCTTGAAATCCTGTGCTCAACAGCTCCTCATGCCTCAGCCTCCCAAAGTGCTGGGATTACAGGTGTGAGCCACTGTGCCCAGCAGGCTGCACTTTTAAAGATCTGCTTTATACTTTGGATTTTCAGAAGTTTCATTTTGATATGTCTGCATGAGTTCTTTACATTTATTCTGCTTGGAATGTATGAAAAATTTTGAACCTTTGGATTGCTGTCTTTTATCAAGTTAGAAAAGTTCTTTGCTAATATCTCTTTAAATATTTCTTATGCCTCATGTTCTCCTGTCTCTGCCACTGGAACTCCAATTACATGTATGTTGAACCATTTGATATTGTTCCACAAATCTGTTCTTCTTTTTTTTTTTTCCCTCACTTTTCTTTCCTCTTTGTGCTTCAGTTGGGTGCTTATATTGACCTGTTTTCTGGCTCCATGATCCCATCCTCTGCTTTGTTTTATCTGCTCTTACACACATCTAATGAACTCCTCACTTATGATGCCGTAACTTTCCTTTCTAGCATTTCCATTTGGGTTTTCTTTTTATAGTTTCTATATCTCTCTTGAAATTCTCCATTTCTTCAAACATTTTGTCTATTTTTCCCAATAGATATTTTAACTATAATTATCTTAAAATCTCAGTCTGATAATTTCAACATCTGCCACATCTCTGTGTTTGTTTTTATTGATTTTTTTATGACCATACATCATATTTTCTTGTTTTTATATGTCTTGTGATTTTTAATTGCATTCTGGGCACTTAATATAAAAGATAGTAGAGATTGAAATAAATAATATTTACCTTCAGAAAGCAGCACACCCTTTGTATATCACCCTCCTAGAGTGGGGAGAGAGTCAATTTGATCTGTTGCTGAGCTGGATATGCAAAATTTTGAAGTTTTAGTTTACTACAGGTCTTAAATGTTTTGTGGTTTGGATCTGGATTTTTTCTTTAGCAGGACCCGTATCTTAGTACTGGTGAGCTACCATAAATCTTCTTTTGCTTCATAGGTCACCATCAACTTGTGGAGCTATTAAATATCTCTCCTTGATCTACAGACCAGCTGCCCACCTTTTGGGTTGCTGAGGACTCTCTTTTGCTGTTAATTCCTGCCATTTCATCCTGATTTTTATTTTTATTTATTTATTTTGAGATGGAGTCTCACTCTGTCATCCAGGCTGGAGTGCAGTGGCGCGATCTTGGCTCATTGCAACCTCCACCTCCCGAGTTCAAGCCATTTTCCTGCCTCAGCCTCCCGAGTAGCTGAGATTACAGGTGTGTGCCACCATGCCTGGCTAATGTGTGTGTGTGTGTGTGTGTGTGTGTATATATATATATATATATATATAGAGAGAGAGAGAGAGAGAGAGAGAGAGAGAGAGAGAGATGGGGTTTTGTTATATTGTCCAGGCTGGTCTTGAACTCCTGGCCTGAAATGATCAACTCACCTCGGCCTCCCTGGGGTTACAGGGGTGAGCCACCATGCTTGTCCTCATCCTAATTTTTAAAAAGGGTTTCCTGAAATAATCTTTTAGTTAGGAGCCTGGAAAGTAAAAGCCCACTTATATTATTTACTATAAAGTTTAGCTGGCAGAAGAAACCATATTTCCAGAACATTTTTCCCCTTAAGATTCTTCTCTATTTTTACTATTATTTTGTCAGCATAAATATAAAAAAGTAATTAAGCCTAGGATACATAAAAGTATTGTGATTTTTAAAAACTTATGACAAATAGCAGTGCAATCAGAGTTTTTAATTTTATTTTTAATTGACAAAATTGCTTATATTTGTTGCGTACAACATGGCATTTTGAAAATGTATACATTGTGGAATGGCTCAATCAAGCTAATTAACATATACATTATCTCACTTATCATATTTTATAAGAACACTTAAAATCTATTCTCATAATGTTTTTCAAAATACAATAAATTGTTATTAACTATAGTCATCATGTTGCACAGTAGATCTCTTGAACTTATCTCTCCTATTGAATTGAAATTTTGTATCCATTGACCATCTCATCACTCACTCCTACTCCCTAAACCACCAGTATCCACCATATTATAATTTGACATGTTGGTGTGATACATCACAATATTCTGGCAAAAAATTATACTTAACAACTGAAAGAATACCAGAGCAGACAAAGTGTCACTCAGTAATTAGAAATATATGTAGGCTAGTAAGACTTTGAGATGTAGTGAAAAATGATAAGCCTAGCATTTTCCATGGGTCACTTTAGTAGACAATAGCGTCCAACAATAGAGGGGAAAAGCAGTGGGAGATTGCCAAGTGGTAAAATGTGAAACTTTGGAAGTTTTCATGCCCATGTGCTTCTAGGTTTATGCCTGTAACCCCAGCACTTTGGGAGGCTGAGGTGGGTGGATCACTTGAGGTCAGGAGTTCAAGACCAGCCTGGCCAACACGGTGAAACCCTGTCTCTACTGAAAATACAAAAAAATTAGCCAGCATGGTGGTGGCATGCACCGGTAATCCCATCTGCTTGGGAGGCTGAGGCAGGAGAATCACTTGAACCTGGGAGGCAGAGGTTGCACGAGCTAAGATCATGCCACTGCACTCCAGCCTGGGTGACACAGTGAGACTCAGTCTGAAAAAAAAAAAAAAAAAAGAAAATGAAAAAGAATTCTTGTTGGTACAATGCTAGGTATAAAAACTTCAGTATACATAAAAATAAAAACCATTTATTATGCTAATAAAAATTCACATAACTATTCTGTAAGAAAACCGGAAATACACAGAGTACACAAAATTATTCATGGATCAAATCACAGCTACTTCTACTATAGTACTAGCCATGAGAAGATTTTAAAAAATAACTTTTAATTGAAATATTTTCAGTCATTCTGAAAAGTTGAAACATGGTACAAGTAACACATATATAGTTGTTACCTAGATTTACTAATTGTTAATGTTTTCTTACAATTCTAAAAAGTTACAACACATCTTTTATTTGGGAAGTTTAGAATTATAATTCGTTTCTCTTTTTTTCATAGTTTTTTTTGTTTTTGTTTTTGTTCAGAAATTAGTTATAGAGACAAAAAGACACTATGACAGAATTAGTCAGTGCCAAACTCATGATATCTGCTGCTTGTGACCCTTTCCCATTCATTTAGGGCATGGGTTCTTAAGGATCATAGCAAGAGAAGAGGAGGAAAAATGAGAGAATCTTTCTTCTATAAAGTATCTTTTCCTCCTTTTTGATGAGTACTTGCTGGTCTGAAGAATTAACCATGTGCATCAAGGCAGGGTGAATTCAATTTTCTTCTTATCAAGTGAAAAAACTTCAGTCTTTTTGAGGTTGTTCTGCTATAATGTATTATCCATCAGAAAGTTCACTATGATTTTGGATTCTGTTATATTTCCCACAAACTTCTGGATTAATAGTGTCTTCAGGATTAATAGTTTACAGCACTTTCATTCAGATCAGAAGAATTGGTGCTGGGGGATTTATGATATGTAACCCAATTTTCCATCACCATATTTTGACCTTGGCCTTATAAGTTGTAGCCCATACAAAGCAATTGATTGCTACCCTATAGAGGCAAATGACTGTTTTAAATTCTAGAACAATAGCTAATAAGTTCTTGATAATTGTGACTTATCCTCTGTCAGCTGTGACTGCATGCATCTCTCTGAAGCTGCCTTGGATTGATGGATGCAACTTGTATGACAGGAGCCAGTTCCAGTGGCTTTCTCCTTTCTGCTTAGCCCCACCAGAGCTCCTGGAGTGGGATTGATGAGGTCATTTTTCTTTCATTGTGGTCTTCTATAATGAAATATGGTAAAAGTTCATCTTCTCTTGAGCATGGCATTTTTTCCTTGTCAGATGTGCAGTCTTTCTTTTACTGAACGAATTTGTTATCTACAAAAGCAGTGGCCTTGTACTTCCCTTTTGATTTCAAAGAGCTCCGGAATGGCTAAAAGGAGTTTTCTTCTAAAAATTTAGTAGAGAGTCAGCTCTTTCTTTAGCCAAGACATTTGGTCTCCCTTTTAATCAATTTGAGAGAAATATAAATGTGTGTTATTGGTGACCTCTGGAATACTTCAAACTGTCTCATTCTCCAAGCATAGTTGAGCAAACTTCTAGGCAAACCATGTTAGGAGAAACCAAAACTAATTTTTCTATATGTCCCAGGGTTGATGGATACCTTAGTCAGTAGTAGAAATGAGGATGGGATAGTTTGGATCCCCCTCATTTAAACGCATCATCACTTATGAATTTATGGAACCCTCAGAGTCAAGCTCTTTTTGCTTCTGGCTTGTCTGAAGTGAGAGCCCACTAGCATATAAAGTATTGGATCATGAATAATACTGGATTTAATATTAACATGTGAAAGCAGCTGCTGCAAGAAGAGAAGATCTTATTTCCTGATGTTCAGCCCTGCCACAAGTATGCATATTTATACGTTTTTCCCACTGGCTTTTTTGCTTGGGAGTACTTCAAATATTACAATCTGAACCCATATTTGTATTTGAGTTTGCATAGATTTATTGCCTAAATAAAACTATATTAAACATTTCTTGGGTACAGGAAAATGAAGACTCCTTATATTTAAACAAGGCAGCACGTTTTGGTTGTCTTACGAAACGTGTGGCCTCTTGTTGTCAAAGATGATGTCGATTGCAACATGATGATAACTGGTTCTTAGGCAACGTCTTACATATGATCCAAGATATCTTACTATTAGTAGAAATGGAATCACAGCAATCATAATGACTGGAATGACACTGGCTCTTATCTCACCCACTCCAGCAGGACTTCACCATATAAAATATTTCTGGGAGTCCCAGGAGGCATCCACCATGTGCTCATCAATTAACACTCTCCAGCCTGCCATTGCTACTGTTTTGCCACCTCCATAGAGTCCTCTTTGGGTCCTGCTGTCTCGTTTGGTCCCAGTGCTATGTGTCTGAGTCTTGCATCCTGACATTGCCCCTGATGTCCCAGAGTTTTCACAGAGCCAGAGCTGTGTGGCATCTGTGAGGTGAGGAAGAATGTCCTTGCACCTTGGAGCTTGGTGTTGGACTCAGCTAGAGGGTTCACAAAGCACTGTGTGTGCAAGCATACCAGGAGAGCTCTTTCCTTTTTATGGTACCTGTTTTCATAGGACCTAGATATGAAGAGCATTAACTGTCACAGTTAGTCAACAATTATTGCTTATGTACTTAGCAATTTGATAAGCCCTATAATTATTCATTAAGACTTATTCTATAAGCCCTTTAACAAAATTATTATTATTGTTATTATTTTGAGATGGAGTCTCGCTCTGTCGCCCAGGCTGGAGTGCAGTGGCGCGATCTCCGGTCACTGCAAGCTCCGCCTCCCGGGTTCACGCCATTCTCCTGCCTCAGCCTCCAGAGTAGCTGGGACTACAGGTGCCCGCCACCACTCCCGGCTAATTTTTTTGTATTTTTTAGTAGAGACGGGGTTTCACCGTGTTAGCCAGGATGGTCTTGATCTCCTGACCTCATGATCCGCCCATCTCGGCCTCCCAAAGTGCTGGGATTACAGGCATGAGCCACCGCGCCCGGCCTAACAAAATTATTTTATCTGTACAAAGTAGATGCTGTAATTATTTCTATTTTATAGACGAGGACACTAAGGCTTCAAGAGGTTGAGTAATTTGCTCAGTGTTACCCAGCAAACACTGCAAGTCTGACCTCAAAGCCCACTATCTTTTTTTTTTTCTTTTTTTTTGAGACGGAGTTTTGCTCGTTGCCCAGGCTGGAGTTCAATGGCACGATCTGAGCTCACCGCAACCTCCGCTTCCTGGGTTCAAGTGATTCTCCTGCCTCAGCCTCCCGAGTAGCTGGGACTAACAGGCATGCACCACCACGCCCGGCTAATTTTGTATTTTCAGTAGAGATGGGGTTTATCCATGTTGGTCAGGCTGGTTGCGAACTCCTGACCTCAGGTGATCCACCCACCTTGGCCTCCCAAAGTATTGGGATTACAGGCGTGAGCCACTGCGCCTGACCAAAGCCCAATATCTTAATCACTAAATCTAAATACTTTCCTTGGCATCACTCCAGCTTCTAATAACATAAGATTTTTTTTTTAATTGTTAATTTTTGTGGGCACATGGTAGGTGGATATATTTATGGGGTACATAAAATATTTGGTATAGGTAAACAACATGTAATCATCACCTCAGGGTAAATGGTGTATCCATCACCTCAAGCATTTATCCTTTTCTTTGTGTTACAAACAATCCAATTATACTCTCTTATTTAAAAATGTACAATAGGCTGGGCACGGTGGCTCATGCCTGTAATCTCAGCACTTTGAGAGGCCAAGGTGGGTGGATCACCTGATGTCAGGAGTTCAAGACCAGCCTGACCAATATGGTGAAACTCTGTCTCTACTAAAAATACAAAAATTAGCCAGATGTGATGGCATGTGCCTGTAGTCCCAGCTACTCAGGAGGCTGAGACAGGAGAATTGTTTGAACCCAGGAGGCAGAGATTGCAGTGAGCCAAGATCGTGACGCTGCACTCTAGCCTGGGCAACAGAGCGAGACTCCGTCTTAAAAAAAAAAAGTACAATAAATTATTGTTGACTGTAGTCACCCTGTTGTGCTCTCAAATATTGTATCTTGTTCATTCTATCTAACTATATTTTTGCACCCAATAACCATCCCCCCCTGCCCCTGACTACCCTTCCCAGCCTCTGGTAACCATTATTCTATTCTATCTCTCATGAGTTCAATTGTTTTAATTTTTATTAGGTTGGTGCAGAAGTAATCATTACTTTTTTGCCATTAAAAGTAATGGTGAAAACCGCGATAACTTTTGCACTAATCTAATAGCTCTCACAAATAAGTGAGAACATGCAAAATTTGTCTTTCTGTGCCTAGCTTATTCCACTTAACATAATGACCTCTGGTTTCATACATGTTGTTGCAAATGACAGGATCTGATTCTTTTTTAATGGCCAAATAGTACTCCACTGTGTATATGTACCACATTTTCTTTATCCATTCATCTGTTGATGGAAACTTAGATTGCTTCCAAATCTGGGGCATTGCGAATAGTGCTAGAATAAACATGGTGATGCAGATATCTCTTTGATATACTGATTTCCTTTCATTTGGGTATGTACCTAGCAGTGGCATTTCTGGATCATTATGGCAATTCTATTTTTAGTTTTTTTTTTTTTTTTTTTGAGATGGAGTCTCACTCTGTCCCCCAGGCTGGAGTGCAATGGCTCAATCTCGGCTCACTGCAAGCTCCGCTTCCTGTGTTCGCGCCATTCTCCCTCCTCAGCCTCCCCAGTAGCTGGGACTACAGGCGCCCGCCATCACGCCTAGCTAATTTTTTGTATTTTTAGTAGAGATGGGGTTTCACCGTGTTAGCCAGGATGGTCTCGATTTCCTGACCTCGTGATCTGCCCACCTCGGCCTCCCAAAGTGCTGGGATTACAGCCATGAGCCACCGTGCCCGGCCCTATTTTTAGTTTTTTGAGGAACCTCTAAACTATTCTCCATAGTGGTTGGCTAATTTACATTCCCACCAATAGTATATGAGGGTTCCTCTTTCTCCATATCCTTGTCATTTGGTTATTTCCTGTTTTTTGGATAAAAGCCATTTTAACTGGGGTGAGATGATATTTCATTGTAGTTTTGAGTTGCATTTCTCTGATGATCAGTGAAGTTGAGCACCTTTTCATATGCCTGTTTGCCATTTATATATCTTCTTTTGAGAAATACCTACTCAGATCTTTTGCCCATTTTTTAAATTGGATGATTAGATTGTTTTCTATGGAGTTGAGTGCCTTACATATTCTAGTTATTAATCCCTGGGCAGATGGATAGTTTGCAAATATTTTCTCCTATTTTGTGGGCTGTCTCTTCATTTTGTGGATTGTCTCCTTTGCTGTGCAGAAGCTTTTTAACTTGATGTGATCCCATTTGTCCATTTTTTGGCTTGGTTGCTTGTGCTTATGGGGTATTACTCAAGGTACATTTTCCCAGTCCATGTCCTGGAGAGTTTCCCCAATGTTTTCTTGTAGTAGTTTTATAGTTTGAGGTCTTAGGTTTAAGTCTTTAATCCTTTTTTTTTTTTCTTTTTGGGGCAGAGTCTTACTCTGTTGCCAAGGCTGGAGTGCAGTGGTGTGATCTTGGCTCACTGCAACATCCACCTCCCAGGTTCAAGAAATTCTCCTGCCTCAGCCTCTTGGTAGCTGGGATTACAGGTACCCACCATCATCCCCAGCTAATTTTTGTATTTTTAGTAGAGATGGGGTTTCACCATGTTGGCCAGGCTGGTCACGAACTTCTGACCTCAAGTGATCTGCCCGCCTCAGCCTCCCAAAGTGCTGACATTACAGGAATGAGCCACCATGCCCGGCCCCATAGTTTCCTTTTTTAGTGGTTTTTTTTCCTTTTTTTTTTTTTTTTTGACAGAGTCTTGCTGTGTCACCCAGGCTGATATGCAGTGGCACGATCTTGGCTCATTTCAACTCCCACCTCCTGGATTCAAGCGATTCTCCTGCCTCAGCCTCCTGAGTAGCTGGGATTACAGGCATGTACCACCACACCCACCTAATTTTTTTTTTGTACTTTTGGTTGAGATGGGGTTTCACCATGTTGGTCAGGCTGGTCTCAAAATCCCGACCTCAGGTGATCTGCCGGCCTTGGCCTCCCAAAGTGCTGGGAGTACACGCATGAGCCACTGTGCCTGGCCCCAGAATTTCTTTTTTTTTTGATGTCTTTGTCTGGTTTTGATATCAGCATAATACTTGCCTCACAAAGTGAGTTTGGAAGTATTCCCTCCTCTGCTATTTTTTTTTGGAATAGTTCAGGTAGGATTTATATTAGTTCTTTAAATGTTTGGTAAAATTCAGCACTGAAGCCATTGGGTCTGGACTTTTCTTTGCTGGGAGACATGTTACTATTTTTTTTTTTTTTGAGACAAGAATCTTGCTCTGTTGCCCAGGCTGGGGTGCAGTGGTGCAATCTCAGCTCACTGTAACCTTCATCTCCCAGGTTCAATTGATTCTCATGCCTGAGCCTTCCGAGTAGCTGGGACTACAGGTGCCCGCCACCACACCTGGCTAATTTTTGTATTTTTAGTAGAGATGGGGTTTCACTATGTTGATCTCATTACTTGTTATTGGTCTGTTCAAGGTTTTGGATTTCTTTATTTTTCAATCATGGTAGGTTGTATGTGTCTAGGAATTTATACATTTCTTCTACTTTTCCCAATTTATTGGCATATAGTTGCTCATAGTAGCCTCTAGTGATCCTTTGAATTTCTGCACTATCTGTTGTAATGTCTCCTTGTTCATCTCTAATTTTATTTATTTGGCACTTGTCTCTTTTTCTTAGTTAACCTGTCAATTTTGTTTATCTTTTCAAAAAAACAACTTTTCATTTCAGTGATCTTTTATATTATTTTCTTTGTTTCAATTTTATTTATTTCTCCTCTGATCTTTGTTATTTCTTTTGGAGTGCAGTGGCATAATCATGGCTTACTGCAGTCTTGACCTCTCAGGCTCAAGTGATTCTCCCAGCTCAGCCTCCTGAGTAGCTGGGATCACAGGCATGTGCCACCATGCCTGGCTATTTAATTTTTTTTTTTTTTTTTTTTGTAGAGATGTGGTCTTTCCATGTTGCCCAGGTTGGTCTTGAACTCCTGGGCCTAAGTGATCTTCCTGCCTCAGCCTCCCAAAATGCTGAGATTACAGGCATGAGCCCCTGTGCCTTGCGAATATTATTTCTTTTCTTCTACTAATTTTGGGTTTTGTTTGCTCTTACTCTTCTAGTTCTTGAAGACGCATCATTAGGTTATTTGAAGTTTTGCTACTTTTTTGATGTAGGTGCTTGTAGCTATAAACTTTCCTCTTAGTACCGCTTTCACTGTATCCCATAGGTTTTGGTATGTTGTATTTCCATTATCATTTGTTTCAAGAAATTTTTAAATTTCCTTCTTAATTTTTTTATTGGCCCGCTAGTCATTCAGGGGCATATTCTTTAAATTCCATGTGTTCATGCAGTTTCCAAAATTCCTCTGGTTACTGATTTCTAGTTTTATTCCATTGTGGTCAGAAAAGATACTTGATATAATGTCAATTTTTTTGAATTTTTAAAGGCTTGATTTGTGGACTAACATTTGGTCTACCCTTGAGAATGATCTATATGCTGAGGAGAAGAACGTGTATTCTGTAGCCACTGGATGAAATGTTCTGTAGATATGTTACATGCGTTCGGTCTATAGTGCAGGTTAAGTCCAAGGTTTCTTTGTTGATTTTCTAGTTGGATGATCTGTCCAAATGCTGAAAGTGGGGTTTTGAAGTCTCTAGCTATTATTTTATTGGGATTTATCTCTCTTTTCAACTCTAAAAATATTTGCTTTATATGTTTGAATGCTCCAGTGTTGGGTGCATATATTTAAAATTTAAATTTTAAATTTGTTATATCCTGTGCTAAATTGACCACTTTATAATTACATAGTGACATTTTTGGCCTCTTTATAGTTTTTTTTTTCTTGAAATCTATTTTATGTGATATACATATAGCTATTCCTTCTCTTTTTTGGTTTTCATTGGCATGGAACATCTTCTTCTATCCCTTCATTTTCAGTCTATGTGTATATTTTATTTTTTTATTTTTATTTTTTGAGACGAAGTCTTGCTCTGTTGCCCAGGCTGGAGTTCCAGTGGTGTGATCTCAGGTTAATGCAACCTCCGCCTTACAAGTTCAAGTGATTCTCCTGCCTCAGCATCCCAAGTAGCTGGGACTACAGGCGCACCAACCATGCCCAGCTAATTTTTGTATTTGTTGTTGTTGTTATTCTTTTTTTTTTTTAATTATTATACTTTAAGTTCTGGGATACATGTGGAGAACGTGCAGGTTTGTTACATAGGTATACATGTGCCATGGTGGTTTCCTGCACCTGTCAAGCCATCATCTACATTAAGTATTTCTCCTAATGCTATCCTCCCTCTAGCCCCCCACCCCCGACAGGCCCTGGTGTGTGATGTCCCCCTCCCTGTGTCCATGTGTTCTCATTGTTCAACTCCCACTTATGAATGAGAACATGTGGTGTTTGGTTTTCTGTTCCTGTGTTAGTTTGCTGAGAATGATGGTTTCCAGTCTCATCCATGTCCGTGCAAAGGACATGAACTCATCCTTTTTTATGGCTGCATAGTATTCTATGGTGTATATGTGCCACATTTTCTTTATTCAGTCTATCATTGATAGGCATTTGGGTTGGTGCCAAGTCTTTGCTATTGTGAATAGTGCTGCAATAAACATACATGTGCGTGTGTCTTTATAGTAGAATGATTTACAATCCTTTGGGCATATACCCAGTAATGGGATTGCTGGATCAAATGCTATTTCTGGTTCTAGCTCCTTGAGGAATCGCCACACTGTCTTCCACAATGGTTGAACTAATTGACACTCCCACCAACAGTGTAAAACATTCCTATTTCTTCACATCCTTTCCAGCATCTGTTATTTCCTGACTTTTTAATGATCGCCATTCTAACTGGCATGAGATGCTATCTCATTGTGGTTTTGGTTTGCGTTTCTCTAATGACCAGTGATGATGAGCCTTTTTTCGTATGTTTGTTGGCCACATAAATGTCTTCTTTTGAGAAGTGTCTGTTCATATCCTTTGCCCACTTCTTGATGGGGTTGTTTTTTTCTTGTAAATTTGTTTAAGTTCCTTGTAGATTCTGGATATTAGCCCTTTGTCAGATGGATAGATTGCAAAAATTTTCTCACATTCTGTAGGTTGCCTGTTCAGTCTGATGATAGTTTCTTTTGCTGTGCAGAAGCTCTTTAGATTAATTAGATCCCATTTGTCAACTTTGGCCTTTGTTGCCATTGCTTTTGGTGTTTTAGTCATGAAGTCTTTGCTCATGTCTACGTCCTGAATGGTATTGCCTAGGATTTCTTTTAGGGTTTTTATGATTTTAGGTCTTATGTTTAAGTCTTTAATCCATCTTGAGTTAATTTTTGTATAAGGTGTTAGGAAGGGGTCCAGTTTCAATCTTCTGCATATGGCTAGCCAGTTTTCTCAACACCATTTGTTAAACAGGGAATCCTTTCCCCATTGCTTGTTTTTGTCAGGTTTGTCAAAGATCAGATGGTTGTAGCTGTGTGACATTATTTCTGAGGCCTGTGTTCTGTTCCGTTGGTCTATATATCTGTTTTGGTACCAGTACCGTGTTGTTTTGGTTACTGTAGCCTTGCAGTATAGTTTGAAGTCAGGTAGCATGATGCCCCCAGCTTTGTTCTTTTTACTTAGGATTTTCTTGGCTATACAGGCTTTTTTTGGTTCCATATGAAAATTTAAAGTAGTTTTTTTCTAATTCTGTGAAGAAAGTCAATGGTAGTTTGATGGGGATAGCAATGAATCTATAAATTACTTTGGGCAGTATGGCCATTTTCATGATATTGATTCTTCCTATCCATGAGCATGGAACGTTTTTCCATTTGTTTGTGTCCTCTCTTATTTCCTTGAGCAGTGGTTTGTAGTTCTCCTTAAAGAGGTCCTTCACATCCCTTGTAAGTTGTATTCCTAGGTATTTTATTCTCTTTGAAGCAATTGTGAATGGGAGTTCACTCATGATTTGGCTCTCTGTCTACTGTTGGTGTATAAGAATGCTTGTGATTTTTGCACATTGATTTTGTATCCTGAGACTTTGCTGAAGTTGCTTATCAGCTTAAGGAGATTTTGGGCTGGGACAATGGGGTTTTCTAAATATACAATCATGTCATCTGCAAACAGAGACAATTTGACTTCCTCTCTTCCTATTTGAATATCCTTTATTTCTTTCTCCTGCCTGATTGCCCTGGCCAGAACTTCCAATACTATGTTGAATAGGAGTGGTGAGAGAGGGCATCCTTGTCTTATGCCAGTTTTCAAAGGGAATGCTTCCGGTTTTTGCCCATTCAGTATGATATTGGCTGTGTGTTTGCCATAAATATCTCTTAATATTTTGAGATATGTTCCATCATTACTTAGTTTATTGACAGTTTTTATCATGAAGCTGTGTTGAATTTTATTGAAGGTCTTTTCTGCATTTATTGAGATAATCATGTGTTTTTTGTCATTGGTTCTGTTTATATGATGGATTACGTTTATTGATTTGCATATGTTGAACCAGCCTTGCATCCGAGGGATGAAGCACACTTGATCATGGTGGATAAGCTTTTTGATGTGCTGCTGGATTCGGTTTGCCAGTATTTTATTGAGGATTTTTGCATCGATGTTCATCAGGGATATTGGCCCAACATTTTCTTTTTTTGTTGTGTCTCTGCCAGGTTTTGGTATCAGGATGATGCTGGCCTCATAAAATGAGTTAGGGAGGATTCCCTCTTTTTCAATTTTTGGAATAGTTTCAGAAGGAATGGTACCTGCTCCTCTCTGTACCTCTGGTAGAATTTGGCTGTGAATCCATCTGGTCCTGGGCTTTTTTTGGTTGGTAAGCTATTAATTACTGCCTCAATTTCAAAACTTGTTATTGGTCTATTCAGGGATTCGACTTCTTCCTGGTTTAGTCTTGGGAGGGTGTATGTGTCTAGGAATTTATCTGTTTCTCCTAGATTTTCTAGTTTATTTGAGTGAAAGTGTTTATAGTATTCTCTGATGGTAGTTTGTATTTCTGTGGGATCAGTGGTGATATCCCCTGTATCATTTTTTATTGTATCTATTTGATTCTTCTGTCTTTTCTCCTTTATTAGTCTGGCTAGTGGTCTATCTATTTTGTTAATCTTTTCAAAAAACCAGCTCCTGGATTCATTGATTTTTTGAAGGGTATTTTTGTGTCTTTGTCTCCATCAGTTCTGCTCTGATCTTAGTTATTTCTTGTCTTCTGCTAGCTTTTGAATTTGTTTGCTCTTGGTTCTCTACTTCTTTTAATTTTGATGTTAAGGTGTTGATTTTAGGTCTTTCCCACTTCTCCCGTGGGCATTTAGTGCTATAAGTTTCCCTCTAAACATTGCTTTAGCTGTGTCCCAGAGATTCTGGTACATTGTGTCTTTGTTCTCATTGCTTTCAGAGAACTTATTTATTTCTACCCTTATTTCATTATTTACCCAGTAGTCATTCAGGAGCAGGTTTTTCAGTTTCCATGGGTTTGTGCGGTTTTGAGTGAGTTTCTTAATCCCGAGTTCTAATTTGATTGCATTGTGGTCTGAGAGACTGTTTGTTATGATTTCTGTTCTTTTGCTTTTGCTGAGGAGTTCCAATTATGTGGTCAATTTTAGAATAAGTGCGACGTGGTGCTGAGAAGAATGTATATTCTGTTGATTTGGGGTGGAGAGTTCTGTAGATGTCTATTAGGTCTTCTTGGTCCAGAGCTGAGTTCAAGTCCTGAATATCCTAGTTAATTTTCTGTCTCATTGATCTGTCTAATATTGACAGTGGGGTGTTAAAGTCTGCCACTATTATTGTGTGAGGGTCTATGTCTCTTTGTAGATCTCTAAGAGCTTGCTCTATGAATCTGGGTGCTCCTGTATTGGGTGCATATATATTTAGGATAGTTAGCTCTTCTTGTTGCATTGATCCCTTTACCATTATGTAATGCCCTTCTTTGTCTTTTTTGATCTTTGTTGGTTTAAAATCTGTTTCATCAGAGACTAGGATTGCAACCCCTGTTTTTTTTTCCATTTGATTAGTAGATCTTCCTCCATCCCTTTATTTTGAGCCTATGTGTGTCTCTGCATGTGAGATGGGTCTCCTGAATATGGCAAACCAATGAGTCTTGATTCTTTATCCAATTTGCCAGTGTGTGTCTTTTAATTGGGGGCATTTAGCCCATTTGCATTTAAGGTTAATATTGTTATGTGTGAATTTGATCCTGTCGTTATGATGCTAGCTGGTTATTTTGCCAGTTAGTTGATGCAGTTTCTTCATCGTGTCATTGGTCTTTATAATTTGGTATGTTTTTGCAGTGGCTGGTACTGGTTTTTCCTTTACATACTTAGTGTTTCCTCCAGGAGCTCTCATAAGGCAGGCCTAGTGGTGACAAAATCTCTCAGCATTTGCTTGTCTATAAAGGATTTTATTTCTCCTTCACTTATGAAGCTTAGTTTGGCTGGATATTAAATTCTGGATTGAAACTTCTTTTCTTTAAGAGTGTTGAATATTGGCTCCTACTATCTTCTGGCTTGTAGAGTTTCTGCAGAGAGATCCACTGTTAGTCTGATTGACTTCCCTTTGTGGGTAACCCAACCTTTCTCTTGGGCTGCCCTTAACATTTTTTCCTTTATTTCAACCTTGGTGAATCTGATGATTATGTGTCTTGGGGTAGCTCTTCTCGAGGGATATCTTTGTGATGTTCTCTGTATTTCCTGAATTTGAATGTTGGTCTGTCTTGCTAGGTTGGGGAAGTTCTCCTGGATAATATCCTGAAGAGTGTTTTCCAACGTGGTTCCATTCTCCCCGTCACTTTCAGGTACACCAATCAAATGTAGGTTTGGTCTTTTCACATAGTCCCATATTTCTTAGAGGCTTTGTTCATTCCTTTTCATTCTTTTTTCTCTAATCTTGTCTTCATGTTTATTTCATTAAGTTGATCTTCAATCTCTGATATCCTTTCTTCCTCTTGATCATTTCAGCTATTGATACTTGTGTATGCTTCACGAAGTTCTCGTGCTGTATTTTTCAGCTCCATCAGGTCATTTATTTTCTTCTCTAAACTGGTATTCTAGTTAGCAATTCCTCTAACATTTTTTCAGGGTTCTTAGCTTCCTTGCATTGGGTTAGAACATACTCCTTTAGCTCAGAGGAGTTTGTTATTACCCACCTTTTGAAGCCTACTTCTGTCAGTTCATCAAACTCATTCTCCGTCCAGTTTTGTTCCCTTGCTGGCGAGGAGTTGTGATCCTTTGGAGGATCACAGAAGAGGCATTCTGGTTTTTGGAATTTTCAGCCTTTTTGCACTGGTTTTTCCTCATCTTCATGGATTTATCTACCGTTGGTCTTTGATGTTGGTGGCCTTCGGATGGGATTTTTGTGTGGACTTCCTTTCTGTTGACATTGATGCTATTCCTTTCTGTTTGTTAGTTTTCCTTCTAACAGTCAGGGCCCTCTGCTGCAGGTCTACTGGAGTTTGCTGGAGGTCCACCCCAGATCCTTTTTGCCTGGGTATCACCAGCGGAGGCTGCAGAACAGCAAAGATTGGTGCCTATTCTTTCCTCTGGAAGCTTTGTCCTAGAGGGGTACCCTCCAGATGCCTGCCAGATGAGGTGTATCGACCCCCGCTGGGAGGTGTCTCCCAGTCAGGAGGCACAGAGGTCGGGTACCCACTTGAGGAGGCAGTCTGCCCCTTAGCAGAGCTCACGCGCTGTGCTGGAAGATCCACTGTTCTCTTCAGAGCTGGCAGGCAGGAAGGTTTAAGTCTGCTGAAGCTGTGTGCACAGCCGCCCCTTCCCCCAGGTGCTCTGTCCCAGGGACATGGGAGTTTTATCTATAAGCCCCTGACTGGGGTTGCTGCCTTTCTTTCAGAGATGCTCTGCCCAGAGAGGAGGAATCTAGAGAGGAAGTCTGGCTACAGCGGCTTTACCAAGGTGCAGTGGGCTCTGCCCAGTTTGAACTTCCTGGAGGCTTTGTTTCTACTGTGAGGGTAAAATCGCCTACTCAAGCCTCAGTAGTGATGGATGCCCCTACCCCCACCAAGCTCAAGCATCCCAGGTCGACTTCAGACTTCTGTGCTAGCAGCGAGAATTTCAAGCCAGCGGATCTTAGCTTGCTGGGCTCCATGGGGGTGGGATCCATTGAGCTAGACCACTTGGCTCCCTGGCTCCAGCCCCCTTTCCAGGGGAGTGAATGGTTCTGTCTTGCTGGCATTCCAGGTGCCACTTTGGTATGATAAAAAAAACTCCTGCAGCTAAGTCAGTGTCTGCCCAAATGGCCGCCCAGTTTTGTGCTTGAAACCCAGGTGTTGCAGGCACCTGAGGGAACCTCCTGGTGTGTGAGTTGCAAAGACCATGGGAAAAGCATAGTATCTTGGCCAGAATGCACCATTCCTCATGGCACAGTCCTTCACAGCACAGTCTTTCCAGGCTTCCCTTGACTAGGGGAGGGAGTTCCCTGACCCCTTGCACTTCCCTGGTGAGGCGATGCCCCACCCTGCTTTGGCTCACCCTCCATGGGCTGAATTCACTGTCTAACCAGTCCCAATGAGATGAGCCAGGTACCTCAGTTGGAAATGCAGAAGTCACCCACTTTCTGTGTTGATCTTGCTGGGAGCTGCAGACTGGAGCTTTTCCTATTTGGCCATCTTACCCGAAACCCCACTGTTGTTTGATTTTTGTATTTTTAGAAGAGAGGGGATTTTGCCATGTTGGTCAGGCTGGTCTTGAACTCCTGACCTCAAGTGATCCACCCACCTCAGCCTCCCAAAGTGCTGGGATTACAGGTGTGAGCCACCGTGCCCAGCTTATGTGTATATTTATAGGGAAAGTGTGTTTCTTGTAGGCAACAGATCATTGGGTCCTTTTTTTTTTTTTTTAATTCATTCAGCCCCTCTATGTCTTTTGATTGGAGAGTTTAGTCCATTTACATTCAGTGTGATTGCTGATAAGTAAGGATTTACTTCTGCTATTTTATTATTTGTTTTCTGGTTGTTTTGTGATTTTCTTTTTTTTTTTTTTTTTTTTTTGAGACAGAGTCTCGCTCTGTATCCCAGGCTGGAGTGGAGTGGTGTGATCTTGGCTCACTGCAAGCTTCGCCTCCTGGATTCACGCCATTTTCCTGCCTCAGACTCCTGAGTAGCTGGGATTACAGGCACCCACCACTATGCCTGGCTAATTTTTTGTATTTTTAGTAGAGATGGGGTTTCACTGTGTTAGCCAGGATGATCTCGATCTCCTGACCTTGTGATCCGCCTCAGCCTCCCAAAGTGCTGGGATTACAGGCATGAGCTACCGCGCCCAGCCCTGTTTTGTGGTTTTCTTTTCCTTCTTTCTTGCCTTCCTGTCTTCCTTTTAATGAAGGTGATTTTCTCTGGTGGTATGTTTTAATTTCTTGCTTTTTATTTTTGTGTATCTATTGTATGTTTGTTGATTTGAGGTTATCTAGAGGCTTGGAAATAATATCTTATAACCTATTATTTTAAAAGATTGTAAGATATTATAACAACATATCACTGATTGCATAAGAAAGAGAAAATTAATAAAAACTCTACACTTTATCCTCCTGCTTTTAAACACTTTGTTGCTTCTATTTATATCTTATTGCACTGTCTATGACTTGAAATGTTGTAGTTATTATTTTTGATCGGGTCATCTTTTAGTCTTTCTTTTATTAAATTATTAGTAGAGATGAGGTCTTGCTATGCTGCTCAGGCTGGCCTTGAACTCCTGAGCTCAAGTGATCTTCCTGCCTCCCATAGTGCTGGGATTACAGGTGTGACCCCCTACATGCAGTCATCTTTTAGTCTTTCTACTCAAGATTTGAGTAGTTTATATACAACAATTACAGTGTTATAATATTCTGTGTTTTTCTGTATACTTACTGTTACCAGTGGGCTTGCTACCTTCAGATGATTTCTTATTGCTCATTAACATTATTTTCTGTCAGATTGAAGAAATCTCTTTAGCATTTCTTGTAGGACAGGACTGGTATTGATAAAATCTCTCAGCTTTTGTTTATTTGGGAAAGTCTTACTTTCTCCTTCATGTTTGAAGGATATTTTCACTGGATATACTATTCTAGGATAAAAAAATTTTTTCCTTCAGCACTTTAAATAAGTCATGGTACTCTCTCCTGGCCTGTAAGATTTCCACTGAGAAATCTGCTGTCAGATGTATTGGAGCTCCATTGTATGTTATTTCTTTCTTTTGCTGCTTTTAGGATCCTTTATTTATCCTTGACCTTTGGAAGTTTGATGATGATGATGATGATTATTATTTTTTTACTAGGTTTCGTTTTGTCACCAGGCTGGAGTGCAGTGGTGCGATCTCGGCTCACCGCAACCTCTGCCTCCCGGGTTCAAGTGATTCTCCTGCCTCAGCCTCCCAAGTAGCTGGGACTACAGGTGCGTGCCACCATGCCCAGCTAATTTTTGTATTTTTAGTAGAGATGGGATTTAACCATGTTGGCCAGGATGGTCTCGATCTCCTGACCTCGTGATCCACCTGCCTCGGCCTCCCAAAGTGCTGGGATTACAGGCATGAGCCACCATGACCGGCCAGAATTCTAACTTACTTGTCAGTGTTATCTTTAATTTCATTGAGTTTCCTCCAAACAGTTATTTTGCCTTCTCTGTCTGAAAGGTCACAGCAGATCAAAACTGGAGCAACAGCCAGGTTCATGTCCTGTTGCATGGGGCTGTTCCATTGGGCACTCCTTCAAGTGAGGCCAGCCAGTAGGGCCCAAACTCAGGAAATAATTTATGCGGGTGGCCTTGGCCAACTAATTACACGAAGAGCGGGCTGACATTTAGGTGCTGGGCTGCACAATCACGTTAAGGGTTGCCAGACATTCGGGAGCTGGGGCTCCCCAGGCAACAATGACTCATCAATCTTATAAAATGTGTGGGGATAAAAGCCAATTACTCATTTACATTAAAAACGTCTTTACATTATGCCAAGGTTTTCCTCCTAGCAGAGTCTCCTCCTCTCTTGCCATTTTTCATGAAATGGCCCTAACAGCTACAGTCTAGAAGAGCATGGCTTTTTAAATTGACCTTCAGTCACATTGGCTGACGTACGTTTTCATAATGTTGAAGGTGCGTTTTTCTGATTCAATTGTGGAATTAGGTTAATGAAACAGTACCTTCCCACACATGAGGCCGAATGTCATTGCTGAGGTGAAGATGGGGAGTGCTGAACTGGGTCACAGGAATAAGGCTGCATAAGCACCTCCTAGGAAGACCAAAGCACACCTACGCCTGTTTGTAATTCAGTGTTGCAAATAAGCACTTTTAAAAACAGATGTCCATAAAATATTTTAGGCTTTATTCTTTTACCTCGGATTGTTTAAGTTAAAAAACATTTACTATTGGTTTATCATTTTAGTAAACCAGGTTGAAGCATATGGATAAATAGCAATCAAAAGCAGTGAAATATAATGTAGCCTTGATATGTGAATTATTATACACAGTGGGTTAAGGGAAGAAGTCGACGTGTCTGCTATTCATACTTAAATTGTGACTCACCTATTCAGTGAAGAAACTCAGAGAAGAGGATTAATCTGGATCCTAGTCTCATTTTGATCACAGTGTATTTCACTAGCTTGGGGGACTGTCAAATCACTTGAAAAAACATTTATGTAATTTGTCATGCAGTTACACATGTAATCATTTGTAATTGTAACTATACTCCTCGGGGAGTATAATTACTCCCCCAGGATTGTAAGTCACATGAGAGAGCTTTCAGAGTTTCAGGGGTATAGAGATTGGTACCTGTTTCATTTTGTTTCTTGTTTTCATTCTGTGTGCTGGCCATCACAAAGGGCTAAGAGACTACGTTTACTTCATAGTCTCCTGCTAGTGATGGAAGGGTCATACTTTGTTCCCCCCTCTTGGTCAGGGGAGGGCATCCAGTCTTAAGTTAGTCAGGCTATAGGTTGGTTGGTGGCTTATAAGATGGCCTGATACCAAGAACCTGCCCAAATTATTATGATGGTGACCATACTGGAACAAGCAATTTCTTTGTTTTAAGAGAATCAAGATATAGAGAGAGTTAGTTGGTTGTGGGAGCAGGAGCTGAAAATACATACAGAGAGGGGGCAGTCTGCGGATGCCATACCACAAGTATGCTTAAGTCAAGAGGTAGAAAAAGTGCACGTATATTTCTCAGCAGTGTAGCCTGGGCTGTCTCACCAGTGGTTAACAAACAGGTGTCCCTGAAATGCAGATTTCTAGGTAATCACATTTGGGAAACACCACATCTATATTCCCTTCTGCAGAGTCATACAATGCCTTAGCTTATTAAAGACTGAGAATCCTACAGTAAGAAGATCGTCTAACATTGACTCAGTGTTTCCCAGTCTTGTTGGACAAAGGACTCTCACCTATTAACATCTTTTACAACACAGGTGTTCCGTGGAACAGAGTTTAGAGTAGGGGTTGGCATCTGTGGGTGGAAGCAAAAAAAGAATTGCTCCAGAAACAGACAGTTCAGTCCCATGTCAGGGAAGTCCAGAAACTCCTTTGCTGAGGCAGTGATAAATTTCTGGTCATTAGATCTGTTTTACACTCTGAACCGCCTTCTAGTCATTGTGTGGTCTAGGCACAGCTGCTCTAGTATTTTAGAGCTGCCGTAATATTTTAGTGTTCCGATTTCAGTGAGTATTCTTATCTTAAACCTCCACTAATTAAGATGAAGTCACTAATTAAGAGTGAGGCTTTTCTCTTGTAACTGAGAGTCTGATTAATGTAACAGGATGTCACATGTGACTTTCCAGTTGTCTCCCCAGGTGACAAATGTCCCTACTGTCTCATGAGATGTTGGATCACCTACACAGCACTTGCTAAGGGATTATGGAAATGGCATTGCCAGCATTCTCCTCATGTGCTGCAGGTGAGGGAGAAGAGGTAAAGAATCCGTTATGGGAAAGGGCAGTGAGAATCTTTTGACAGGAGAGTTATCAGAGTGCCTTCCTGGGGGAGGGGACAGAGTGTGCCCCTAGGGTCATAAGGCAAGTGAGGGAGCCTTCAGTGTCAGGGATGTAGGGACTGTGACCTGTTTCCTTCTGACTTGAGCTGCCAGAGTGAGGTGAAAAGGTAATTGGGGAGGAATTGTACTCCCACTTGTGGAGGGGTAAGGTGTGAACAGTGAGTACCCATGGAAGGAAGTAGCACTCAGGTTATCTTTATTTTTATTTATTTATTTATTTATTTATTTTATTTATTATTATTATTATTATACTTTAAGTTTTAGGGTACATGTGCACAATGTGCCAGTTAGTTACATATGTATACACGTGCCATGCTGGTGTGCTGCACCCATTAACTCGTCGTTTAGCATTAGGTATATCTCCTAATGCTATCCCTCCCCCCTCCCCCCACCCTACAACAGTCCCCAGAGTGTGATGTTCCCCTTCCTGTGTCCATGTGTTCTCATTGTTCAATTCCCACCTATGAGTGAGAATATGTGGTGTTTGGTTTTTTGTCCTTGAGATAGTTTACTGAGAATGATGATTTCCAATTTCATCCATGTCCCTACAAAGGACATGAACTCATCATTTTTTATGGCTGCATAGTATTCCATGGTGTATATGTGCCACATTTTCTTAATCCAGTCTATCATTGTTGGACATTTGGGTTGGTTCCAAGTCTTTGCTATTGTGAATAGTGCTGCAATAAACATATGTGTGCATGTGTCTTTATAGCAGCATGATTTATAGTCCTTTGGGTATATACCCAGTAATGAGGAATTGCCACACTGACTTCCACAATGGTTGAACAAGTTTACAGTCCCACCAACAGTGTAAGAGTGTTCCTATTTCTCCACATCCTCTCCAGCACCTGTTGTTTCCTGACTTTTTAATGACTGCCATTCTAACTGGTGTGAGATGGTATCTCATTGTGGTTTTGATTTGCATTTCTCTGATGGCTAGTGATGATGAGCATTTTTTCATGTGTCTTTTGGCTGCATAAATGTCTTCTTTTGAGAAGTGTCTGTTCATATCCTTTGCCCACTTTTTGATGGGGTTGTTCGTTTATTTTCTTGCAAATTTGTTTGAGTTCATTGTAGATTCTGGATATTAGCCCTTTGTCAGATGAGTAGGTTGTGAAAATTTTGTAGGTTGTCTGTTCACTCTGATGGTAGTTTTGTAGGTTGCCTGTTCACTCTGATGGTAGTTTCTTTTGCTGTGCAGAAGCTCTTTAGTTTAATTAGATCCCATTTGTCAATTTTGGCTTTTGTTGCCATTGCTTTTGGTGTTTTAGACATGAAGTCCTTGCCCATGCCTATGTCCTGAATGGTAATGCCTAGGTTTTCTTCTAGGGTTTTTATGGTTTTAGGTCTAACGTTTAAGTCTTTAATCCATCTTGAATTAATTTTTGTATAAGGTGTAAGGAAGGGATCCAGTTTCAGCTTTCTACATATGGCTAGCCAGTTTTCCCTATTTATTTATTTTTGAGATGGAGTTTCACTCTAGTTACCGAGGCTGGAGTGCAGTGGCACAATCTCGGCTCACTGCAACCTCTGGCTCCCGGGTTCAAGCAATTCTCCTACCTCATCCTCCCACGTAGCTGGGATTACAGGCATGCGCCACCAAGGCCGGCTAATTTTTTATTTTTAGTAGAGATGGGGTTTCTCCATGTTGGCCAGGCTGGTCTTGAACTCCTGACCTCAGGTGATCCGCCCACCTTGGCCTCCCAAAGTGCTGGGATTACAGGCGTGAGCCACTGTGCCCAGCACAGTCAGGTTATCTTTAAAAAGAGGACCTTCTGGAGGGGCAAAGTGAAAGCAGCATCAAGTGGCCAGAGCTGGGCTGGGTGCAGCGGTGCATGCCTGTAGTCCCAGCTACTTGGGTAGCTGAGGCAGGAAGATTGCTTGAGCCCAGGAGTCCAAGGCAGCAGTGAACTATGATTGCACCACTGCACACCACCCTGGGCAACAGAGCAAGACCCCATGTCTAATTAAAATAGTTGCTTGAACCAGACAATAGGAAACTAGAACAGAAAGGAAGGCACTGGTGGCCAGCTGGAGGAGGTCCTGCCTATACTAGCAACTATGGCAGGAAAGTAGGGTCCCCTGGGAGGAGGAAGAGCCAGTAATTGTGTATCTGCTGCACTGAAGGCTACTCTGAAATGATAGTCCCACCAGGACATAGCTCCATGTCGCTGCCTTTTCCCCCTCCTACCACACCCTCAGCCTGGGGAGGAGCCAGGGGCAGCACGGGGCATGGGGAAGAGGCATAGAAAGCATTGACTATGCCCCCTACAACCCCCATCCAAACAGCAGGTTTCCCAGCTGGTAGGTCCCTCCTGGGGGAATAGAGAAGCTTTAATTGGATCAAGAGTTTGGAGGTTGGCTATTTGACCATACTAGAATTTTTGTCTAAAACTGACCGAAGGGCTTTTATTATCTGAGAGCCTGGAGGATCTGTGAGCCTAGGGCTGGGATGGAGCAGGTGCACACAGTGAGTTGTGCAGGGAGTAGTCATGCTTCTGGTTTATTTAATTCTGCCTCCATGCAGTGGGAATAGGACAAAACTAAAAATCAGTTTAAAGAGTTTATACGTGTTTACACTTTATAACAGGTGTTTACACTGCTTCCTAAGAAATTAATTACACATGAACTAATTCTAACATGAAAGACTGTGGACACTTATAATGCATACACAATAAACAACCAATGAATATGCATTCAATCAATGAACACTTATGAAGCACCTCAGCTGGGTATTGGGGCCTGTGAGGATAACTAGGAACTGATTTATGCTCTCAAGAAGCATGCAATCTAGTCTGAGAAGTCCCGGTCTAGCCTGGAGATTTCTTCAGGTTGCATAAGAATCACAGTGGTGTTGGTTGTGGCACTGGTTTGAATGCATCTCTACTTTTAAGTCTGATTCAGTAGGTCTGGGTTGGGACCTAGGGATCTGCATTTTAACAAACACCTTGTTCTACAGGTCGTCAGTGGAGAAATAATAATCTAGCTCTCCAAATAGCACCACATACAGAAGCAACTTTTACTGTATTGGGTCATGTATTATTGATTCTCACAGAGTTTGTCCCAGAATCCAGGACACTATTATCCATTTGGATAAAACAAAGTTTCTGCTTGTTCTTTGTTACATCAAATGAAAACAGCTGGATAGATTTTCACCAAATTAGAAGAGGATATTTGGGCTTGTCTGACTTAAGAGGTAAAGGAAATTTATTTTAGGGGTTCCCGAAGAGGGGTGTCCTTTGAAGAGACGGGCAGCTATCTTCCAGAGCCATATCAAATGCTGATTTCTGACAATGCCACTTCCCCCACAAGCAATCTAGGCTGAGGGTGGGAGCAGCAGGAGTTTATTGATGTAATGCTGGGTTAGTGATTGATGTGAGCAGCCCAGGGGAGGCCAGGGACCTGATAACAGCATCTTCACAAAAACATATGCTGGAGAAAATGGACCATAAATATGTAAACAGAGAGTTTTTTCTTGTTTTGAGACAGAGTCCCAGGCTGGAGTGCCATGGTGTGATCTCAGCTCACCGTAATCTCTGCCTCCCAGGTTCAAGCAATTCTCCTGCCTCAGCCTCCTGAGTAGCTGGGATTACAGGTGCATGCCACCATACCTGCTAATTTTTGTATTTTTTGTAGAGACAGGGTTTCGCCATGATGCCCAGGCTGGTCTTGAACTCCTGGCCTCAAGTGATCTACCCACCCCAGGCTCCCAGAATGCTGGGATTACAGGTATGAGCCACCAGGTCTGGCCTAGACAGACAGTTTTAATCCCCATTTTCCTATTTGTTTGGGAAGTCTGGACAATGATCTTGCCTTCTCTGTTTGTTTCTCTGGTTACATCATTAGGAGCATGCTGACTTTTTTCCATAAGGTTGTTGTAAGGAATAGTGAATAAAAGCCTCTGTTAAGCACTTGAAAATTTTATAAAGATGAGTTTTTTTAAAAGATGAGTTTCGTTGTAGTTAAAAATGTAGAATAAGTGGGACAAGCTAAATTTTATTGCAAGACCTTGAACTTAGTTTAATCCAGCATTACTTTTTAGTATATTGATCATTTCATTTCGTTCATTGTTTAGATGACTCAGTGTACAGATGTGATGTAATTTTAAAATAACATATGCTTACAGCAAAAGAAACTATCAATCAAGTCAACAGACAACCTACGGAATGGGAGAAAATATTTGCAAACTATGCATCCCACAAAGGTCGACTATCTAGAATCTAAAAGAACTTAAATTTATAAGCAAATAACAATCCCATTAAAAAGTGGGCAAAGGACGTGAACAGACCCTTTTAAAAAGAAGGCATACATGCAGCCAACAAGCATATGAAAAAATGTTTAACCTAATCATTAGAGAAATGCAAATCAAAATCATGGTAAGAGACCATTTCACACCAGTCAGCTGGCTATTGCTAAAAAGTCAAAAAGTAACAGATGCTGGTGAGGTTGTGAAGAAAAGGGAATGCTTATACACTGCTGGTGAGAGTGTAAATTAGTTCAGCCAATGTGGAAAGCAGTTTGGCAATTCCTCAAAGAACTTAAAACAGCCTTACCCAGTCCAGGTGCAGTAGCTCAGGCCTGTGATCCCAGGACTTTGCAAGGCTAAGCTGGGTGGATCACTTGAGGTCAGGAGTTCAAGACCAGCCTGGCCAACATGGGCAAACCTCTACTAAAAATACAAAAAACTTAGGTGGGTGTGGTGGCACATGCCTGTAATCCCAGCTACTTGGGAGGCTGAGGCATGAGAATTGCTTGAACCTAGGAAGTGGAGGTCCCAGTGAGCCGAGAGTACGCCACTGCTCTCCAGCCTGGGTGACAGAGTGAGACTCTGTCCCAAAAAAACAAAACAAGGCCGGGCGCAGTGGCTCATGCCTGTAATCCCAGCACTTAGGGAGGCTGAGGCGGGCAGATCACGAGGTCAGGAGATTGAGACCATCCTGGCTAACACAGTGAAACCCCGTCTCTACTAAAAATACAAAAAATTAGCCGGGCGTGGTGGTGGGCGCCTGTAGTCCCAGCTACTTGGGAGGCTGAGGCAGGAGAATGGCCTGAATCTGGGAGGCGGAGCTTGCAGTGAGCTGAGATTGCACCACTGCACTCCAGCCTGGGCGACAGTGCGAGACTCCGTCTCAAACAAATCAAAACAAAACAAAACCTAGACTTACTGTTTAACCCAAAAATCCCATTATTGGGTATATACCCAAAGGAATACAAATTGTTCTACCATAAAGACACATGCACACATATGTTCATTATGGCACTATTCACAATAGCAAAGACATGGAATCAACCTAAATTCCCATCAACTGTAGGCTGGATAAAGAAAATGTGGTGCATATACGCCATGGAATACTATGCAGCCATAAAAAAGGATGAGATCATGTCCTTTGCAGCAACATGGGTGGAGCTGGAGGCCATTATCCTAGGCAACCTAACACAGGAACAGAAAACCAAACACCACATATTCTCACTTATAAGTGGGAGCTTATAACAAGAAAAATGCATAGACACTAGGAGGGGAACAACAGACACTGCAGCTGACTTGAGGGTGGAGGGTAGAAGTCGGGAGAGGACTAGACAAAATACCTATCAGCGACTATGCTTATTACCTGGGTGACGAAATTATCTGTACACCAAACCCTGGTGACATGCAGTTGACCTATATAACAAACCTGCACATGTATCCCTGAACCTAAAATACAAGTTCAAAAAAATCATAATAAAATAAAATAAAATAAATGAAACCACATGTGCTTAGATTTTAAAAATCTAACAAGCCAGGCATAGTGGTGTTCACCTGTAGTCCCACCTACTTGGGAGGCTGAGGCAGGAGAATTCTTTGAGTCCAGGAGTTCAAGTCCAGCATGGGTAACATAGAGAGACCCCCGCCCCCTTACCAAATCTCTAAAGACAGACAGACAGACAGACAAACAAACAAACATCTAGCACGGGAACAAAGGCAATTGGAAAATAGGTTAAGCATATTTTTAGGAAGCTGAACAAGTTTTTAAGAGCTAAAACAAGTGAGAAGTATGCTAAGTAATGAAGTGTGGACTTACAAAGCAGCCTACTGTAAATTCTTTTGATTATTAATTTGCTAAAGGCCCTTGAGTCATGAATACAGATGAAAATCTATGGAAAATTGACACGTGTTCTCAAATTGGGGCCATACATCACCACGGCCAAGATATGGTGCAATATGATAGTCTTAAATGCTTAACGTAATGCTATGCCTATAATTACATGTATGGCGTTATCTTTAATATGAACTGATTAATGAGGGTGACATAAAGCAAGGATGAATGTTAGTTATTCAGACACTGATGTTCAGATAGCCACCTGAGAAGTCATTTTTCTCAAAGTTCTATTCCTTAAGGATTGTAGAAATGTCAATTGTTTTTGCAGTTTCCATTTCAAGAAGCAGTTATTCATAATCCCCAGAGAACTCTTCCCTAACAGACTACAATAAAACTTACAATTAATGGTGGTGACATTTTAGACCTAAATTACTGCCTTCATGCTTTAAATCATTATCCTGCTATCCCTATGCATGGAACTTTCAAAGTTTTCATTTCATTCCTGGCTTATCTCTCATCTCCACTGCGTGACTAGTTCCTTGTCCCTTACAAACGAATGCAGGAGGCTGAATTTCTAATGTTCCCCTTAAAATTCTCCTACTTGTTAACAGTACTTTTATGGTAGTTCATCTAAAATAGTTTTTCAACAAACTTCTCAAAGGCTGTCTCTGGCTGTCCATTTTCTTTCTTCATTTTTTAGCTGAATAGCTGGTATACACTAGTCCATTCTGGTATTTGTGTGTTTCCTCCCCTCTCTCTCTTTTTCTACTTTATTTCTCAAAGGTGATTGATATCTTCAATCCCTAGTTACCCCATCATGTGAGCCTCTTTGTTCTCCATGTCCTTCCCACTCTGCTCACAGGGCCCTTGGACTCTGCCTCCCTCTCTCTATCCTTCTTCAAAGGCCACTAAAGAGGTTCTTTTTACGAACTTTTTCTTGGTAAACTGAAGACAGAGTGCTGGGAAACGAAACCTTGAAAAAGACCTTGGAAACCTTGACCAGACGCTGGGCAGTCTGGTTCCCTTTGTCTCTCAGCCCCCAAGGGCTTCTCTCCTCTATCCCTGCTGTGAGCTAGTCACTGGAAAAACACACCTGACCTTGCCAGCCAAGTGAGGGTGCCAAGAATGAGAGGGAAGCATTCTTCTCATCAGCAGATGGGAGGTCTCCCTCAAAGGATTTCTCAATGCCGCCTGAATCAAAGCCTGTGTTTCCCAGAGCAAGGTATTCCCTGGAGGCCTCCTGAGCTCTGGCCACAGTGTTCTCATACAGCTAGCAAGAAGTCATAATGGAATTCGCTCCAACAATCCCACTGCCTTGTTGTTGTTCTGTTCTTGAAGCTTACTCTGTATCATAAACATAATTATAAGAAGAAGTTAAACATATAAATGTGTTCTAAAGAAATGGGCTTTTGTGGCAGGGCGCAGTGGCTAACGCCTGTAATCCCAGCACTTTGGGAGGCCGAGGTGGGTGGATCACCTGAGGTTGGGAGTTCGAGACCAGCCTGGCCAACATGGTGAAACCCCCGTCTCCACGAAAAATGCAAAAATTACCCGGGTGAAGTGACACGTGCCTGTAATCCCAGCTACTCAGAGGCTGGGGAAGGAGAATCACTTGAACCTGGGAGGCAGAGGTTGCAGAGAGCCGAGATCGCGCCACTGCACTCCAGCCTGGGCGACAGAGCGAGACTCTGTCTCAGAAACAAAACAAAACAGAAATGGGCTTTTGCTATGCAGTGGATGGGACCTCGGCTTTTTGAGAGTGATTGGTGGTATGCAAAATGTGGAGAATCCCTCCTCGAGGCCAGATTCTTTGGTATCAATAGTGCTTCATGTAGAGATCCTTTTGTTTGGATCTCTACAATCTTTGGATTGTTTGTCAGAGATTGAGAAGGCACCAGTCTCCTCCTTTTCCCATTGGTTACCACCTCCTGTGTGCATAGAATATTGTATTTTTAAAATCATAGAGTTAGAACATAGGGGTGTGGGTAAATTTTCCTTAGTCCAATACAATTAATTTGATATCCAAAATGAGCTTGTTTCCTGCTTTGCATTTCAACCCCCTAACCCACCCATCCCCACTTTACCCAACATTCTTTGAAGGCTGGGGTTTATCTCATCGTTGAGAAGGAAAAGGCCAAAGGCTTGACTTTCAAATAATTCATTTCCTGCAGTCGCTCACATTCCCAGTCTCTTTTCTTGTTCCTATTTTTAGCTGGTCATAGCTCTTTATAATTTGGAAATTAAAGTCCTTAAAAACAAAGAAATAAACAATTTCACTGGGATGACTGTCAATTTTAAAATAAGCAATTGTTGAGTGCCTACTATAAACTCAGAATGGACTAGGCACTTAAAAAAAGCCAAATTAAAAACAAGGTCCATGTCATTAAGAATCTCATAGTCAGCAGGGAAGGCAGTTGCATAAACAAATAATTTAATACAAAGAAATAAATTGCTTTCATGAGGTTATATATCTGGACCAATGAGAAAATCGGAGAAATGGAGCTTCTTAGTAGATCTGGGCAATGCAGACAAAGCTTTCCAACAGACATATCTTCTCTAGGAGGAGTGTGTGGGGAGGGGTTGTTACAGAGGTGGAGGGGATAGTATGTAGCTCAGAGAATGGCATGTGTGCAGGCCCAGTGGCTCTGGAGGACAGCACGTACTCAGAGTCACCACAGCAATCGAGTATGTCTGGAGAACTGGCTGTGAATGGGTGCAGAAGGAGACTGAGACTAGGAAGGAATGCAGGGATGAAGATCACAGAAGGCCTTGCCTACCATGGAAAAGGAGTTTGTTAGGTTTTATCTTCAAGACACTAGGAAGCCACTGAAAGATTCTGAGCAGGGTAGTGGTGTGATCAGACTTTTGTGTTGGAAACATCCTCTGTAGAGAAAGAAGGGTGGAAGATAGATTGGAGGGCAGCAAGACTGGAGGCAAGAAAGACCAGTGGGAGGATGCTTGTTTAATATTTAGTTTAAGAGAGACAATGAAGACAAGAACAGGGCAGTGGGGTAGAGATAGAGAAGAAAAGTTTATAAGATACATAGGATTTGGTGATTGATTACTTATGGAGCAAGAAAGAGAGACATTTCTGGCTTGGTCAGCTTGACATTTCTCAAGATAGAGAAGACAGAGGAATAGGATTTTTGTGGCAGGGGTTGGGAAGAGGAAGGATCCCTCTGTGGTCTCAGTCTAGGAAGTCCCCCAACCTTCCTTGGTTCTCCATGACCTGAACTTTGAGAGTCCAGATCAGTTGTCCCACACGACAGCCTATACCCTGGATCATAGTTAGATTTAAACCTGCTATTTTCAGTAGTTTACCAGTAAGTGATGTTTGTACCTCCCACTGTGTCACATCAAAGAGAATCTAATGTTAGGAGCCCATCCCTTTTATAGTGAGACTTTTGACTATCATATCAGAAATTGTCCAGATTATTGGATCTTACAAATCAGACATATATGAGTATATATATATATATTTTTTTTTTGGTGGTCCTGGTCTTTTGTAAAAAATGATACATGTTCTGAGTATTTCATCTTTAAAGTATGGCTTAATGAAAGCCAACTTTGGAGCTATTTATTCAGATTGTTTTTTCTTGGTTTTATGTTCCCATGGAAACCTGTATAGCAAATAGGTTGTTCTGAGTGAGGCCTGGCCTGGTTCAGTTAAATCCAAAGGCTTCAGTCAATCTGGTTCACTGACATGAGTAATTTTCTGTCTGCCTAACCATTATCCCCTACAATTCTGATAGATAAACCAGTGTTTAAGGGGCAGACAGAGAGGAGTTGCCTACTGAGAAGACTGAGAAGCAGCAGCCAGAGAGAGAAAAGGTGAATTGGGAGCAAGGGAATGTCTATATCAGTCAGGACTCATTGGTGGCAAATAACAGAAGCCAGTGCAAACCGACTGAAGGAAAGAAAGGAGAGTCTTACACAGATACGGGAGTAGTCAGATATGCAGATATAGGCATGTAACTGGAATTTGTGGCTAGAACATTTTGGGAAATGCAATAACTTCATTTTTCTTCTCTATTCCAAAATACTTGGGAAGTCACTGGTTGGTCTTGCTTGGTGAGGCCCAGCCCTGGGTGGTCAGCCCTGGCAGGAAGCGGGAGGGCTGCAAGTACAAAAACAGGGTGGTTGGGGGCCAAACTGGGTGTTAAGGGCATTTCCTAGAAAAGAAGACATTGTTGGCCAGGCTCTAAGAGGGATTTATCACAGTGATGTCAAGACACTGAGGAAAAGAGTTTCAGGATATGGGATGGGTTGCTGTGATATACAGCAGGAGGTCAAATGAGAGGGGAAAAATACTCCTTGGGTTTGGCATTTGGACTGTCAATGGTAACTTTAGCAGGATTGCTTTTAGTGGAGTGAGGGCAGGGGATTCAGGAGAGAGTGAGAAGAAAGGGGCACAAAGATCTGTGTCCTAGAAGCTTGCTTTGAAAGGAAAGAGAGATGTCCACTAGCAGCTAAGGTTTAAGGTGGAAGAGACTTTTGCTAAAGCTGGGATTCTTCACCTGGGCTCCAGGGCTCTGGGAATCTCTCAAGCCTTTGGAAATAGCATGTAAATTTACCTGCTTCTCAAAGAGATCTGTGATCCACAAATACTAAGAACCACCGTGCTAAAGGAATGGTGGCAATAGAAAGGGAGAAGTGAAGGAAATGGGAGAGGTGATAGATACCTTGAGGAGGGGGCCAGAGTAGGAGCCAGAACACAAGAAGGATGACCTTTGTTGGGAAGAGGATGGTTGGTTTATTTCTTCTTCTGAGGGGTGTGGGGGCTGGCGGGGAGGATATGAAATTCAGGGCAGGTGCAGATGCGTTTGTAGGTAGGGTGGTAGGGAACTGTGAGATTCATTCCTGATAGATTTCATTGCTTTCTCTTTTGTTTTTGGTCCAGCTTGGCCTTGCAGCAGGCTAGAATAGCTCTTCCTACAGATAGTTGGTCAAGAGATGGTCATAATCTGTTTTTTTACTTAGGCTTATCATTGGGTTTTCTGTCTCCATGATCATTCTTGACTGATGTGCCTTGTCTCTTGAGCCTGACATCCATGGTGAGTTAGAACCTGAGCTATGCTGAGCTCTCCTTCTACCTTATCCTGGAAGACCTTCTACAGTTCCCTCACTACTCCTTGTCTGTGAAGCTGACGGTATTAACAATTAATTGCACCTTTTCCCTTTCCCTAAAGGGAAGCTGCATGCAGGGATTTCCCCCAGTTTGGGGCTTCCTGTATTGGACTCTCCTGGGGGATTGTGAGTCAGTAGGCATGATTCAAGAGAGTAGGTGCTTGTGTGGGTGGATGTTCATTGGAGTTAATTGATTCACAGTGAGTGACCTTTGTTTCTTAAATGATCTTGATCCAGAAGGTAGGAAAGTGTGGCCTCTGGATATAAAATCTGAACTTCTCTTCTCATGGAATGATCTCAGCTCAGTCATTTAGGTTTTTCATGCCTTAATTTCACCATCTGCAAAATCAAATAACATTTTCCACTTATGTTAATGGAGTACTATGTCTCTTGACATTTCTGAGAGGTATCATGAGAACAAACTGTTCAACGTATTATTGTTAAAGAAAAAGCTGGAAACCCTTATAAGCCACTCCTCTGATCTGAATGTTCTAGCTGCCATTGTGGAAGAACCGGTTTCTGAAAGAAAAGCTTAGTGACATTCTTTAGGAAATCTTACTCATGGGACAGTACTCATATGCCAGAAAGAGTGCACTTCTTTTTAATTTAAAGACTTTTTTTTTTTTTGGAGATAGGGTCTCACTCTGTCACCCAGGCTAGAGTTCAGTGACATGATCATGGCTTACTGCAGCCTTGACCTCCTGGGCTTAAGCCATCCTTCTGCCTCAGCCTCCTCACTCACTTGTCATCATACCAGGCTAATTTTTTTTTCATTTTTAGTAGAGACAAGGACTCACTGTGTTGCCTAGGTTGGTCTTGAACTCTTGGGCTAAAGTGATCTTCCTGCCTTGGCCTCCCAAAGTGCTGGGCTTTCAGGCATGAGCCACCACACCTGCCCCATAATGGCATTTTTGACCTAAAGACATGTATCTTTCTGCTTTTGATTTTCACAGATTCTTGAAGCTGGTATCCTTTCTATACTACTAAGATTCCCTTTAAAAATAATTTAATAGTAATAAATCAGCAATCATTAAGCTACCTGGGACTTAGCTGTACTTTTAAAAAATGTTGCATTCAATTTATTCTTTTTTATTTTTTGAGATAGAATCTCACCCTGTCACCCAGGCTGGAGTGCAGTGGCACCATCATGGCTGACTGCAGCCTCAACCTCCTTGGGCTCAAGCAAACCTCCCATGTCAGCCTCCTGTGTAGCTGAGACTACAGGTGCATGCCATCATGCCCAGCTAATTTTTGTATTTTTTTGTAGAAATTGGGTATTGCTGTGTTGCCCAGGCTGGTCTTGATCTTCTGGGCTCAAGTGATCCACCCACCTGGGCCACCCAAAGTGCTGGGATTACAGGCGTGAGCCACCATGCCTGGCCAATTTATTCTTTAAAGTTTTTTTAATTTAAAAAAATTGTGGTAAAATTACATAACATGAAACTTACCATTTTAAAGTACACAGTTCAGTGCCATTAAGTGTATCACATTGTTGCACAACTATCACCACCATCCATGTCCATGATTAGCTGAACTTCTTTAGAAATAAAAGTAAATGATCTGTTTGTTGGCTTCAGTGACTTCATCTGCTGGGGATCTGTAAAAAGGTGGTAGGCTGAGTAACTCCTTATTCCCCTTTTTTTTTTTTTTTCGAGATGGAGTCTCCCTCTGCCACCCAGGCTGGAGTGCAGTGGCGTGATCTCAGCTCACTGCAACCTCCGCCTCCCAGGTTCAAGAGATTCTCCTGCCTTAGCCTCCCAAGTAGGTGGGATTACAGGTGTATGCCACCATACCTGACTAAGTTTTGTATTTTTAGAGGAGATGGGGTTTCGCCATGTTGGCCAGGTTGGTCTCGAACTCCTGACCGCAGGTGATCTACCTGCCTTGGCCTCCCAAAGTGCTGGGATTACAGGTATGAGCCTCTGTGCCTGGTCTCATTCCTTAGAAACCTCTTACTTTTGAGGAATGGTTCCGAAATGAAATTCAAAGATGTGAAGAACAAGATGTCCTCATTAATGACTGATGTTGTCGGGGTCCACAGTAGTTTAGGATTCCTATTCCAGCTCAACTTGCAGGTTTAGACAGCTGTCCTTTGCGGACAAGGTTAAGTGATTTTAATTTGGAGGGCAGAGGAGAGTTTCCAGCTTTCTGTAACTTCTGCAAGAGTTCCAGCTTCTGTAACTTCTAAGCTCTACAGAAGAGGGCTCAGAAGAGCTTAGTAACAATGGTGGTAGCAATATCTTAAGGCTCAAATTAGCTGGCCTCAGCATTGGGGAAGCAGGAGGAGGAAGCAAGAAGGTGGCTGTGAGGGAATGAAGTGGCACAGGATCTGTCCTCAGGGAAGAAGAAGGGTGCTGTCCCAGCCTGCTGACAGGAGGGAAGAGAGATCACACTCAAGGAGTTGAAATCAGTTCAACATCCTGTTGGTAACATCTCCTTTTTTCCCCATACAGTCTAAGAAATGCAGTTAGCTCGGGTTGGGATGGTTAAGTTTGAGTATTAGAACTCTGGTGCTCCTCAACTCTTTCCCTGTGATTCAGTCTTTCTCTGGCATCATATGAAAGAAAAATATCTTCTCCACAATGATTTGCTCAATCCCTGCTCCCGAAAGACCTGCTTGTTCTAAGTGTGGCCTCATCCATACTCACCTGATTTTATCAAAGTATGTTGATGACAGGTGTTAGAAATTTCACAATTTACAGCTGCAACAACAGAAAATACTGTACCAAAGGCCAACACAGAGAGGATCCAGGAATTCCCTTGGCTGGATTAAATGTCTTTTTTGCAAGACAGAGTTGTTTTTCCCTTTGATGTGGGTATGAAAGCTTGCTCTATGTGTTTGTGGAGGTAAGTTGCTGTGGTGTTGGTTAGTGGCTCTCCCAGGGATAAAAAAGGGTTTCCTTCTCGTTAAATTAAGGAGGCCTCTGCAAATGAGGTCTGCAGATTCTGGACTTGACAAAACCCAGCATTGCCCTGTTGTCCAGAGAGTGCCAGCATAGCCTGCCCCTGGGACACCTCTCTCCTTAGCTGGCCATTCACTGCTTCTGTGATATTGTGTCGGATGAGGCCACCCTCTTCCCCATTTGTAAGCTCCTCTCTGTAGCATGGGAAGCCTGGAGGTGGAATGGAGAACGTGACCTCCTTGTTCATCATTCGCATTGATTCATGAGAAACATGGAAGGAAACATATTTGAAACCATAGTAGTGAAATATTTAGAGAGAGCAAAAAATTGGTTGGTGGGTTGACTAATATGTCTGTTAGTCTGTTTCTGTCTCTTCCCTCTTCCTCTTTCCTCTCTCTGTGTCTCTTTCCGTGTGTGTGTGTGTGTGTGTGTGTGTGTGTGTGTGTATTTGTGTGTCTGACTCTTCAGTCTCTCTCTCTTGCTGTATTTGTCTTTCTCTCTCTGTCTCATGTCTTTCTATGTGTGTCTTGGTATGTTTGTCTCTTTGTATCTTGTTTCTCTGAGATCCTACTGTGTGCCATGTCCTACCTAGAGGCTAAGTGTCTAAAAGCAATTGACACATTGTCAATAATCGTGGTAACAACAGTAACTAGCAATGTTGCTATTGCTTAGCATTTAAGAACTTTGTACACATTATTGCATTTAATCCTCACAACAGCTACATGTGATGGTTACAACGTTATCCATTTCACAGACAAGAAGACTGTAGTTCATCTAAGTTTATAACTTGCTGTAATTCATGTAGCTTACAAGGACTTAGGTCTGTATGACCCTGGAACCCATATTCTTTTTTTTTTTGTTTTTGAGACGGAGTTTTGCTCTTGTTGCCCAGGCTGGAGTGCAATGGTGCAATCTCGGCTCACCACAACCTCCGCCTCCTGGGTTCAAGCAATTCTCCTGCCTCAGCCTCCCAAGTAGCTGGGATTACAGGCATGCGCCACCATGTCTGGTTAATTTTGTATTTTTAGTAGAGATGGGGTTTCTCCATGTTGGTCAGGCTGGTCTTGAACTCCCGACCTCAGATGATCTGCCTGCCTCGGCCTCCCACAGTGCTGGGATGACAGGTGTGAGCCACCACGCCCAGCCAGAACCCATATTCTTTGCTGTTGCCCTTTAGTGCCCTTTAGCTGATAACTTGAGTTCCTAGGGACTTGAGGCTTCCTATAGGAATGTTTTATGATATCTATTTGATTCTAGAATATTAATTTGTTCCAGGTCTAGGAAGCAATGTACAGCTGTGAAATTTATTTATTTATTTATTTATTTATTTTTTGAGACCAAGTCTTGCTCTGTCACCCAGGCCTGAGTGCAGTGGCACGATGTTGGCTTGCTGTCTCCCAGGTTCAAGCAATTCTCTTGCCTCCCAAGTTGCTGGGACTACATGTGTGCAACACCACACCTGGTTAATTTTTGTATTTTTAGTGGAGATGGGGTTTCACCACGTTGAGCAGGCTGGTCTCGAACTCCTGACCTCAGGTGATCCACCCGCCTCAGCCTCCCAAAGTGCTGGGATTACAGGCATAAGCTACTGCTCCCAGTCGTAGCTATGAAATTTAATTGAGAGAGAGAGAGAGAGAGAGAGAGAGAGAGAGAGAGAGAGAGAGAGAGAGTGTGTGTGTGTGTGTGTGTGTGTGTGAGAGAGAGAGAGAGAGAGTGAGAGAAACAGAGAGACTTAGAGGCAAAAATAAAAATTAGATAGAAAGAGACAGACAGACAGACATGAGACAGAAAGGGAGATACAGTAAGAGAACCTGAGGGAAAGACAGAGACAGACAGATGCACAGACTAACAGACATACCAGCCAATCCACCCATCAAGTCACTTGCTCTTTCTCAATTTTCTTTCACTAGTAAGGGTATAGTATAATGTTTCCTTACATATTTCTTACGAATCAACACGAATGTGAACAATGGTGTCCAGTATTATTTTGTGCTGTGGGGAATATAAAATATTAGCAAGAATTTGGCAACTCTAAAGTACAGAGAAACCTAAATAAAGGCTTTTGTTTGTGCCTAACAGTAGACTATTACAGAACAATTATTTAAATGTCTTACATACTTAACATAAGTAATCAAGCATAGGCTTTGGAGTTGGACTTATGAAATTCATATTCCAGCTTCATTTATTAGTGTAATTTTAAGTAAGTTATTGAAGTCTGGGTATCCGTTTTCTGATCTGTGAAATGGCAATAATAATGGTACCTATTTTGTGGAGTCCTTGGGAGTTTTTAAAGAGATGATGTCGGCTGGGTGCGGTGGCTCATGCCTGTAATCCCAGCACTTTGGGAGGCCAAGGCAGGTGGAATACCTGAGGTCAGGAGGTCGAGACCAGCCTGGCCAACATGGTGAAACCCCATCTGGTAGAATATAAAAATTAGCCGGGTGTGGTGGCGCATGCTTGTAATCCCAGCCACTCGGGAGGCTGAGGCAGGAGAATCACTTGAATCCGGGAGGTGGAGGCTGCAGTGAGTGTAGATTGAGCCATTGCACTCCAGCCTGGGCAACAGAGCGAGACTCCATAACAAAAAACAAATAAAAACAAAACAACGACAACAACAACAACAACAGAGATGATGTCCAACAGTGTTTGACACAATTAATTTAGCCATTTTTATTTCATCACTAGTGCTGACAAGGATAATGTAATTTAAAAATTAACTGAATAAATATATCTGCTCTTAATAAGTAGTAGCTGCATTGTCCTACTTGTAGAACTCAGATGCCTAGTTTTAGGGAGCACTGTCCTCAGTGCAAGCACTGTGGTGACCTGGAATCTCCTGCCCTGACACGTACAGTTTGCTTATCAAGCAATTACCCTGGCACCTACCATTTCTGAGCCTTAGGAAAGCCCTATTTAGAATGCCACTTAAGGAATGTGCTCCCTCCCTTGAGTTCTTATGCAAGATCTTTTTTGAATGCTTAAAGAGAGAATAATAATAATAATAATGATAAGAAGAAAAAGAAGAAGAGGAAGAAAGAAAAAGGAAGAAGGAGGAGAAGGAGAGGAGGAGGAGGAGAGCAAATCAGTAAATCACTTAAGTAAAATTTGCCCTGCAAAGAAGTCAGGGCATCTTGGTCCTATCTTGTTCTCCCCCTCACCAAATTGGTGCCACTTCCTGAACACACTGGGTGCTTTCACATACTGGTGCATTTGCTGGCATGGTTCTGCCTGGCCTGGATGCCCTTCCCTTCATTTCTCAACACTTCCCCCGTCAAAAGCCAAGGAACTCCGTTGTGTAGCTTTCTCCAACACCCACAGATGGAATTAATACTTCCCTCTTCTGTAGACCCACACCACTCTGGAAACACCCCTATCATGCAGTTTATTATAGTCTGCCTAATTAGAAGCATGGTATTTGTCCACTGTGGTTGACCATGAGCTCCTGGCAGACTGGCAGTATTTTATCCGCTTTGTAGTCTTAACAGGTGGGGCAGAGCCTCTGATGATTCTGGGGGAAAAGAGTGAAATCACCTTTTGCCATTTGTCATGTTGTAAAGCTTCCTTTCCTTTGCTAAATACTTACCAGGAGAGCCCTACCATCATGGCTTAAGCATTTTTGTCCCACAGCAAGGGACTAGCCAGGGCAGGGAGGTAGATAGTTTTGTATTTCATATATGGCTTGTATTGTGCCATGAGAATATTTGCAGGCTTGTTACTTTGAAGTGCCTCTGTCAGAGACTAGAGGAAGCCTGATTCTCAAGCCCAAATGAGATAGGAAAGTTGTCATGGATACCATAACTGCCAGTCTTCTTGGATGTCATAGGCGAGGCAGGTCAGCTCAAGAGAGAAGTGCTTCCTGGTGGTGTTTGCCATGCCTGATTGTGGATAAATCCAATATAACCCAGCATTTTCTACACTTGTTTGAATGCACGAAATCTAGTGGGCAAAGATTGAGAAAGGCAGCCTTTAATTGCTGGGTGTGGTGTAAGGTTGATTGAGTGTGGTGGAGTTGTGAGTAGACTTGCCTGCAGAGAAGTAAAACAGATGGAAATTCCATGGCCTTGTAAGTGAGTTTTTATCTCTATTTAAAATCTTTCTCATTTCTTCAACTTACGGTTATGAAATATTTCAAACACACAGAAAAGTTGAAAGATTATTATGGTGTAATCCCATATGCCCTCCACATAAATTTCACAATTGTTAATATTTTGCAATACTTGCTTTATTTTTCTCTGTACTTTGGTTTTCTTTTTTGTGTGCCATTTGAAAGCAAATTATGTACACATGATGACACAACACTTTTCGATATTCAGCATTTCATCCCTTAAGAATACAGATATTTATCCACAGAAACAAAATGTCATTATCCCTGCTAAGAAAATTAACTATCTAAAATCAACTAAATATTTACATTTCTGGCCGGGCATGGTGACTCACGCCTGTAATCTCAGCACTTTAGGAAGATTGCTTGAGCCTAGGTGTTCAAGGCCAGTCTGGGCAATATAGTAAAATGACGTCTCTTAAAAAAAAAAAAAAAAAAGGCAAGAGTGGTGGTGCATGTCTATAGGCCTAGCTACTCAGGAGGCTGAGGTGGGAGGATCACTTGAGTCCAGGAGGTTGAAGCTGCAGTGAGCTATGATGACACCACTCACGGCACCCCAGCTTAGATGACAGAACGAGACCCTGTCTCAGAAAAACAAACAAACAAACAAACTGCATTAATTCCTCCAAAATGTCTTTGTAGCTGTTTCTCTCAAATTAATGCATACATTACATTTTAAAACTTCATTTTAACATAGAATGTTTTATCCCTCTTTTTTTCCCTCCATGACATTGACTTTTTGAAGAATCCAGGCTCGCAGCCTTATAGAATGTCCCACATTCTAGATTGTGTTTTCTCTTGATGTTAACCTGTTCCTCTTTCCCAGTAAGTTTTAACCCGGGCTGTACATTAGAATTCCTTGTTTTGATTAATTGGCCTTACAAAGAAGAAGTAATAAATTGGTCCACTCTGTTCTCACTGGGGGTTTTAAATACAAAACTAAAAACCTAGAAATTTCATACAAATGTCTGAGTGCTGCTCTAATCCAGTTAAATCAGAAGCCCTTGGGATGCAGCCCAGGTGGCCCTACTTTCAAAAATCTCCGGGTGGCTCTAATATGAGGTCAGAAGTAAGAACCACTGCTCTATCTCCTGTATATTCTTTAAACTAGAAGTTAGATTCGAGTATACGTTTTTGTTCAGAATATCTTAACTGTACATTACAATCATGTGGGAAGCTTTAAAAAATACTGATGCTTGGCAACTCCGGCCCCCGCCCCTGCCCAAGTAGATTCTGCCGTAGTTGGCATTAGGAGTTTGAAAAGCTCCTCGGGTGATTCTAATGCAATTAAGAAGCGCTACTGCCTTAGATTAGGTTGTTGAATTTGCATCATATCAGGAAGCATGTAATGCCACAGTGTTCCATTTTTTGTGATGTGAAATTCAATCACTGGATTAAGGTGGTCACCACCATACCTCTCCATTTCAAAGGTACAGTTGCTCTTCTTTGTTTATTTTATATATTTTTTGAGATGGAGTCTTGCTCTATCACCCAGGCTGGAGTGCAGTGGCGCGATCTCAGCTCACTGCAACCTCTGCCTCCCGGGTTCAAGAAATTCTTCTGCCTCAGTCTCCCAAGTAGCTGGGACTACAGGCGTGTGCCACCATGCCCAGCTAATTTTTGAATTTTTAGTAGAGACGGGGTTTCACCATGTTGGCCAGGCTGGTCTCGAACTCCTAACCTTGTGATCCGCCCACCTTGGCCTCCCAAAGTGCTGGGATTACAGGCATGAGCCACTGTGCCTGGCCCAGTTTCTCTTCTTTGTAAAAGTAAGTGGTCCCTGGGATGGTACTTTGGTACTCTAGGGATAGCCCGTATGCTAACAAGTTTTCATCCAAAGGTTTTGGCTTCCACTGGTGATTGTTACATGAATCAATGATTATATCAGGGGTTACAAAATGGTGATCTTCGAATTTTGTCATTTCTTTTACATTTATGAGTGTCTTACTTTTGTAAAGAAGAGCTGTCCTGTTTATCCTCCCCACTCCCTGCCCTGGGATTCACGTATCTTCATTAATAAAGAGCTACCATCATTATCCTTTTTGACGTTAAATTGTATCCAATTCGGCCCGTGGGAAACCCTTCAAGTCGGCTATTTATTTATTGAGATGGAGTCTCACTTTGTTGCCCAGGCTGGAGTGCTGTGGTGCGATCTTGGCTCACTGCAACCTCTGCCTCCTGGGTCCAAGCAATTCTTCTGCCTCAGCCTCCTGAGTAGCTGGGATTACAGGTGTCTGCCACTGTGCCTGGCTAATTTTTGTATTTTTAGTAGAGACAGTGTTTCACCATGTTGGCCAGGCTGGTCTCGACCTCCTGACCTCAGGTGATCTGCCCACCTTGGCCTCCCAAAGTGCCGGGATTACATGCATCAGCCACTGTGCCCAGCCTACAAGTTGGCTTTTTAAAAAGTAAATGATTTTTACATTGAAATATAACATATAGATAAATGCACAAAAAATCAAGTCTATAGTTCAAAGAATGTTCACAAAGCAAACACATGAATAGCTAGCTCCTAGATCAAGAAACAAAACATTACCAGGAGCCTGAAGCCCCAATCACACCCTCTTCCTATCACTTTTGTCCCCACACCAGTAACCACCAGCTTTACTTCTAAACCTATTGATCAGTTTGGCTGTTTTGGAATTTTGTGTCAATGGAATCATACCACATGTACGCTTTTCTGTCTGGTTCCTTTGCACGTCTGTATGCTCATGAGATTCACTCTTGTGTGTGCAGCTGCAGTTCTTTGTTTTTCATTGCTCCTGCCATTTATTTATTCATTCTAGTGTAGGTGGACATTAAGGATGATTCCAGGTTTTGACTATTATGTGCCCCTATGAACATTCTGGTACTTGGGGTCAACACATTTTTTTGGGTAAGGAGAATAGGGGTAGAAGTGGAATTCCTTGCTCATAGGGTATGTTTACTTTGGTAGAGGTCGCCACACAGTTTTCCTCCTGTTTTCTTTTGATATAACCCCCTTGGTCCTTACGTACTTCTTTTACTTTCTGGCAGAAGATGTCCTTGGCTCATCTTTTGTGTTCTCTGCCCGAGCCCTGGAACCAGCCATTTCTCTGAGGATTTCTCATCCTTTTGAATAGGGAACTGTATTTAAAAGCCGAGGTGTGGGTACTATTTGTGCTTAGCACTACTGGGATCTCATTGCTCTTAGTTCCTTCTAGTGGACAAAGCTCAGAAATACACAATCATGTGTTTGAACTGAGAGTTCCAATTTCAACTTTACAGAGTTGTTTTTTCCCTTCTTAACTCTGTTTTATGTTATATATCATCTAATTTCTCTTACGTTGAAAATCTTTGTTCCTAATAACATCAATATATTTTATTTGCTTTCTTCTACATTTTCATAAAACAGTTTTGAAGTCACAATACTAATACTACTGACAATATTATGTGAGTAAAGTAATATATGAATATGCGTAAGCTTCAGATTTCTTTGCAGTTCTTTTTGTCTCTTGTGAGCAACTTCGATACTAAGTTAAATGGCTTAAACTAATGTGGAGAATGAGGAATTTATCTAGCGGTTCAAGAAGTGAGGGTGTTCTGCTCAGAATGTAGACTGTGTGCCTTCTAGATGATTGCAGCTGTTGAGCTCCCACTGTGGGCTTTTTTTCCCTCTTTTATTTTTTTTTGAGATAAAGTCTTGCTCTGCCCCCCAACGCGGGAGTGCAATGGCACAATCTCAGCTCACTGCAACCTCTGCCTCCCGGGTTCCAGTGATTCTCCTGCCTCAGCCTCCTGAGTAGCTGGGATTACAGGCACCTGCCATCACGCCCAGCTAATTTTCTTTTTTTTTTTTGTATTTTTAGTAGAAATGGGGTTTCACCATGTTGGCCACGCTGGTCTCGAACTCCTGACCTCAAGTGATCCACCCACCTTGGCCTCCCAAAGTGCTGGGATTACAGGCGTGAGCCACCGTGCCCGGCCTTTTTTCCCTTTCTTTAACTCCCTTTCTGAAGGTTTTCAGGGTTTCCAGTGAGATGAGGTGCACAGCTGGGGGCAGTATGTCCTTCTCTCACTTAGAGGTTCTCTGGTCGACATCCTCCCTTCACTCTGATCGTGATGGTTAATTTTATGTATCAAGTTGACTGAATTATTGTGTTCAGCTATTTGCAAATCTAGATGTTGCTGTGCAGGTATTTTAAGAATAGGTGACTAACATTTAAATCAGCGGACTTTGGGGAAAGCAGATTGCTCTCCACAATATGGGTGGGTCTCACTGAGTCAGCGGAAGTCATTAAAAGACTCAGGTCCCTTGAAGAGGAAGGAATTCTGCCTCCAGATCGTCAGACTTAATACATCAACTTATTGCTGGACTCGCCAGCCTAACTCGTGGATTTCAGACTTATCAGCTCTCATGATTGTGTGAGCCAATTTCTTAAATTAATCTCTGTCTCCCTACTTCCCCCACCCTATTGGTTCTGTTCCTATGGAGAACCCTGATGATGACACTGGTTATCTCAAACCTGATAACAAATGTTTGGGGATCTCTGCTATGTGCCCCAGTAGTGGCATCACGGTGAGAAGCAGACTGTAGTCATCCAGGAAGGAAAGGAACAGAGTGGGATGATAAAGGGCCCCGTTAAGGGAGTGGATGCAGGAAATGATGTGTAAGAACCTATCTCCCCTCCCACTCTGAACTTGGCTAACATGGTTACCAGCAAACAGCTGGTTTGATTTGGAACCAGGGTGTCCTCCTGGGCTAGGAGCAGCTTAGTGTGCCCTGCTTTGATGAGAGGAAAAGGCTCTCTATGACTCTCACACACCTCCTGGGGCCCTTGACTTACAGTTCCTGTCAACGCTCTCATGTGGGACAGGCTGTGCACACCACGCCTGGTGTGGCTCACTTTTGGGAAGCGCTTCCCCTCGGCAGTGGGAGAAGGCAGAGCAGAATCTAATTGCTTTCATTGCTTAATGAGTAAAGACCAAGCTGTTTGTTATAAGAGGGTGTATAGAATTTTCTCCAGTTCTTCCTTCCTAATTTCTCTTTCACATTACTCCTCCCCAGGAGCAGACTTTGGTAAAATTGTGGAAAACATAGACATAATGAACATAATAATGTACTGAACTTATGCTATGAGCCAGTGAGTATAAGTAATGGAAAACTTTATTTCTGAGGACACTCGATTCTGGGATCAAAAGCCTCCTCCAGTGATTCCCAGGAAGGTTCTGCTACTGCCATTCCAGGGAGGAGTTGGGACCCTGGGAAGCAGACAGAAGAGAGGGGAAAGGACCAGGGTGGAGGAAGAGAAGAGAGATCAGAATGCAAAGTGACCCCAGGTATCAAGGGACTGGATGGGAAAAAGCTGCAATGTTTTACACAACCTTCTAAATGCATCTGTAAACATCTTTTAGCAAGATTCCCCTCAGTAATTGACTGAACCCACATAACCTCCTACAGACATAACTAAGGGGTGACATAGATCACCAGTCTAGAGGAAAGCTGCCACAGTCTTGCAGGGGGTTGAAATCAGGCTTGTTTGCTCTGTTTAGTTTGGGTTTGGCAGAGTTGCACAGAGGAGGAGCACGGCATCTACTCATGAAGCTGATGGTCAGGTTCCCAGACCATTACACATTAGAAACTCGGTGAAATTAAATTGGCATCTCTCGGGTGAGGCCCAAGCAAGGGTATTGTTTAGGTCCTCAGATGATTGTAATGTGCACTCTGAATCCCTGCCATCACCAACTCATAGAGGACATGCTCTACAGCTACAGCCCAGAGGCCATGATAGAGAGACAAATGTGTTGTAATCATGAATGTCATTTTGTCCTTGCAGAATTAATGGGATGTTGTGGTTTATGTTATTAGGCACTGGCAATAAAGAAATTTGTGGTAATCATAGTGATTGGCTAGATAAGGCATTGTGAAATAAGGGAATGAGGATGTGATGGATGGTGAGAGAATTAGGGTAAAAATTCATGAATCTGAGAGCACAACAAAGATCTCAGAGGAAAGTGAGAAGGGAAGTTAAGGATTTAGCTAAAAAGTTAAAACAGTCTGGGTGTGGTGGCTCATGCCTGTAATCCCAGCACTTTGGGAGACCAAGGTGGGCAGATCATCTGAAGTCAGGAGTTTGAGACCAGCCTGACCAACATGGAGAAACCCCGTCTCTACTAAAAATACAAAATTAGCTGGGCATGGTGGCACATGCCTGTAATCTCAGCTACTCGGGAGGCTGAGGCAGGAGAATCGCTTGAACCTGGGAGGCGGAGGTTGCGGTGAGCCAAGATTGCACCGTTGCACCCCAGCCTGGGCAACAAGAGTGAAACTCCATCTTAGAAAAAAAAAAAAAAAGTTAAAACAACACAAACAACTGGAACTATGTAGGGCAGTTAAGTGTGCCAGGACTTTGGCAAGAAGACAGGAACTCCCTCCTGTCCCCAAATAATGATGTTTGGGAACTTGGAGTGGTGGTGGTTTACACCCTGCTCACTGTGATGGAAAGGCTGAGAAGGGCAGTTTGGGCAGAACAGTGAGCAGGGAGCAATGCACAGATGGGCACAATAGGATTCAAGAAGTCAGGAAATGTGCAGCAATGGAAGGCTTATGGAGGACTGGCCTCCTTGACTAAGACAAAATGCTATATTCTGCAAGTTTTTGCAGTTTATTCATTTACTGATCCAGCTACTATTTATTGGAAGGTGACTCTACACTGAGTACTAGGCAGTGAGCTCCTTCCGGACCAGCCCCTGGTCTTGCTCATCCTGTGGACACAGCACATCTGAGAAGGGCTGTGATTGTGCTGCTCCTATCACACTAGCTGCTGCTGGGATGCTTCACTGCCTCTCTGAGTTCAAGGGTGAGTTTTTTTGTAGTCTCTTCTCTCCTCTGCATGGCTCTTGTGCAGCTGGTGGGAGTAGTTGTAGTGATGTCCTCTTAGCTGAGGTCATAGCAGTGATGAATGAAACAAGAAGGCCAGTTTGTTAATTTCCTATGAAGCAACAAGAACTATAAATGCCAAAAGGACTGGATGCCTGAATCCTCCTGCTGATCCTTCCTTCCCTGTATGTATGCCATGCTTGAAAAGCTGAACTATAATTGGGAAGTTGTTTGGTGAGCCAGAGGCTAGAACAGGAATAGCTGGTTATGAGTCCAATCTTTAATAGCATCGGATAAAGATGTATCTATCTTCAGAACAGTGACAAAACTGCATTGGGCCACAGTACTTTTCCCCGAGGCCTATCCTGGGTTGGTCACTGCCTGCATTGACTCTGACTTTCTTTTTAGGCTTTTCAGGCTATGTAATCTGTTTCCAGTTGGCCTGTTCTTTCCTCATGCAAATTAATGTATTTAACCAGATTATAGCTTTGTTTTGAAGGCCTGGGCCATTCTGACATTTTTGTAGGACGACATATTCCTGTTCTGATTCATTATGTTTTGATTTATCTTTTAATTCTGAGAAGACAGCTTGGTCTTATTTCCAGATTTCTCGATGATGCTTCCTTGCAGCACTCAAATCACTGACAATGCTTTAAATATGAAAACTTTAATATTAATATTCATATCCAGTGATGTAATATATCATTTTATTGAAAGTGCACATGTTCAGAAAGACTGTATATTTATGATTTATACCCTGCTTGCTGCCTAAACAGATTTGAGACAACTTATAGCCCAGGGAAATATTATAAATATGAACAACTTGTATGGCATGAGCTCTGGCCACTCAGAATAGATGTGCATCAGAAATAACTATTGTCCATACCAGTGCCTACCAGCTGAATATCAGCCCTCCTTTGAGATGTTAGAGTATCTATAAAGCAGCACCACTGTGGCTAACCCAGAGAGAAACACTGAGGACAACACAAATTTTGGGGAAGCTCTCATGGCTATGAGGGCACCTCCTTTCCTTTTCTACATTTTCTTTCCTGGTATCATGGCAGCTCCAGCTGATGATGAACATATTCCTTTGGTTTACAAAATACTCCTGTTTCATCAAAGCAAAGAAGCCATTGGTTGTAAATACACCATTACTTTTTATTATTTTTTAATTTTTATACAGATGGGAGTCTCTCTATGTTCGCCAAGGTTGGTCTTGAACTCCTGGCTTCAAGCAATCCTCCTGCCTAGGACTTTCAAGGTACACCATTATTTTGTGGTCCACTAAGAAAGAAAAGGTTATTTCCAATTAAATTATAACATACTAGCAATTATAAGACAATCCCAACTTCTAATACGTTAAAATGAAATATAGACATATCTATAAATATCTTAGATTAGATGAAATAAGGTATACCATCTCTCAGAACAATGGTGTCTATCCCTGCTTTTAAGTTACTTTCCTTGTCCAAAAACAAAAAAACAAAACAGAACAAAACAAAAAACCTTTACCAATGATAGGCAAAAAGAAGTGTTCTTGCACAAGGACAGAGAACAATGCCTAAGAATGCCTGACTTTTCTGGAAAATTACCATATACCAATCTATTTCTCTTAGAGAAATTTCCAGTATACACAGATTTACCTCCTTATATTTTTTTTGTCCCAGAACTTCATTTCTGGCATAGGAAAGTAAATCATTCTTGTTGGGAAGAATCAGAAAGCGGGACCTATGAGCTGGGAATAGGAAAGGAAGGTAAAGCACATGGCAGAGTAGAATATAATAGTTACTAGCAATGGAACACTGGGAACCGTGTCCGTTTGACTTTTCCTTGTGATATCTCATTATTCTGTACAACTGCTCTGTGAGAACTGTGCTGCTATTGCCCTCCTCTGAGAGATCTGGACGTTGAGAGGTTAAGTAACTTGCCTGAGGTCATGTAAGTGGTAAGTGGCTCAGCTGGGATTCAAACACAATTGACTTCTTGCTTTAGCCAGGCCTAACTCATGTTTTAATCCATTCAAATGAGTTTAAAATTTTCTTTTAATTGTGCTAAAGTAAACATAACATAAAATGTACCATCCTAATCATTTTTGAGTGTACAGTTCAGTAGTGCCAAGCCCATTCACATTGCTGTACAGCTAGTCTCCAGAACTCTTTTCATCTTTCAAAAGTGAAACTCTGTCCCCATTAAACAACCACTCCCCTTGCTCCCAGCCCCAGCCCCTGGCAGCCACCGTTCCACTTTCTGTCTTTATGAATTTGACTACTCCAGGTTGCTCATATAAGTGGAATCGTATAGTCTTTTGTGGCTGACTCATATTTAGCATAATGTCCTCAAGGTTCATTCATATTGTAGCATGTGTCAGAAGAGTTTTTAATTTCATTGACTATTTTTCCTTGTCAGTCTATTTGATTATTTTCCAGATGTTTCTATTTTTTTTTCCTCATGGTGTTTTCTTTTTTATCCTTGGTGTTTATTCTTAATTTCTTTAATATTTAAGAATATTCATCATACAGCATGGTGACTGCAGTTAATGTATGTATTGAATTCTTAAATTGCTAAGAGAGTAGATTTCAAGTGTTCTTGCAAAAAATGATGTTTGTGAAATAATGCATATGTTAATTAGCTCAATTTAGCCATTCCACAACGTATATATATTTCAAAACAACATGTTGTATGCAATAAATATATAAAATTTTATTTGTCAATTAAAAAATTAAAAAGGGCTGGATATGGTGGCTCATGCCTGTAATCCCAACACTTTGGGAGGCTGAGATGGGAGGACAGTTAGCGACCAGCCTGGGCAACATAGCAAGACCTCTGTGTTTGTCCCTTTTGTGTTTCTGTAAAGGAATACCTGAGGCTGGGTAATTTATGAAGAAAAGGCCAGGTGCGGTGGCTCACACCTGTAATCCTAGCACTATGGGAGGCCGAGGTGGGCAAACCACTTGAGGTCAGGAGTTTGAGACCAGCCTGGCCAACATGGTGAAACCCCATCTTTACTAAAAGTACAAAAATCAGCTGGGTGTGTGGAGTATGCCTGTAATCCCAGCTACTCAGGAGGCTGAGACAGTAGAATCGTTTGAACCCAGGAGGCAGAGGTTGCACCACTGCACTTCAGCCTGGGTGACAGAGTGAAACTCCATCTTCAGAAAGGAAGGGGAGCTGACAAGTCACACGGTGAGAGAGCAGGGAGACTCCAGACCCTTGAACAAGGAGATCTCAAGTGAACTCATTACTACAGGGAGGGCACCGAGCCATTCGTGAGATATCCACTCCCATGACTAAATACCTCCTGCTAGGCCCCACTTCCACCACTGGGGATTGCCTTTCAACATGAGATTTGGAGGGGACAAACATCCAAACTATATCAATCCTGTCTCTGACAAAACATTTTTTAAAAAGTAGCCGTGTGTGGTGGCACATGCCTATAGTCTCAGCTACTTGGGAGGCTGAGGTGGGAGGATTGCTTGAGCCCGCAAGTTTGAGGTTGCAGTAAGCTAGGATCACACCATTGAAACAGCCTTTCCAAAATATAACTGAGGAAATTATGACAGTGAAAGAAATCAGACCTAACTGACTCTATCTTGCTTCTAACCCTTAAGCTGTCCTTGTTCATTCCTGGGCATAGGCCAAACTAACTTTGGGAAGGAATTCAGTTCATGGTTCGACTCTGAAACAAAATTGGTAACAGCCCTTTCCTGAAAAGTCCCCCTTTTTGCCTGGGGTCCAGTCTGCCTTTGCAGGACTAACAAATTAGCTACAAGATTAGAAATTACAATTTAGGGGTCATGTAGCCTCCGGCTCCAAGAGTCTGAACCTCTCCAAATTGCTCTTGGGGAAAACATCACTATTGTAAAACCCAAGATCAGTGCTTGAGATATTTTGCAGACCCTGCACTCGATGGATCAGCAGACACCACCCAGATCAATAATCTGGCTCAACCAGTTCTTCCATCGCACCCAGGAACAGGAGACATTAAGAAAACCTCACTTAGACCCCCTGTGGTTCCATCTCCAACCTGACCAATCCCCAACTCCCAAGCCCCTACCCGCCAAATTATCTTTAAAAACTCTGATCCCCAGCTGGGCTTGGTGGCTCACGCCTGTAATCCCAGCACTTTGGGAGGCTGAGGCGGGCGGATCACGAGGTCAGGAGAACGAGACCATCCTGGTTAACACGGTGAAATCCCGTCTCTACTAAAAACACAAAAAATTAGCCGGGCGTGGTGTTGGGCGCCTGTAATCCCAGCTACTCAGGAGGCTGAGGCAGGAGAATGGCGTGAACCCGGGAGGCGGAACTTGCAGTGAGCCGAGATCGCGCCACTGTACTCCATCCAGCCTGGGTGGCAGAGTGAGACTCCGTCTCAAAAAAACCAAAATAACAAAAAATCAAAACTCTGATCCCCGAATGCGCTGGGAGACTGATTTGAGTGATAATAAAATTGCAGTCTTCCACACAGCCGGCTCTGTGTGAATTACTCTTTCTCCATTGCAATTCCCCTGTCTTGATAAATTGGTTCTGTCTAGGCAGCGGTCAAGGTGAACCCATCCGGCAGTTATACCACTGCACTCCATCCTGGGTGACAGAGACAGAGCCTTTCTATACATAAATAAATAAACAAATATGTAAAATAAATAAATATAATTATATATCTAAAACATTAAAGAATCTACTTATCATAGTGTTTCAGATTCTATTACCTAGTTTGTTGTCTAGGCTGACTCTTGTTCATGGTGTATTAGTTCTATGTATGTTTTATTATTACTTTATTATTAACTGTAAGTTCTTCTTTGTAGGGATTTTTTGTGTCTGTGAATTTCAAGCACTCTGGATTGAGAAAGATTCTGTCAATTGTGGATTTCTGTTTGTTATTTTTAGGTACTCTGAGGAAATCACCAGCCCAGGAACAATATTTATGTTTATTTCTTGGCTTGAGGATTCCTGTGTCCCATGTGTATATACATTTAGGTATTTAGATTTCAAATCTACACATGGCTTAGCTTCAACTCCTCCTCATTGTGGCCCAAGACTTTGGTCTCCTAGTTTGATGTTTATTTCTTCTCTTTATCTTTCTTCCCTTGCCCCTACATAATATAGGCCCTCAGCTTTCACACTTTTGTTCTTGCGAACTCAGTTGAGTATCTATGCTAGTCTGTTTTGTGTTGCTATAAAGGATTACCCGAGGCTGGGCAATTTATAAGGAAAAAGGTTTATTTTGCTTACAATTCTGAGGCTAGAAGGTTCAAGATTGGACATCTGCATCTGGTGAGGGCCTCAGGCTGCTTGCACTTACGCAAGAAGGCAGAAGGGGAGCTGGCATGTGTAGAGACCACATGGCAGGAGAGGAAGCTAGAGAGAGGTAGGGGAGGTGCCAGGCTCTTTCTAAACCAGCTCTGTGGGAACTAATAGAGTGTGAACTCACTCATCCCTGAGGGAAGGCACTAATATATTCATGAAGGGTCTGCCCCCACGACTCACATACCTCCCATTGGGCCCCACCTTCCAATACCGCCACACTGGGGATTCAGTTTCAACACAAGATTTGGTAGGAACAAACATCTAAGCCATAGGCATATCTAATAAAACAATTTTGTTGTTGTTGTTATATTTTATCTAACATTTCCAGATTTTTTTTTGTCCTGTTACCAGATCTAGAAGTTTCATCTTGTACAAACTTTGAGGAAGAAAAAAGTTTGAAATGTTTTTTAGCAAAACTTAGATGTCAAATGGAAAAATAATTGCACAATAACTGTCATTATTAATTTAAGATAGTGAACTGCATTTAGTAATTCTCATTATCCAGTGTCTTCTTTACTGTTTTATTTTAGTGAAGAGAAATAATATGAGAAACAGCTTTTATAACTTCTTCCATGACTTTATCCCCTATGTTTTCCCCATGAGATCTCAACTCTACTAGTTCTTCTGCCTTGAGGGTAGCTTCCAGACTTGTTTGGTTTCTTCCTGTAGCCAGGCTGTGGCTGAGAAACAGCTATGGCTTTTGCGCTTCATATCCCTCCAGATGGATGAATCACACAAGCAGATGGTATCATTCTGGAAAAGGCTCCAGTGTGAACAGGCCCATTGTTCATTTGGGTCCTGCTTACAGCAACAGGCAGATATGACAACCAAGCAACCTGGGAGGTAAAATGAGAGGCCTTTAGCCCTCAGTTCCATACAATTGATCTCTCCTTCCTCGACTCAGTGCAGACAAGAAGGATGACAGAAAAGAGAGTTGATTCTGAGCTAAAAGTCTAATTTTGGCCTTTCTGTTTTTTCTATGGTCTGAAATGGCTTCTTATACCTAAACCCTGAACCTAGTTTTTTTATTTTTTTATTTTTTAGGATTATTTTCCCTGTTCTCTTTGACCATTATTCACCTCTGTCACTAGCAGTTTCCTTTGCTGAGCCTCCTTTTCCTCTTTTCTGTACAAAAGCCAAGGCTATTATATGAAATCTTAAAAGATCCAGTATGGGGATTTAATACAGCAATTGTTTAAATGCAGCAACAGTAATTTGGGTCAGGCTTGTTGCTTTCTGATAGTCTGAATTAATGTTGAGATGGAGCTAGGTGAACCTGGGGAGAGGGATAATTGATATGTCCTTTAAATGAGTGTTTTCCAACCACTTTTACCCAGCGTTTGTAACACTTATGCTGTAGCACACATAGAGCACAGACAGGGTTGCGCTTCACTCTGTTGAGAATTGCTGCCTTTCACATTTAGATATTGTTCAATCAAGTTTAGCCTAAAGCTGCCTCCTTCCATATTTTAAGTTTGGCCTAAAAGTTTCTCCATATACAGTGAACTCTAACCTAAATGGGTGTGTAAACAGACTATAACCTACTCTTGAGCCAGTCACCAAGTTTTGGCCAATCAAAAGGGTCCAACTGTTCAAATGGTGTTCAAATAAGGCAGACCCTGAGCTGTGACCAATCTGGCTATTTCTGTACCTCACTTCCACTTTCTGTACATTTTTCCTTTTCCTGTCCATAAATCTTCTTCCACCATGTGGCTGTGCTGGAGTCTCTGAATCTACTCTGGCTCAGGAGGCTGCTTGATTTGTGAATCATTCTTTACTCAATTAAACTCTGTTAAATTTAATTTGGCTAAGAATTTTCTTTTAACAGATGACATCAGAAGTGGGATCTGAAGTAGAGCTTCCAGTGACCCCCAGGAATGCTGCGTGACTAATCGAGGTACCCACCGGGCCCATTGTGTCCATTGCTCTCTTGCAGCAACTGGGGATCATCATAACTTCTCTCTTGGATTCCAAAGCTCCATGGATTTGTGTTTTGAGCTCTCTGAGTTCTCTGAGCAATTTTCTGATCCAAACTGGGTTTGGAAGTCATGACAGAAACTGGACTGGATCCAGGATTAGATTGGCTCTAATAATTAATTGGTTTGGATCTAGTTAGAGGCTTTTTTTTTTTTTTTTTTTGAGATGCAGTTTTGCTCTGTTGCCCAAACTGGAGTGCAATGGTGTGATCTTGGCTCACTGCAGACTCCACCTCCCGGGTTCAAGTGATTCTCTTGCCTCAGCCTCCTGAGTAGCTGGGATTACAGGCATGCGCCACCATGTCCTGCTAATTTTGTATTTTTACTAGAGATGGGGTTTTACCATGTTGGTCAGGCTGGTCTCAAACTCCTGACCTCAGATGATCCGCCCACCTCAGCCTCCCAAAGTGCTGGGATTATCGGCGTGAGCCACCACGCCTGGTGACGCTTCTTATATCTGAGTCAGAAAGAAACCTGTAGTAAATGGCAATACTGCAGGGGGTATAAACTTTTGGAAATTTGCAGGGATTTTTGTGTTCTACTCCTTTTGTGTCTTTTTCTTGGGGGCTTAGGTAGGAAAAAAAATCATTGGCTAAGTTGATCAAGGGGATCTGAGAGCCAAAGCCAATATTTGAGGTAAAATGGGATCCTAAATTTCTGAAGAACCGAATACCTTCCAGCTTATACATACATACGTATTAGGCCCTGGAAGCAGTGAAGGCTTACAGAAATGGTGAAATCTCACTATGGATAATTTAAAGGTGCAGTGGAACATTCCAGATAAACAAGACTGCACTTGAAGAAGTGTACTTGAAAGTGAGGGCTCCCAAATTAGTCTCATCTATTGCCTATTGATGTGCAGAAACTTGTACAAAGATTTCAGTATTTTTATTTAATCTAATTTGCCCTTAAGATTTTTCTTTGCCTTTGCCTTAGTAAATCCCTGAGCAAAGGCAAAGAAAAAGCTTAAGTGACTAATTGATAAGAAAAATTAAATCTGTCAACTTTTTGGCTTAGTTACTATCCTGCCCTGAAGGTGAAAAAGCTATTGGAGATAAAGTGTTTATAAAAGGTAGGCCCTCAGGTAAAATAGGCTTGCCTCCCTTTCAGATCTGTTCATGCTGAGTCCAGGCATAGAGAGCACTTTCTTTGTCCTGTTCCTTAACAGACTCTACTCTGAACTCGGCGATTTTAGCTAAGAAACAATAGCTAAGTTAAAAAGAACACCTGTCAATCAAAAATACACTTTTCTGGGCTGGGTGCCGTGGCTCATGCCTGTAATTCCAACGCTTTGGGAGGCTGAGGCAGGTGGATCACCTGAGGTCAGGAGTTTGAGACTAGCCTGGCCAACATGGTAAAACCCTGTCTCTACTAAAAATACAAAAATTAGCTGGGTGTGGTGGCACACACATGTAGTCCCAGCTACTTGGGAGCCCTGAACCTCCTTTGGTTGATACTCCTGGATTTATTCTGAGCTGGTGGGTTTTTTTTTCCTCCTCCTAGGAAGTGGTTGTTTAGGATCCCAATTCTAGTTTGGAGGAGTATGCTAAAGGGTATTCTTCATTGCCTTTTTCTAAAGACAAGGAGAACAATCCCCTTTTGGGTACCCCATTTCATTTCTAGTTTGAAGGTACATTCTAAAGGGTCTTTCCCATTGGTTTTCCTCCCAAAATTCATCTCAGTTGGCTGTATGTGCATTTGCATGAGGAACTGAACTGTTGTTTTACTAGAAAAATGAGAGACTGAGTTTTCTCAGCTCCAAAGAGAAAGGGTGTTTTGCTCCTCCCAGCTGAAAGGTGCTCCTAGGTGACTGGGGCCCGAGTGGGAGTGTCTGGGGGTTGATCCCCTGCAATGTGCAGCAGCCCTACAGGGAATCCCCAACAAAATTCGTTTAAAAGGCTCATCCAGGAAATGCATACAGGAGCTCAGTTACTCTGTTTTGAGCCTTCTCAAAGGTGCTAGACCTCTAGCGAGAAACTGAGACACATAATAAGGCAGAAATAACTCAGTGGTGATACACTGTGGGGTCCCACCCACAATCAGCACACTTCAATCCACTACACTAAACCCTAGGCCACAACTCAGTTTGTCATTTTGAGGAAAAACAAAGTAGGAAACATAATCTAAGAGTTGGGAAAAACAAGGAGAATGACCCCCTTTTGGGTGCCCCATTGGTTTTATGGCACTTGTACTTGAAAGTGTTTCAAAATTGACATATTGTGGTCTTTTTGTGCACATTTACATGAAGAAAAAATTCAGGGCCCCAAGGTCGACCTGCAACTATAAAGTTCCTAAGTTCTCTGTCACCTCTCTGTTCTCTTTTCTGCCTTTTTTAAGTCAGCTGTTACTTTCCTACTGATATATAATTCACTGTTTGCATCCAATTGTTTTTTTTTTCATTATTGTTTTTGCAAACAGGGAGTTTGTATTACTATCTCATGGCTAGAGTTCTGAAGTAAAAGCTGTAGGATCTTTGTATGAGCATGTGTGTGTCTGTGTGTGTGTGTTTATGTGTATGTACACATATTTTGTTATGTGTTTTTGGCCATAAGGTACAAAATTTTGGCTGAAGTTAAAGTGTGCTCGTAGAATTAAACAATAAACCCAAATGCTTTTCAAGTTCATGTGACTTTAGTAAAATCTTTAATAAATAGGATGGCTTTAAAATTATTGGTAAAATAATGTTAGAAATGTCTTAAGAATTATCAGTATTTTTCTTTTATTGAGCAAGCAGCTTCATATTTATCCCTGCAGAATACTATAAGGTGTCAGAATTTACCATAAGGGATATAAAATCATAAACCCAGCCCAAAACAGAATCATCTTTGCTTGTGTAATTTTTGATAAATAAGACATTCAATATTGTTCACTTAATGAAAACAGCTAAATCCTAAGTTACTGGTAAAATACCTATGATTTAACCTTATGTTTCCTACTCAGGTAAACACCTAAATTCATAGACTATAAAAATGGTTAACAGGGCAATAACTTTAAATGGTGACTATCACAGTTTTCATGAATATTCTAGGTAAACTATTAAGAAGGTGCCTTGCTTGACCTTTGCCATCTGCCATGATTGTAAGTTTCCTGAGGCCTCCCTAGCCATGCTGAACTGTGAGTCAATTAAACCTCTTTCCTTTATTTATTTATTTTTTTTGTGTTTCACACAGACCTTATTTGTTAAGCAGAGTTTATTGTATTTAATCCATTATAAAATTTGAAAAATTGTAGGAAAGCAGCAGACTTGAATTGAGCAATTCTAACAAGGAATAATTCTGGCCCCATGGCAAAACTGATCAGTTTTAAAACAAAGTAAAGTTCACATCGGTTAGGGGGACAAAAAAATGACACTGCTGTACAAACTTCATTTAAAATTACATGTCTAACATGTTTGAAATGCAGTGTGCTCATGAGGGTTTTTCTGAAGTCTTGCCTGGTCTCTGCTTAAAGAGAGACACGGAGCCTCCATATACAAAGAAACTCGATTCAAGGTGTGTCTGTGTTTTTTTTAAAAAAGGAAAAAGACAAAGGAAAAAGAGATAATGGATGGCTGTTGGCAATGGAAACTGTAAGGAGACTGTGTCCTCACTGCTCACGGATTGTTTATTGGTCAAAGGCCTCGGGAGGCCCAGGACACTTCACGGCCATCACAGTACCAACTGCAGCTATCACCTTTTTTTTTTCTTTTTTTCATTTCCTACCTTTTGACATATATAAATACATATATTATATATACTATATACTATATATTATATATAATATATAGTATGTCATATAAAATATATATTGTATATATACTATATACAATATATAGTATATATAACATACTATATAATATATAATATAATGTATATGTATATGTTATATATAATATATAATATATAATTTATAATTATATAATATATATTATATGTTATATGTAATATATAATTTATAAGTATATGAAATATATTATATGTTATATATTATATATAATTTATAATTATATGAAATATATGTTATATATAATATATAATTTATAATTATATAAAATATATGGTATATATAATATAATTTATAATTATATAAAATATGTTATTATATGTTATATATAATAATATAATTTATAATTATATATAATATATGTTATATATTATATATAATTTATAATTCTATAAAATATATTACTATATGTTATATATAATATATACATTTATAATTATATATACTATACAAATTATAATATATAATTGTATATACTATATAAATTATAATATATATAATTGTATATACCATATAAATTATAATATATAATTGTATATACCATATACCATATATATACTATATATAATTTATATAGTATATAAATTATAATATATAATTTATATAGTATATCAATTATAATATATAATTTATATAGTATATCAATTATAATATATAATTTATATAGTATATCAATTATAATATATAATTTATATAGTATATAAATTATAATATATAATTTATATAGTATATAAATTATAATATATATAATTGTATATATTTAATATAATATATTAAATATATATTATATAATTATATATTTAATATAATATAATATTAAATATATTATATAATTATATATTATATAATTATATATATTTATTATTTATATATAATTATATAAAAATATATATTTGTAATTATATATAATTGTATATACTATAGAAATTATAATATATATAATTGTATATAGTATATAAATTATAATATATATAATTGTATATACTATATAAATTATAATATATAACTATATACCATATAAATTATAATATATAATTGTATATACCATATAAATTATAATATATATAATCGTATATACCATATAAATTATAATATATATAATCGTATATACCATATAAATTATAATATATATAATCGTATATACCATATAAATTATAATATATATAATCGTATATACCATATAAATTATAATATATATAATCGTATATACCATATAAATTATATATAATCGTATATACCATATAAATTATATATAATCATATATACCATGTAAATTATAATATATAATTGTATATACCATGCAAATTATAATATATAATTGTATATACCATATAAATTATAATATATAATTGTATATATTTAAGATAATATATATTAAATATATATTATATAATATATATGTTATATATTATATAATTATATATATTTATTTTTATATATAATTATATAAAATATATATTTATAATTATATACTTATATATACTATATAAATTATAATATATAATATATATTATTTAATATATATTATATATAATAAATATAATAATATATATAATATATATTATTTAATATATATTATATATAATAAATATAATAATATATATAATATATATTATATATAATAAATATAATAATATATATAATATATATTATATATAATAAATATAATAACATATATAATATATATTATATATTATATATAATATACTAAATATAATATATTTAATTTATATAATATATAATTATATATTATAATTATAATATATAACATATAATATATAATATATAACATATACTATATACTATATACTATATACTATATACTATATACTATATAATATAATTATATATATTATATAGTATATAGTATATATAATATATGTGTTTATATATGTCAAAAGGTAGAAAATGAAAAAAAGAAAAAAAAAGGTGATAGCTGCAGTTGGTACCGTGATGGCCGTGAAGTGTCCTGGGCCTCCTGAGGCCTTTGACCAATAAACAATCCGTGAGCAGTGAGGACACAGTCTCCTTACAGTTTCCATTGACAACAGCCATCCATTATTTGTTTTTCCTTTGTCGTTTTCCTTTTTTAAGAAAAACACGGACACACGTTGAATGTATATATATACTATATTATATATAGTATATATGTATCATAGTATATATAATTATATTTATAATTACATATAATTATATGTACTATATAAATTATATAGATAATTTTATGTAATTATAAGTATATATATTTATATATAAATATATATAAATATATATACTATATTATATAATATATAATATAATTATGTATATTATATATTATAATATATAATTATATATTATAATATATTGTATATATTATATATTATATATAAAATATATAACATTTTATATATGTTATATATTAAATATGTAATTATATATTATATATAAAATATAATAATATATTTAATATATAATACATTATTATATTAAATATAAATATATAGTATATAGTATATAGATGTTATATATAATATATAATATATAATATATAATAATAGATATAATTATATATATTTTATATATGTCAAAGGTAGGAAATATATATATTATATATAATTACCAGCCTGACCAACATGAAGAAACCCTGTCTCTACTAAAAATACAAAATTAGCCAAGTGTGGTGGTGGATGCCTGTAATAGCAGCTACTCGGGAGCCTGAGGCAGGAGAATCACTTGAACCCGGGAGGCGGAGGTTGTGGTGAGCCAAGATTGCACCATTGCACTCCAGCCTGGGCAACAAGAGTGAAACTCTGTCTGAAAAAAAAAAAAAAGCTCTTCATGGTCCACTGACTGAGGACAATCAACCCCTTCACAGCCTAGGACCTGAAGATTTGATCTTCTGAGAACACCAGAGAATGACTATCCTTGCCATCCACACTGCAGCAACACTTTGAGACCTTGAACCTTGAGTTCATAACACAACTCAGAAGGGCCCCTTCACACTCTTGGATCTGTATACCCATTGGAAACCTTAAGGTAAAGTTAACCAGGGAAGTTTCTCCCCAGAAGAAGATAGCATTTTTGACATGGACAGCTTTTTATCAAGATCACAGATCAAGATTTCTCTGCTATCATGAGATTCCTATCTTTCAGTTTTCTTCCTTGCCTATGTCTAGAAATAAAAAAGGTGGTTTGTTGTGTACTCATGGGGCATACTTTTATTTTTGAAGGATTTTGCAACCAGCCTTATATATGGACTAGTTGATAGATGGAAGATGAAGGGCCAACATGGGTGAGAAATTTTAATGATATATTTGTTATCACATAATTAGAAACAGAACATTGGTCCACTCCTCTTAACCTACGTCATGGGTTAAAGATAACATTGCTAGGAGATCTTCACTCTTCTTTATGGGCATCATTTGTTAGGTCTCTTTTTTCCATAGTTTGGAGTAAATGAGGCAATGATTAGAAATGTATCCCTCATGATAGGCTCTATAGTAGATTCTACTGTAAAGGCTATGGTTACACAGTAGACTTTAAATTCTCTTGTGAAAGTTATGCTAAATAACAGTATTACTCTAGACTACTTACTGGCTAAATAGAGAAGTATATGTGTAGTTGCTGGCACTTCTTGTTGTCCATGGAGAAATACACTGAGTAGTATAGAGATTCAGTTGTAGGGAGATTAATGACTGTTTGGTTAAGGCGAGTAGACCCTTTATCTAGTTCTTTCTTTGATCCATTTTAGTTTAGTTGGTTTGGTTCATGGAGATCCTGGCTAGGGAGCATACCCCAAACTCTTGGTATCATCCTCCTGATAGTCATAATAGTAGTGTCACTGGCATGCTGTATTCTCTCAAAAGTTTTAAATGTTTGCATGCAGCCATTTCTAGAATATCAAATGGTTTCTCTTCAACTGGGATGACAAAAACTTGAAGAAATGTCTGATCACAAGGACATCATAAGCTATGAATGATGTACTGAGACCAGATGCCCAAAATGATGGTAATGAGAGTGGCACTAAGGCCCTAAGTTTTGGTCATATTTTCACCTAAGTGAGAACCTGACCAAAAAGGGGGAATTTTTAAACAAAATTATGGGAGGCCATTGTTTTAGACAGAGCTCATACACTAGGTCCCAACAGACAAGACCAAACAAAAATGTAGTCACTTATGCTAAAAGTGACATAAACTAAGACTTTAAGGAAACAGATCCTAGAACAGACCAGGTTTTGTTTTTCTCCTGTAAATAAGATATTACAGCATAAGGTGGTACCCTCTATTCCAACTTTTATGAAAAATAACTTGAGGTGGGGCATAGTGCCTCATGCCTGTAATTTCAGCATTTTGGGAGGCTGAGGTGGGCAGATTGCTTGAACTCAGAACTTTGAGACCAGCCTGGGCAACATGGCAAAACCCTGTCTCTACAAAAAATTCAAAAATTAGCCAGGTGTGTTGGTGAGAGGTGACAACGTGCTAGCAGCCCTCGCTTGCTCTTGGTGCCTCCTCAGCCTTGGCACACTTGAGGAGCTCATCAGCCCACCGTTGCACTGTGGGAGCCCCTCTCTGGGCTGGCCAAGGCCAGAGCTGGCTCCCTCTGCTTGCACGGAGGTGTGGAGGGAGAGGTGCGGGCAGGAACTGGGGCTGTGCATGGCGCTAGTGGGCCAGTGTGAGTTCTGGGTAGGCGTGGGCTCCATGGGCCCTGCACTCAGAGCAGCCAGCCGATGCTGCCAGCCCCGGGCAGTGAGGGGCTTAGCACCTGGGCCAGCAGCTGCAGAGGTTGCGCCGGGTCCCCTAGCAGCGCCGGCACTGTGCTCGAATTCTCACCAGGCCTCAGCTGCTTCCCCACAGGGCAGAGCTTGGGACCTGCAGCCCACCATGCCCGAGCCTCCCTGCCCCTGCCGTGGGCTCCTGCACAGCCTGAGACTCCACGACGAGTGCCGCCCCCTGCTCCGTGGCGCCTGGTCCCATCGACTGCCCAAGGGCTGAGGAGTGCAAGCGCACGGCACGGGACTGGTGGGCAGCTCTGCCTGTGGCCCTGGTGCGGGATCCACTAGGTGAAGCCAGCTGGGCTCCTGAGTCTAGAGGGGACTTGGAGAACCTTTATGTCTAGCTAAGGGATTGTAAATACACCAATCAGCACTCTGTGTCTAGCTCAAGGTTTGTAAATACACCAATCAGCACTCTGTGTCTAGCTCAAGGTTTGTAAATACACCAATCAGCACCCTGTGTCTAGCTCAAGGTGTGTAAATGCACCAATCAGTGCTCTCTGGGGACTTGGAGAAATTTTGTGTCCAGCTCAGGGATTGTAAACACACCAATCAGCACCTTGTCAAAACGGACCAATCAGCTCTCTGTAAAACAGACCAATCAGCTCTCTGTAAAATGGACCGATCAGCAGGATGTGGGTGGGGCCAGATAAGGGAATAAAAGCAGGCTGCCCCAGCCAGCAGTGGCAACATGCTCCGGTTCCCTTCCACGCTGTGGAAGCTTTGTTCTTTCGCTCTTTGCAATAAATCTTGCTGCTGCTCAGTCTTTGGGTCTGCACTGCCTTTGTGAGCTGTAACACCGCGAAGGTCTGCAGCTTCACTCCTGAGCCAGCGAGACCACAAACCCACCAGAAGGAAGAAACTCTGAACACATCCAAACATCAGAAGGAACAAACTCCGGACACGCCGCCTTTAAGAACTGTAACACTCACCGCGAGGGTCTGCGGCTTCATTCTTGAAGTCAGTGAGACCAAGAACCCACCAATTCCGGACACATTGGCACATACCCATAGTCCAGCTACTTGGGAGACTGAGGTGGGAGGATTGCTTGAGCCTGGGAGGTGAAGGTTGCAGTGAGCTGAGATTGTGCCACTGCACTCTAGCCTGGGCAACAGAGGGAGAACCTGTCTCAAAACAAAAACAAAACAAAACAAAATGTAACTTGAAGTCCTTGTTCCCACTTTACAAAACTCACTGCTCTGCTATTTCCCAGTGGATTTTGAGACAAAATAAGTACATTTATGGTGATGATAGTCACATCAATGACTAAAGTTTTGGTCAAATTTGAGAGGATGACCAAAAGGGGAAAATTGTTCAATCAATTTTAGCCTACAGCTGTTTCCTTACATATTTTAAGTTTGGCCTAAAGATTTCACTGTACATAGTGAACCATAACCGAAATGGATGTGTAAACAGACTGTAACCTACTCTTGTGCCAATCACCGAATTTTGGCCAATTAACGGTGGCCAATTGTTCAAATCATGTTCAAATAATGCAAATGGTGAGCTGTAACCGATAGAGCTGTTTCTGTATCTCACTTCTGTTTTCTGTACATCACTTTCCTTTTTCTGTCAGTCTTCTTTTACCACATCATTGTGTTGGAGTCTCTCTCAACTCTGGCTCAGGAGGCTGCCCGATTTGTGAATCTTTTTTTGCTCAATTAAACTCTGTTAAATTTAATTTGGCTAAGAGTTTTTCTTTTTCTTTCTTTTTTTTTGAGACAGTCTCACTCTGTCACCCAGGCTGGAGTGCAGTGGTATGATCTCAGCTCACTGCAACCTCTGCCTCCTGGGTTCAAGTGATTCTCCTGCCTCTGCCTCCTGAGTAGCTGGGATTACAGGCATGCATCACCATGCCCAGCTAATTTTTGTATTTTTAGTAGAGACGGGGTTTCACCATGTTGGCCAGGCTAGTGTCGAACTCCTGACCTCATGATTCGCCCAGCTGGGCCTCCCAAAGTGCTGGGATTACAGGCGTGAGCTGCGGTGTCCAGCTGATGAAAATGATTTTTTACCATTCCGGTCTTCCTAGCTGTGGAAAGAAACCTAAATATGCTACCCCAAAGTATACTTCTTTGGTATATTTTGATATGGCTATTCAGAGGGGCTACAACACAGGAATAGTTCTGAAAAGCTGTCCTTTTGTGGGGGAGATTTACGTCTGTAGAGGAAATTTACATTAGTGAGGTAAACAGTAAACAGGCTTTCTCTGAGGCCCCCCTACCCCCATCTGCCTTATTGAGATCTAGGAAATATTAACTCACAGGAAAAGGAGACTAAAAGTTTGTTAATGGAAAAACCAAACTCTGCAAAAATATTTAAGAGGTTTATTCTGAGCCAATATGAGTGACTGTGGCCCAGGGAACAGTCTCAAGAGGTCCTAAGAAAGTGTGCCCTAGGTGGTTGGGTTACAGTTTGGTTTTATACATTTTAGGGAGACAAGAATTGTAGGTAAAATCATAAATCAATACAAGGAAGGTGTACATTTGTTCAACCTAAAGAGGTGGAATATCTTGAAGTGGGGGCTTATAGGTCATAGGTAGATTCAAAGATTTTCTGATTGGCAATGGTTTGAAAGAATTAAGATTTGTTTAAAGACTTGAAGTTAGTAGAAAGGAATACTTGAGTTAAGATAAGGGGGATTGTGGAGGACAAAGTTCTTGTTTTGTAGATGAAGCCTCATAGATAGCCACCTTCGGAGGGAATAGATGACAGTACAGGACCATCTTGGATCGCCATCTTGGACAAGCACAGCCATTCTAAAGTTCCCCTTGATAAAAACCACCTAAATCCAAAGGGCATCAGCCTAATGGCTAAGGTCAGCATGACCATAAACCACAAATGACATCTCCCACCAGAAACATTCCAACCATAAGATAAACCCCTTCCTGACCAGAGATATGCCAGCCCCGAGATAACCTCCCCTCTGGCCGTAGAGATGTCAGCCCCAATATAATCTCCCCTCTGACCAGAGATATTCCAACCCCACCATAAACTTCTTCCCCACACAGAAACATTCTAAGCCTGTGATAAGCCCACTCACCCTAAAAGCAATAAATACTCTTAGTCTGTAAGAGAGAGTGCTCCTGACCGAAATTGGCCAGAAGCCCCTCTCAGGTTTATTCTCCAAAATAAACCTGTCTTTGACTATTGAGCTGCTTTACATGTTTCTTTTTCTTTTTTTTTTGAGACAGAGTCCTGCTCTGTCACCCAGGCTGGAGTGCAGTGACATGATCTCGGCTTACTGCAACCTCTGCCTCCTGGGTTCAAGAAATTCTCCTGCCTCAGCCTCCCAAGTAGCTGGGACTACAGGTGCCTGCCACCATGCCCAGCTAATTTTTGTATTTTTAGTAAAGATGGGGTTTCACTATGTTGGCCAGGTTGGTCTCGAACTCCTGACCTCAGGTGATCCACCTGCTTGACCTCCCAAAGTGCTGGGATTACAGGTGTGAGCCACCGCACCCAGCCACATATTTCTTTCCTTTTTCTTTAACTCTTAAAATAGATGCCAGATGTCTCTTTTCAGACCTTAAATGTGTCAGATTCTCATTTAATCTCTCCTAGATCCAGGAGTGGCCTAGAAAGGAAAGGCCTGGTTGCATTAACGGAGATTCTCTAGGGATGCAGATTTTCCTCAGAAAAGATGGTTTTGCAGGGCCATTTCAAAATATGTCAAAGAAATATATTTGGGGGCAAAATATTTTGATTTCCTCCAGGGTCTGTTGTCATGTGATGCTATACCACAGTCAGGTTGGAATTTGGTATCTTACTGCCACAAAGAGTCTGTTTTGTCAGTCTTACGATCTCTATTTTAATATTAATGCTGGTCAGTTGTTCCTAAACTCCAAAAAGGAGGGGGTATAATGAGGTGTGTCCAACTTTCCTTCCCATGATGGCTGGAAATTCAGTTTTTCAGGTTTCTTTGGGAACCCCTTGGCCAAGAGGGAGTCTGTTCAGTTGGTTGTGTAAACCAAAAGTAAAATTCTAAGCCCTTGACCATCTAAATGGACCCCTCCTTTCAGCAAGGACATTCCAAAGTTTACCTGAAAAACTAGTTCAAGCCATGATGGGAAGTGGAAAGGGGGCATCAGATATGCTTCATTATACCCTCCTCCCTTTTGGAATTACTGATAGAACAGACTCTTTAAGTCTGATAAGAAACCCTTACAATTGGCTGGGCACGGTGGCTCACGCCTGTAATCCCAGCACTTTGGGAGGCCGAGGTGGGCAGATCACGAGGTCAGGAGATCAAGACCATCCTGGCTAATACGGTGAAACTCCGTCTCTACTAAAAATACGAAAAAAGTAATCAGGCGTGGTGGTGGGCGCCTGTAGTCCCAGCTACTTGGGAGGCTGAGGCAGGAGAATGGTGTGAACCCGGGAGGCAGAGCTTGCAGTGAGCTGAGATCGTGCCACTGCACTCCAGCCTGGGCGACGGAGTGAGACTCCATCTCAAAAAAAAAAAAAACCCTTACAATCTATTCTCTCTGAAGCCTGCTACCCGGAGGCTTCACCTGCATGATCAGGTCTTGGTCTCCACAATGCCTTATCTTAACCCAGGCACTCCTAAGTTTTTAGACAGTAACTTAACTCTTTTAACCAATTGACAATCAGAACATCTTTGAATTTACCTATGATCTGGAAGCCCCCATTTCCAGTTGCTCCACCTTTCTGGACTGAACCAACCAATGTACATCTTGATTGATGTTTCATGTTTCCTTAAAATGCAGAAAAACTAAGCTGTATCCCAACCACCTTGGGCACATGTTCTTGGGATCTCCTGAGGGCCATGTCATGAGCCATTTGTCACTCATATTTGGCTCAGAATACATCTCTTTAAATATTTTACCAAGTTTGACTCTTTTCTTTGACAATTGTTGGGCTTAGGGTTTTATTTTTAGTTTACAATTCTGACACTTTTAAAGTTTGACAGAGAGCTCTCACCATAGGCTACCACCTATTCTTTCTGAGGGGAGCTCCAAGATTCCCTGAGAGGTTTTTATCTACAAAACAAGAAGCCATTGCTTGTCATACTTTCCTCTCTTCATTCTCCCTGTGCCGATTAATTCCCCCAACAAGAAACCCAAGCCCCTATTCTTTCCGTAGCCTCAGGATGGTAAAAAAAAAAAAAAAAAAAAAAAACAAAACTTCAGTCATCTGGCTCTCCTTTGAGTCTTTTGCAGGACTCCCATGTCCATAGGCATGTTAATAAATTTGTATGCTTTGTTTCCTGTAAATCTGTCTATTGTTGATTCATTTCAATAGACTTAGACTTGAACTTTCAGAGGGAAAGTTTGAATTTCCCTACACTGTCAACAAAAGAAAAAATTTAATTGCCCTCAAATCTCAGAAATGAATGAAGTGGCTGGATGGCCTAATGGTGTTCCTTCCTTACAACTGTTGTCAGAGGTGTTGGAGCCAGAGTAACTCCATCTTGAACAGGGCCGGGGTAAAATGAGGGTGAGGCCTGCCAGGCTGCATTCCCAGGAGGTTAGGCATTTGTAGTCACATGATAAGACAGGACGTTAGCAGGACTGGTTTCCCAAGACACAGGTCACAAAGACCCCACTGATAAAACAGGATGTGGTAAAGAAGCTGGCCAAAACCCACCAAAGTCAAGATGATGATGAAAGGGACCTCACTGCTCATTATACACTAATTATAATTCGTCAGCACCATGACGAATTTACCATGACAGTTTACAAATGCCATGGCAATGTCCAGAAGTTATCCTATTGGTCTAAAAAGGGGAGAAACCCTCAGTTTCTGGTAAAAGGGTGAGGACCAGAAAACTCATGAATAATTCACCCCTTGTTTAGCATATAATCAAGAAATAACCATAAGTATACTCAGTCAAGCAGCCCATGCTGCTGCTGTGTGTATGGAGTAGCCATTCTTTGGTTTCTTTTCTTCTCTAATAAACTTGCTTTCACTTTACTCTGTGGATTCACCCCAAATTCTTCCTTGTGGAGATACAAGAACCCTCTCAAGGGGTCTGGATCAGGGACACCCTTCCAGTAACACTGCGATCTCACTACCTTTATAGGGTTTTCTTTTTCTTGGCAGCAGTTATCAAAGCAGGAGGCAGATGGTCATCAATATGAGATTGTCTGGATGTAGAAAAGTCAATGCCAGTTTCAGTGTCTCTATACTCTGTTGATAGCCAGTTAAGAGGGAAAAGTAGGCCGGGCGCGGTGGCTCACGCCTGTAATCCCAGCACTTTGGGAGGCCGAGGCGGGTGGATCATGAGGTCAGGAGATCGAGACCATCCTGGCTAACAAGGTGAAACCCCGTCTCTACTAAAAATACAAAAAATTAGCCGGGCGTAGTGGCGGGCGCCTGTAGTCCCAGCTACTCGGGAGGCTGAGGCAGGAGAATGGGGTGAACCCGGGAAGCGGAGCTTGCAGTGAGCCGAGATTGCGCCACTGCAGTCCGCAGTCCGGCCTGGGCGACAGAGCGAGACTCCGTCTCAAAAAAAAAAAAAAAAAAAAAAAAAAAAAAAGAAAAAAAAGAGGGAAAAGTTTCCAGAAAGGAAATTTAAATTCTTTTAATTTTCAAAATATTTCTTGTAGAAATAAGACCTTTGTTTAATCCTAATCTTATTGTCAGACTTACAAATAAATGTATGGGATAGCCGGGTGTGGTGGCGCATGCCTGTAATCCCAGTGAGGCTGAGGTATGAGGAATGCTTGAGGCTAGGAGGTTAAGACCAGCCTGAGCAACATAGTGAGACCACCATCTCTAGAAAAAATAAAATTAGGCTGGGTGTGGTGGCTCACGCCTGTAATCCCAGCACTTTGGGAGGCTGAGGTGGGTGGATCACGGGGTCAGGAGATCGGGACCATCCTGGCTAGCACCGTGAAACCCCGTCTCTACTAAAAATACAAAAAAATTAGCCGGGCGTGGTGGTGGGCCCCTGTGGTCCCAGCTGCTCAGGAGGCTGAGGCAGGAGAATGGCGTGAACCCGGGAGGCGGAGCTTGCAATCAGCCGAGATCGTGCCACTGCACTCCAGCCTGGGCGACAGAGCGAGACTCCGTCTCAAAAAAAAAAAAAAAAAAAAAAAAGTATGGGATAAAGGATAGCTCTCAATTCAGTCCAAAAGATCAATTTCAGTAATGTAAGTAACAAAGTTGATTTTTAAATAATAAAAATACCAACCTCCTTGTTAAAGATATACATGAAATTCACTCACAGCATACTTTCTATAAATGCTGCTATTTAAGATTTGATTTTGATAAAAAAAATGTGTCTGGATCATGTTTATCCTACTTTTGTCCATTGCTTGTATCTGGAGAAATGACCCTTTAGTAAATAATTTTTTCAACCCAGATTTTTCTCTTTGAACTAAGCAAAAGACTTCTGACTGGTTTCCTTTCAGTCAGTTTTTCTCATAGCAGCCAGATACGAGTTGTGTTAGTGTCTTGTGATAGCCATACACACCCACCCACTTCTTTTCACTTTGCCTTGCTTTCTTTAAAAAAATAAAAATAAAATAAAAATGTATGAGTCTCACTTTGTTGCCCAGGCTGGACTTGAGCTTCTGGGCTCAACCAATCCTCCCACCTCAGCCTCTGGAGTAGCTGGAACTACAGGCTGCCTTGCTTGCTTTCTTGATGGGGCTCATCACTCTCTGAAATTATTTGTTTTTTGTCTGTTAGATGTCTATAATGAACAATGAGTGTATGTTTAAAGCCCTTGACAGCTTCAGGATTAAGGATCAAGGATTAATCCCTAATCCTGAAGCTGTCAAAGGGCTTTTAGGATTAAGTCTTATCTTCTGCCACAGCACAATCTGACCCTTGTTTGTCTCTCTGGACTCTCCTACAGTGCTCGTCCCACCTCCTTGGAACCATATCCGATACTCATCTAACCATACCCTCTTCTCTGGTTCTCTGCCACATGCTGTTCTCCATTTCTGGAATATTTTTTCCTCAGCTGACCCCTCTTCATCCTTAAGCCTTTGGGTCCCTGACCCACTGGCCTGAGGAAGGACCCCTTACTGTGTGTTCCATGAACTTTCTGGGCTTCCCTCATTAGTACTTTTTTTTTTTTTGATTTATCATTGTCCATTTGTCTAGATTCCTCCATTAGACATGAAGTTGGGGGTGGAGGTCTGCCCACTCTCTGGTGTCTCTTCAGAGCCTGAAAGAGAGCCTGGCATACATATTTGTTAAAACAACGAATAAATGAATGAATGACCGAAAAACCCAAAAGTAGCTTAGAAGCAATTCTACTTTTGTTATATGATAACATGATAGATCATGTTTTCTTTATCACAATTACTCTGCCAGAAAGCAGGATAAGAAAAAGTCCAGAAATCTTAGACCTGGAGAAATGATTTTTCCCAAAGTTGTATCTGTAGTAAACAGGTGATGTGGGAGGCTGGGTTGGTGATTGGGACGCTTGCATTTATTTCCTAATTCTGCCACTTTCTAGGATTTCTGAAGCATGGGAGAGAGATTCCAAATCTCCTGAGGGGCTGGGAAAAATGCACTCAATTACTTTTGGGACTAAAGTTTTGTGATTCTATATTCTCTGATTTATTAATCCTGTCAATTAGGCAGACTTAATTAATCAGGTGAGATGCGGTGTAGCAGGCCAGATCCTTCCGGGGAACACTTAGGGGCTTCCTATGCTAGTCCACTAGAGAAAGGTAAGGGCATGTTCCCTGAGGACTCAGCTGGATCCTGAGGATGATCTCCCTGTCTCACCGCCCTGCTGCTGGAGGACCACACAGCTCAGGCTCTGCCTGAAGGAATGGGGCATAACTATTAAGTTATGCAAGTTATAACTATTAAGTTGGTGCAAAAGTAACTGCAATTTTTGTCATTACTTTTTATTTCTTGAGATGGAGTCTCACTGTGTCACCCAGGCTGGAGTGCAATGGCACGATATCAGCTCACTGCAACCTCTGCCTCCCAGATTCAAGCAATTCTCTCACCTCAGCCTCCTCAGTAGCTGGGATTACAGGCACATGCCACCACGCCTGGCTAATTTTTGTATTTTTTAGTAGAGTTGGGGTTTTGCCATGTTGGCTAGGCTGGTCTTGAACTCCTGACCTCAGGTGATCCGCCCACCTCGACCTCCCAAACTGCTGGGATTACAGGTGTGAGCCACCGCGCCTGGCCTGTCATTACTTTTAATGGCAAAAACCACAATTACCTTTGCACCAACCTAATAGAAAAGTATCAGAAAAAAGTTTCAGTGAGGAGACTTTATGGGCCTTAAATGGTTTGAAGAGTCTCAAGCCTGCCCACAATGGCTCTTACATGCCCTTAGGCTGCGAAGAAATTTTAAAGACTGACCCCAGATGCTATCTGTGGACCTTGGAGCTGGGAGGAGTCATAAATCCTGCATACAGCCCCAGAGGCCCTCACACAGTGAAGGCAGCTCTGAGGTCCCATCAATGATTTCCCATGTATTTGTCTAGATTCCTCCACTGGCTGTGAAGTTGGGGGCAGAGGTCTGCCCACTCTCTGGTGTCTCTTCAGAGCCTGGCATATACATACTTATTGAGCCAATGAGTAAATGACTGAAACGCCTTAAAGTAGCTTAGAAACAATTCCACTTTGATTATATGATGGTAACATAGTGTCTATTGATGGGAGCCCAGATTACTAGGGCCACTTTTATTTTAAATACCGGATTTGGAGTAATCTGGGACAACTTCCCATTGGTGTTCATGATAGGAAAGGTTGTTGGGAAAAACCACCAGAAGAATCCTTCTGGGCTCTTGGTCAGGTTGGCCTAGAAGTGAGGCAGGAGAATAGGGTCTGGAGGCAGGGAACCTCAGGACTTCCTAGAACTAAATCAAGTGGAAACACTTCAGCTACCACAGGAAATATCATCTTCATTTACATAGGGCGTACACCAAGTAAATGACTTTGTAACTTTATTTCATCCTCTTCATTTACATAGAGTGTATACCAAGAAAATAACTTTGTAACTTCACTTTAGTCTCTTCATTTACATAAGGCTTAACACCAAGTAACCAATGGAAACCTCTAGAGGGTATTTAAAACCCAGAAAATTCTGTAACAGGGCCCTTGAGCCCCTATGCTCATACCTGCTCCCACCCTGTGGAGTGTACTTTCATTTTCAACAAATCTCTGCTTTTGTTGCTTCATTCTTTCCTTGCTTTGTTTGTGCATTTCGTCTAAATCTTAGTTCAAAACACCAAGAACCTGGACACCCTTAACTGGTAACAGAAGGGCTTCTTACTAGCCTAGTCTTCTACAAGAAATTGAACTGGAAGGATTCAAGAACAGAACTTCTGAACTAAAACAAAATCTTGGAAAGATTAAGGCAGAAAGGTTTCTTTAGTTTGGTCTTCATCCTTATTTTCCTTCCAGCCAGGATTTGGATTGATGGAGAGTATTGATTAATATGAAAGATTTGGGGCCTGGTGCGGTGGCTCACAACTGTAATCCCAGCACTTTGGGAGGCTGAGGCAGGCAGATCGCTTGACCCCAGGAGTTCAAGATCAGCCTGGCCAACATGGTGAAACTCCATCTCTACAAAAAACCCCCCAGATTAGTCAGGCATGGTGGCATGCACCTGTAGTCCCAGCTATTCCAGAGGCTGAGGTGGGAGGATCACCTGAGTCCAGGAAGTCAAGGCTGTGGCAGGCCAGGTCTCACTAACGCAGGCCTCCATAACAACTGTTTCAGCACTGACTGTGTAGTTAACTTAAATATTAAAAGCTGAAAGAGCCAGTGTCCTTACACAAAGGCTGGGATGTAACAAAAGCCCACCAAGAGCTTTGCCTAGGTCTTTCCTGGGCCTTAAAGCAAAATAATGAAGGAATTCTTAACAGGACCTGTTTAGGATTAAACAAGTTTTATTGGGGGTCTGAAGAAACTCCCCAGGCCTTCACAAACTCCTCAAACCTTCATGATTTAGCAGGAGACAAAATAAGGTTAATCACTCCAGCAACTGGACCCATTTAGATTGAGTAAATTTACTGAGGCTCCAGAGGAAGGTCTTCAGGACTCACACCTTAATTTTAGATTAAAAGAAGTTAATCACTTATGTCTTTTGATGAATGCACACTTACATGTAGACTTATAGCTTAAAAGGTATATAAGCTCTGGAAAACTTTGTAATTTTGAGTTAGTCTGGTGATAATTTCCAGGCCTTCTCCTTGTAACCGGTTGCAGAAATAAAAATCTTCTTCCTCAGTTCATCTGCATCTTGTTATTAGGCCATAAGAAATAGCAGCCCGACCCTCAGTTTGGTCCGAGAACAAGGCGGCAGTGAGCCATGATTGTGCCACTGCACTCTAGCCTGGGTGACAGAGCAAGACCCTGTCTCAAAAAGAAAAAAAAAATTGCAAATGTTGAAGATTGTGGATTTCATGGATTTTTTTTCTATACAGGGACTGCATTATCTCAAAAAATTAAAAACAGCCAAATTCTCATGTGTCTTCTGAACTGGGTTAATTGCTCTTGGGAGTTTAATTTTAGTTTCTGAGGCCTCTGACTTGCCAGAGGCAGTGTTAGACATGGGGTCATCAGCTTTCCCCAGAGGACTTCCTTTTAGTTAAGAGGCTTGTTTGGGGCTGGAAGAAGGGAATTTTTTTTGGTGGGGGAAGGAATGTGAAAGGATGGTAGTGCTTTTTCTTGGGAGCTGTGCTCACAAGGTCTGAGTTTTGTATGTTGTTTATTTACCCAAAAGGGGAAAACTGCAGTTATCTAATGTTATATGCAGGATATTCCCCAAACCCTGGGACAAGCAAGGTTTCCCAGGTACCTGTTTCTTTTTTTTTTTTGAGATTAGTCTGTGTCACTCAGGCTGCAGTGCAGTGGCACGACCTTGGCTTACCTCTGCCTCCCGGGTTCAAGCGGTTCTCATGCCTCAGCCTCCCAAGTAGCTGGGATCACAGGCATGTGCCACCACACCCGGCTAACTTTTTGTATTTTTAGTAGAGACGGAGTTTCGTCATGTTGGCCAGGCTAGTCTCAAACTCCTGACCTCAAGTGATCTGCCTGCCTTGGCCTCCCAGGTACCTGTTTCAAAGATGAACTGTTTGTGGTTTATGGAAACTGAAGTCTGGCCCTCTAGGGTAGAGTTTAAAGGGACATCTTATTTCCTAGTCACAGGAAGTTTTCTTGCAAAAGTGGGATCATCTATTGAATTCAAACCTGTGTCCCTCATAGGTTAGAGCCTGTGTTCTGGGCCTTGTATGGTTCGCCAATGTAATAATTACCTGGAAAGTTTGGATCCCTTCAACTCACACACCTCCACTACTCAGGTGTCAACAGTAAATGGGTCTCAGGATTCTCAAGGTGTGATGCTTTGGGGTGTGGGTGGTACCCACAAATCTGTTCTTGTAAAAACCTGAGTGGCCCTTAAAGTAAAAGTTTGAGGGGATAGAAAGGAAACCTCACCTTTGGGCCACACACCCTCCTTGCTCTTCTCTGGGTGTTCTTTTTTTTTTTTTTGAGACGGAGTCTCGCTCTGTCGCCCAGGCTGGAGTGCAGTGGCGCAATCTCGGCTCATTGCAAGCTCCGCCTCCCGGGTTCACGCCATTCTCCTGCCTCAGCCTCCCGAGTAGCTAGGACTACAGGCACCTGCCACCGTGCCCGGCTAATTTTTTGTATTTTTAGTAGAGACGGGGTTTCACCGTGTTAGCCAGGATGGTCTCGATCTCTTGACCTTGTGATCCGCCCTCCTTGGCCTCCCAAAGTGCTGGGATTACAGGCGTGAGCCACCGTGCCCAGCCTCTGGGTGTTCTTGTCTGAGAGGCAGTAGTGTCACTGGTAGTGGGGTTGTGACTGCAAGGTGTCCAAGTTCTTGGCATTTTGAACAAAGAATTGGACAAAACGCCCACCAAAGCAAAGAAGCAACAAAAGAATGAAAGCAGGGATTTATTGAAAACGAAAGTACACTCCGTAGGGTGGGAGCGAACCCGAGCTGCGGCTCAAGAGCCCGGATACAGAATCTTCTTGGGTCCAAATACCCACTAGAAGTTTCCCATTGGCCACTTCATGCTCATCTCATGTAAATGAATTGGTAGCCTACAATCAGTCTCGTTGCAGAAAGCAGCCAACCAGAGGCTGAAGTTACAAAGGTCACTCCTGTGCAAACCTATCAGAGGCATTTTGCAACCAATCGGAGGCTAGGGTGAAGTTACAAAGTTATACTTCTATGTGCAAACGAAGACTTGGCCTGCAATCGGTCTGACTGGTTGTGGACCGCAACTATTCAGAGGCTGGAGTGAAGTTACCAAGTTGCAAAAGAAGACTCCACCTGCAATCAGTCTGATTTGTTGTTGACACCCAATTTCCCATTTGTCGTTCAGAAAAGGTCAAAGAGAGTAGCCTCTGGTCGTTTTGTTGCTTAGGTGTGGAAAGTTAGGGTTTTCCTTTCAATTTAGTTCTAGGAAGTCTGCGTGAAGGTTTCCTGCCTCCAGATCCTATTCTCCTGCCTCAGTAGGAGCCTTTTTAAACAAGCCTCTTGTTAAAAAAACAAAACAACCTCTAGACAATTTAAATTTAGCAGTTTATTTGAGCAAGGAATGATTCATGAATCGGGCAGCACTCAGAATTACAAAAGATTCAGAGAACTCTGCAAAGAAGCAGTGATATAGAAAACAAGTTAAAGTACAGAAATAGCCTGGTTGGTTGCAGCTCAGCTCTTGCCTTATTTGGCCTCGGGTCTGATCAGTTGGCAGCCTGTGATTGGCTGAAGCTGGGCTGCAGAGGGGCTGAGACTCAGCTGTTTGTTATTCTCCCAAGTTAGGTTTTCAGTTTATGTGCTAAGTTAGGTTGCGGTTCATTACCTAGGAACTGAGAGTACAGAGACAGCCTCAGGTCAGGGGCCTTTCTTATTTAACACTCTCATGATACATTTTTCTGCGTGAATATGCATTTAATACATGGACATGAAGCAAAGCTGCAAAGGGTGCAGCTTTTCTGGACCTGAAAAACAAGTTGGGTTAAAGCAGGTGAGGCTTCCCCCTCCCCATCGGTGTGTATATAGTTTCTTATCCCTGCCTCACCCTTCCTTCTGCCATTTGCCTTGGCAGTGTGATTTGTATCTGTAGTGCTGGTTGGGGCAGGTGAGGTTTAGTAGGGGCAGTTTATGAAGGCTTGTGTTTGCACACTCTGAGATTTTGGGCCCAGCCTGGGTGCCCCTGAGGACAGGTCTGAGCTGGTTCCAGGGTATGGCTTCCAATGCTGGAGCGTCCTGCTGCTCTCTGCTGCCCCCTGGGAGAATATTCTCACACTGCCGTTCCAGGTCAAAGGCAGGAAGACAAGGTATTAATAATTTCCAGGTGGAACAAACTGGGGGCTCGGCGTGAGAAGAATTTCACTGGTTAGATTCACGTATCGAGAAAAACACACAACATACCTAGAGACTATGGAAAAATCCATGCACTCCAGCCTCTTCATCTGCAGCTTTAATTCTCACGAAAGCATCCCCACATGTGATTGTTTCTGTTCCTTGTGTCCTGGCTTTAAGATCTCATTTCAAACTTGTCATTCTCCTTAATAATAAAAATCTTGTCAATCCCTTGCTGAAATCAGGTCTGTCCTATTTCTCAGATCTGTTAGTTTGGAAGTCCCATTTATAGAGGTGATAAGATTAGGCATGGCTTGTCCTTAGTGAACCTTAGTGCTTCCTTTTCTAAAAGTGGGCATAGTGTACTGGTTACGAATATGAGCTCTGGAGTCAGGGGAGTCTCAGGCCCATCACTGAGAACGAGACTAATGCCTGCCTTCTGTGGTGAGGATGAAATGAGATGATATATAGAAAGCACTCTGTGTAGTGTCTATCTCATAAGCCAATGAATGTTGACTGTTTTGTTATTTCCTAAGTTCTTATAATTCATTCATTAGTTTGTTCCAGACTCTTGAATGGTCTCCAAGTCCTCTTAATTTGTTGACTGCATTCTTCATGATTTCTCCACTGTGATACTCTATGAGAAACAGCAGACACGCAGACACAAGCCTTGACCCAGTGGGGTCACAGTGGGTGGTGGGGAAAATCAGTCTCAGACCCAGTCATGACAGGGGTTAAAGTGAAGGTGCTTTTGGCAGATCACACATGTTCTGCATAAAAGCCAAATCTGCTCTGTTTCCAGTATGTCTAAACACTTCACCTTTAACAGTAAAAAATAAAAACATAAAAACTTTGCACCCTGAGATAAATCAGAAGTATCAGAGTCACCCTGACAGGCCTGGTCCCCAAATAATAAAACGTGAATGTTTATTGTAAACTTGGGCACCTTCCAAAACAAGCTCCCGGACCCCATATTTGCTATGTGGATGTTTAGAGCTATGGCGAGAGCTTTGTGAATACAGCAGTCAAGTGAGTAAGTTGCTGCTTTCTCACCAGAAACACGTGAATGGATATTTTGTAACTTTGGTAATACTGCACATTTTCCCTTTAAGTCCTTGTTATATTTTTTATTTAACCGACCAGTCCTTCAGAAGTCTGATTCTCTTGCTCTCTTTGAAGGTGAACTTTTCTTTCCTTTTGTAAATGCCTCTTTCTCTGAGTATTTTGACACTGGTTGTGCCTTGCCTGAATCATGATGAGGTACAAAGTCTCAAAAGATGTTCCATTTGGTCCACTTTGTTATTAGGTTAAGATTAAAAAAAATTTGAGATACTTTGAGAGTATAAATACTCTTAAGAAGTATAAGTACTTTTAGAGTATAAATACTTGAGAATTACCCATGAGAAGTGGTGAAAATAGTATAGTGAGTTCCCATATACCCTTAGTTTAAGATAGCATCTTAACCCCAGCACATTAGCAAACCAGGAAATTGACATTGGTATTAACTAAAGTTCAGATTTTATTCAGATTTCACCAGTTTTTATATGCACTTTTTTTTTGAGACTGAGTCTCGCTCTGTCGCCCGGGCTGGAGTGTGGTGGTGTGTTCTTGGCTCACTGCAACTTCTGCCTCCCGGGTTCAAGTGGTTCTCCTGCCTCAGCCTCTGAAGTAGCTGGGACTACAGGTGCATGCCAACAAGTTTGGCTAATTTTTTTTTTAATAGAGATGGGGGTTTCACCATGTTGGCCAGGCTGGTCTTGAACTCCTGACCTTAGGTGATCCACCTGCCTCATCCTCCCAAAGTGCTGGGATTACAGACATGAGCCACCACACTTAGCCTATATGCACTTTTTGTGTTTGTGTATGTGTGTGTGCATAGCTCTGTGAAATTTTATCACGTGTAGATTTATGTAAACACAGCCACATCCAGGGTGCAGACAATTCCATCACCCAAAGAAATTCTGTGGTGTTACCACGTTATACTTACACTTTCTCCCTAACCTGACCTGTGACAACTATTGCTCTGTTCTTCATCACTATAATTTTGTCATTTCAAGAATGTTATATAAATGGTCCATAGAGTATGTAAACATTTAAGATGAGCTTTTTTCACTTAGCATAATGCACTTGAGATCCATCCAAGTCATACGTATCAGTATGTTTCTTTCTGTTGCTGAGTAATATTCTACTGTATAATGTACTGCAGTGTATTTCACTATTCACTTGTTGAAGGATGTTTGGGTTCTTTCCAGTTCTTGGCTATTACAAATAAAGCTGCCATGAACATTTATTTATAGTTTCTTAGTGTGCATGTAAGTTTTATTTTTCTAGGTTTCTGGATGACCATCTTATGTTATAAATTGTGTTTGCAGTTGTATTTATAACACAGCTGGTGTTAAGTTGTGCTTCTTGGATTATCCTGTGTGCATGAGAAAAGAACAGAAGTAACTTAGGATGTAAGTGATGCATTTAGACCAAGCGAAGTCAAAAGCTATCATGACATTTGATGCTAATGGTGATTTGACAGTACTTCAAATAGAGTCAATTGGTAAGAGAATTGAGCCATCACAAAACACGTGGTAGTATAAATATGCCAAACTCAAAAACATTTGTGTGGAAACATCAGTTCCGTAGCTGTGTTGTGAAGAGAAGAGTGATTTCGTTCCAGCAGAAAAACATCATCTACCTCGTTATATTAAAACAATTGTTCATTTGGATTTTTATTGGTTTTATAGTTTTCTTTTTTATTTCATTTATAAATTTGTTTTAATTTTATGGCTGTGGACTGGCACATAATCAGCTTAACTACTCAATAAAACCACTATAATATATGTGATTTAATAATGGTTGTGGTATTGAAGAAAGGCAAGGTACAAAACAAATACACTATATTGAAAAAGCTGTAAAGGTGGGAATTTATATCATGTTTTGTTTGTACATATTAATATAGTTGGCATTTTGGATCAAACAGACGTAAAAATAAAGGTGCTTAAACAAATATAGAAGGTCTACTTATCTTATAAAAGTCTGAGCTGGTAGGTGGTGTAGTAGGGTGGGTCGTCTAGATACCCAAGCTCCTTCTAGCTTGTTGTTCTACCTTCTCCTGGATCAGTGCTTCTCAAATTTTAGTGTGAATATGAATTACTTGGAGATCTTATTTAAATGCAGAGTTTGGCATCAGTAGGTCTAGGGTGAGGCCTGAGAACCCCTATTTCCACAAAGTCCCAGCTGCTGCTCCTTCTGCTGGTTCGCAGGCCACATTTTGAATAGTAAGGTCCTGAGTACTGCCTTCATTCACATGGTTGAAGCAGTTTCATCCCCACTTCACTGGATTTCCAGCTATGGGAAGGGGTCCAGGGGAAGTCGAGGACTGGCAGCGTCTTAATGAGAACATGACCAGAAGTTGTTTATGTTCTCTTCACTTCTCACTGCCAAAACTTGTCATATGATTGTACTCAGTTGCAAGGGAGGCTGCAACATGTAAGCTCTGGGTAAAACTTGATGAATTCTATTAACGAAAAGGAAGGTAGGGAGAATTAATGCTAAGGAACTGTTAGTGGTCTCTGCCACAATATTTCATGAGAATTTAAGGCAACACGGGGTTTATGAGAATTTTTTCCTTTTGAAGAGGTGCATGCATTACTTAAGTTTGAGAAACACTAATCTGAAGTATACTGTGAAGTTCCATTTTAAGAGTTAATAAGGTTAAGCATAGCTTGTCCTTAGTGAATCCATAGTGCTTCCTTTTCTGAAATTGGGTATAGAGTACTGGTTCAGAAGGTGATCTCTGGCAGGGCACAATGGCTCATACCTGTAATCCCAGCACTTTGGGAGGCAAAGGTAGGACGATCGCTTGAGCCCAGGAGGTCAAGGTTGCAGTGAGCCATGATTGTGCCAGTGCACTCCAGCCTGGGCAATAGAGTGAGACCCTGTCCCAAAAATGTTTAAAAAAAAGGAAAAAGAAAACAGAAAGTGGGCCGGGTGCAGTGGCTCACGCCTGTAATCCCTGAACTTTGGGAGGCTGAGTTGGGTGGATTACCTGAGGTCAGGAGTTCGAGACCAGCCTGGCCAACATGTTGAAACCCCATTTCTACTAAAAATACAAGAAAATTAGCTGGGCATGGTGGCACGCACCTGTAATCCCAGCTACTCAGGAGGCTGAGGCATGAGAATCGCTTGAACCCTGGACAGCCGAGGTTGCAGTGAGCCGAGATCATGCCACTGCACTCCAGCCTGGGCAACAGAGCGAGACTCCATCTCAAAAAAAAAAAAAGCATGATCTCTGGAATCAGAAAAGTCTCAGGTCCACCACTGAGAATGAGAGTAATGCCAACCTTATATTGTGGGGATGAAATGAGATGATATATGTAAAGCACTTTGTATAGTACATATACCTGTAGTAGCATTCATAGAAGAATTTTCATAATCTCTGCTTTGCCTACCTTTTCAATATCATCTCTCCCTATGAGCATACCTTTTGTGCCAACTCTTGAATGATTTATTTTTACCTGAACAAACACGGTCTCACATCCCCATGTCTTTGCATACGGTATTCGCTTTGTCCTTCGCCATCAGTCATCTGCACCCTAATTAGGGCTGGTTGGCAAAGCAGTATTTCATGGCATGGAGTGTACCCCTCAGCACAGGCAGAAGTTTTGCAAATTTGTGGTTTCTATGGAGACCCCTCAAGAGACAATGGATGGATAAACACAAATGGTAACTGTGTTGGAACCTCTCAGCCTTCTGTTTTGCTGATGGGGGCCACACTGAATAAGGCCCACGTAGCTATAATGAGTTTTGCTGTATAGAGATTCTAGGACAAACCTAGAAGCTAAGTGTCCTGGATTCTATTTGAAGATGTTATTGACTCCTTGGGAAGCCTTAAGATACTCAATTAACTGCCTTGAAGAATACTAGTTTATTTCTTTAAGTTGGAGTATGTAACAGGCTAAGGTTTTCCTTTCTTTGAGAATATCCTACAGTTTCCTACAAAGCGTCAAAACCGTGTGTGTGTGTGTGTGTGTGTGTGTGTGTGTGTGTGTGAAAAGAAATATAAAATTCCCTTTTCTTATTTTGGCTTATCTTCCCAGTTGGAATAAAATTCTCAACACATTTTTTCCTGGATGCACTCATAGTTCAAATGATGTTCCTTTAGGAAAAAAACCAAATCCACAACAAAAATTACCCATAAGATTTAATAAACCCACTGTATTTTTCTGTTCTTTTTCAATTCTATTTTCCATGTATTTTCATCCTTTTATAGCAGGAGCTCATCATTACTTTTTTTTTTTTTTTTGGTAAAATCATTGCTGTTTTTTTTTCCTGTCTAATTGCCTCATTGATTCATTTACCTAATAAACTTAATGGCTGAATTAAAAATAATTACGTGAATGAAAATGTAACCTCCTACAAGTCCTCTACTTCTTTGCACAAGGTTTAACTTTTAGAGAAATAGGTACTTTTGGCCGGGCGCGGTGGCTCATGGCTGTAATCCCAGCACTTTGGGAGGCCGAGGCGGGCAGACCACTTGAGATTGGGAGTTTGAGACCACCTGGCCAACGTGATGAAATCCTGTCTGTACTAAAAAAAATACAAAAATTAGCCAGGCGTGGTGGCATGTGCCTGTAGTCCCAGCTATCTGGGAGGCTGAGGCAGGAGAATCCCTTGAGCCCTGGAGGCAGAGGTTGCAGTGACCTGAGATTGCGCCACTGCACTCCAGCCTGGGTGATAGAGTGAGACTCCGTCTCAAAAAAAAAAAAAAAAAAAAAAAAAAGAAAGGTGCTTTTGACCCTTTCTCTCTATTCCATGCCTTTCTTAAGACATGTGCTGGTTAGTTAACTTGGGGAGTGACTCCATTAGCTAAGTGACAGTAGTCAGCCTGTGTCTGAAAGGGACTTAATCCCTGGTATCTTTTTCTTGTTCAAGTTGAGTAGCTGTGTTCTTTCCCAAGAATGCAGGCTTCCCTCTTTGGATTAATCTGTGTCAATGCCAGGAGCTTTGTCATGGCAAAAGAGATACAGCTGTGAACAAGGAACTTTTACTATGCTTTTAATTCAGTCAGTTGGTCAATATTTATTTAGCACTGTGACATATCAAGAATATAACCTCTGGTCCCTAGGAGCTTCTGACTTAAGGTAGACAAAAATAATGGCAAGACAAAAAATAATGTTGAAACAGAGCTGCAGGAAATTCTTTTGCTACCCAGCCCTTGTTCCAGCACTGTTAGTCTCTTGGTGTTCCAGGACTTGCACACTTCCTTTTCGTCATCTTTCAGCAGAGTTGTACATTGCAGCATGGGCTCTCTGGTGGCGGCAAGTCCCTGAGATGTGGTGTTAAGAGTATGTCTCTGGTCTTCCCTGTGGAGAGTGATAAGAAAGGGAGTTGAGGGCCAGGCGCAGTGGTCCATGCCTGTAATCCCAGTCCTTTCCGAGGTGGGTGGATCACCTGAGGCCAGGAGTTTGAGACCAACCTGGCCAATATGGTAAAATCCTGTCTCTACTGAAAAGATAAAAATTAGCCAGATGTGGTGGCATGCGCCTATAGTCCTAGTCCCAGCTACTTGGGAGGCTGAGGCAGGAGAATCCCTTGAACCTGGGAGGTGGAGTTTGCAGTAATCCGAGATCACGCCACTGCACTCCAGTCTGGGTGACAGAGCAAGACTCTGTCTCAAAAAAAAAAAAGGAAAAAAAGAAAGGGAGTTGCATATTCCCTATGTATCCTCTCTCTGGAGGTAGTGCAAAGCATGTGGGTTTTGGAGTCAGGCCTGACTCCGTTGTGTAACCTAAGGGTAAGATTTTGGCCTCTCTGAAAGCTCAGTTTCTCATCTGTAAAATGGGGATAATAATACCAGCCTCATAAGGCAGATGTGGTGATTAAGTGAAAAAATGAATGTAAAATGCTTAGAGCAGTGCCTGGCATGAAGCAGGTGCTTACTTTGCTCCTTGTCCTCCCAAGCCTCCAGTGGGAACTTCTGCTTTCGGAACAGTGCCACATTCTCTCTGGAAAACAAGCTATGTTATTTGTTAAGCTGCTCCAATGGCTCAGTCAATAGACTAAGAGTTATAGTCCCCAGAGTCAAACGACCTATTGTTATTAAATTGCCTTGGCCCTGCTAGTTTTGGGAGTTGTCATCTTGCACTGTTGATTTACAGTTTTCTTCCAACCCTTCTCTTGTAAATGTTGTTACTAGTTCAGGGCACTAGATGGCGCCATTTTACTAGGTATCGATAACTTTCAAAAACGGACCCCTCTGTCCTGCACTTTAAAAAAAAAAAAAAAAAGAAAAAGAATTTATATCGCATGCATCAGTATAGCCATATATTCCAGCACATCAAAGAAATACCTTTACATTTTGGTGTTTCTTTCATTTATAATAGGGAGAGTGTAATGCTGAGAAATCACCCAGAGGTGCACACGATTTAGTTCCATGGTTTAGTAGAGCAAGAAAACTATGGAGTAGACTCACAGGGAAGCCACAAATTTAATGGAAACTGGAAAATGAAGTGAATGAGGTAAAGTCAAATAAAAGTGGATTACTTGGTGTTTAAAGAATGGATAGGTAGGCTGGGGCACGGTGGCTCACGCCTGTAATCCCAGCACTTTGGGAGGCCGAGGCGGGCGGATCACCTGAAGTCAGGAGTTCGAGACCAGCCTGGCCAACATGGTGAAACCCTGTATCTACCAAAAATACAAAAATTAGCCGGGCGTAGGGGCACGGGCCTGTAATCCCAGCTACTCGGGAGGCTGAGACAGGAGTACTGCTTGAACCCGAGAGGCGGAGGTTGCGGTGAGCCGAGATCACGCCACTGCACTGCAGCCTGGGCGACAGAGGGAGATTCCGTCTCAAAAAAAAAAAAAAAAAAAAAAGAAAAAAAAAGGATAGGTAATGCCATGGTAAGCTCTAACAATGGAAGGATTTCTAGGGAAGATGATAAGCCGCTGTTAATCTCCACCACAAGGAAGAATAGAACAAGAAGAAATGGACTTATATGACTACATGAGAGACGTAAGTTAACTACAAGGAAGAATTTCTGGAGCCAAGGCAGTGTAATGTCACAACCAGGAAAATTATCAAATTTTTCTTTATTAATGTTAAAAACAAAGTAGACAAGAACTTGACATGTACAGGTTGGTTTATTTGCCATTCTACTAGAAGACGGAGGAAGGTTCTCTCCTTTATCATGATGCTTATTTGAAGCCTGGCATGACACAGGGTAGGACAATAGTCTTGTGTCCCAATCGTGCAGGCTGGGACTCGATATGAGCTAACAGGATTAGCAGTGTTTTGAAAAGTATCCCATTATTATGTGTCTGTATATCGGTATTATATTAGAGATCTATAGGAGTTGCTGGCATTTTTTTTCTTGGTTTCTAAAATACTTATATAAGGGTTGGGCTAGAGGGAGGAAAACGATCACAGGCGAAGAGAAAATCAAAGATCTCTTCATTGGCACTGTTTTTTGAACCTCTGTCTTGTTACTTATTATATGATCGCTCAGACTGTGGTTTGGTTTTGTTTATTGGCTATTCCTTATTGATACCTGTAATAGCTTGTAGATGAATATGGAGATTACATAGTTGTGATTATACACCAAGTCCACAAGGGGGCGCCAAACTCGACCTTCTCCCCAGAGTCACCCAACAGTACATATGGTGTCTATCCTGGTCGGTCTCCTTTCTTCCTCTCCTGCCCCATGGTACCATCAGTCCTCCTCCCGAGGTCCCATCTTCGTCCTGGGAGAATGCTTCATGTATGCCTTTTCAGGTTCTTCAGATCCTCATAGCAAATAATAAATAAGACAATAAAACTTTCCATTGCTCACAGTGACTGCCCCTCACTGCTTAACTTAGCTGCGCTATTCTAACAATACTACATCTTTCCAGGCTGGGCCTCACGTGGCTCATGCCTGTAATCCCAGAACTTTCGGAGGCTGAAGTGAAAGGATCCCTTAAGGCTAGGAGTTCAAGACCAGCCTGGGCAGCATAGCAAAAACTCGTCTCTACAGAAAATAAAAAAAAATTAGCCAGGCACAGTGGCATGTGCCTGTAATCCCAGCTACTTGGGAGGCTAAGGCTGAGGCAGGAGAATCGCTTGACCCCAGGAGTTCAAGGCTGCAGCGAGCTATGATTGCACCACTGCACTCCAGCCTGGGTGACAGAGTGAGACCCCATCTCTTAAAAAAAAAAATACTATATCTTTCCTAAGGTCATCTGCCAGGAAGGGGAGAGGTGAAGAAATAAAGATGGTGATGGAGGATTGGGATGAGGTGGAGAAAATTTAGTCCAGCCAGATTTTTCCTTTACTGATTATAAATGCATTGCGTGTTAACTGTAGAAAATTTGGAAACAGATATAGAATAGGACAAAAAGCAAAATTATTTATACTTCTGCTACTTCTAGATAACTACAGTTAATATTTTAAAACATTGTATTCTATGTAGCCATAGGAATTTGGAGAAACTGAAGCAACTGTTTGTAGAGAGCTGATCTGAAAAGTTATCCAGGGGCTAAAAAAGCAAGCATGATCTGTGGATCAGTGGGTAGAGAAAATCTGTTCTCAGAGAGAAAAGTGAGGCAGGGATCTAGAAAGAAAAGCAAATGAAGGTCTCTTGATCTCAGAGAGCAATAGAAAAAGTAAGAGTGGCTTTCTGGATATGAATAACTATTACGTATAAATTAAAAAAAAGAATGGCTTCCTGGGTCTTCTGTGCTTCTCCTTTTCCCAGTTCCCAGGATTAGGAGTTTTGAGCCATGACAGTACCGCTCTTAGGTCCTGTGAGCAGTTTCTCAGTAGCCTTTCAATAGTTCAAACAAGTAGGTTTTCTTTTCTTTTTTTTTTTTTTTTGAGGTGGAGTCTTGCTCTGTCGCCCAGGCTGGAGTGCAGTGGCGCATCTCGGCTCACTGCAAGCTCCGCCCCCTGGGTTCACGCCATTCTCCTGCCTCAGCCTCCCGAGTAGCTGGGACTACAGGCGCCCGCCACCACGCCCGGCTGATTTTTTGTATTTTCATAGAGACGGGGTTTCACCGTGTTAGCCAGGATGGGTTTTCTTTTCTTGAAATCAAAGACCTCTGACTAGAATAGCCACATGAAGTAATAGGAGCTTTATTATTACTGCTATTGACAACCTTATGGAAAGTGCCTTTTTCATTCCATCATTCACTGGAAAGCACAATACTGATGCTCTGCCCAGGGCCTTTTTTTACTATTCCCTTTAACCAGAGATTCAGTATGCTTTCACTTCCAACAGCCCATACCTACAACCCTTCTTTTTTTTTTGAGGTCTGCCCACCTACTGGAACCCACCTTACATGCACGCATAAAGAGCACCTGCCTGGAAATTTGTGCCCCACTGAGGGGACCACTAACCAATGACTGGTTATGGGAATATAAAGCCCTAGCCCCCTTTCCCTGGGTTGGAACAACTCTGAAGCCTAACTTACTTCCAGAGTTCTGCAGGATCATGCTGAAGCTACCAGCTGTGGACTTTGAGACTGAACTTGCAGTAGGCAGCGTCTAAGGTGGTCCCCAACGATCCCCGCCTCCTTATATTCATACTCTTGTGTAATTCCCTCTCCTTGAGTGTGGGATAGACAGGGTGACTTGCTTTTGATCATTAGTATATGGCAAAAGTGCGGGGATGCCACTTCCATGATTAGATGACAAAAGATTGTGATTTCTGTCTTGCGAACAGACTATTTTTTTTTCAGGTTGTACGCTTCAGCAAGGCAAGCTTTCTGGCAGGGAACTGAGGGGAGCCTCTGGCCAACAGTCAGCAAGGAACCAAGGCTCTCAGGCCATCAACCTGTATGCAACTAAATGCTAATCACAATCATTGACTGAGTGTAGAAGTAGATCCTTCCCAGTCTGGGCTCTTAAATGAGCCTGGATCAATACCTTGATTACAACCTTGTGACAGGCCATGAAGCAGAGGACTCAGTTAAGTTGTACCTGGATTCCTGACACACAGAAACTGTGAGATAATGAAGGTGTATTGGTTTTAGATGCCAAGTTTTGGGGCGATTAGTTAATGTAGGTTAATACAGTACCTTGCTTGGTTTCCTCCCATTACCTGTCTTGTTTCCCCCATTCTCTTACCAGTTTTTCCTGAGGTCCCTTTCTTAATAAAGCACTTGCACAGAAACTTCCCTAAGATAGCTGACTGAAGGCAACAGATTCTAAGGATGGGGTTCTAAAGTAGGATAACTTATCAGCCAGCTGGCAACAGGACTATCACTGCAGTAAGTGGAGTGTTGTAGGCATATTGTAGCCTTGCAAATGCTAAGACTGTTATCTGTGATGAATTGGGACAGGGATGTAGGTAGAAGGGATGTTCAGAGACAGTTGAATTAATTGGTTGATTTTGGGTGCTTACTGCTATACTGAAGAGAGAAAATAACAAACTCATTTCCAAAATAGGGCATGGTGTGGAAGTCTGAAGACCTCTAATGCAGCAGCCAGAAGGCAGAACATGCTTAAGATAAGGCTTAGGATCTGAGTATAAGAGTAGCAGAACTTCAGAGAAGACTGAATTAGCAGGTTTTCACAAGTCAATGTCGTGATAGGGAAAGTCTAAACCCTGAGACTTGGGATGGGGACAGTTGGGTGTACTAGATGACACTGGCCCCAGATTCCTCCTGAGTCCTCTGAGCCTGTGGAAATGGACCATTTCCTTTTGCTAGAGGGTAATAGCACCTATCCCTTGTCTGAAGACCGTGTAGAGGCTGTAACTGAAGTGGATGCTTTATGTGCTGTCCTCCTGATCTACTCTCATCTCCCTTCCTGGCCATTAGACTAATAATTTGGATCAAATATTGTCATGTCACAACTCAGGAAGTGCTGGTCCTGCTTAGGGAGAAAGGAGCTGAACTGCAGGAGCTGGCTAATGTGAACAGGCATATTAGCCTGGGAATGGCTCTTGAGAGTGGTGGGCTGCTAGTGTAGACTGTCATATGGAGTTAGATGAGGAGAGAGATTGTTAATATGAATATATTCTTCTGTGACTCAGGATTTAATGTTCTGGCAAGGGTTCTTGGAGACATTCTCAACTATGCTGCTAAATGGCTCCTGGAACATTGAAAAAATCATGGCCCACATTAAAGGAGATAGATCTGCCTTGGCATATTTTCAAGCAAGGAATCAGAAGTCTCACAGTTGATTACTGTGTCAGTTATCAACATATTGTTTCTCAGCTCCAAATCCCTGCCTCCAATTTTTCTTTTCTGCTCTGTGATTTTTGAGCTGACTATATAATCATTTTTCCTTTGCCATCTGGTGCAATATTAGGATTTATTGATAGAGGGTACTGGAGGGATACTGCAAAGTATCAGGAAGGAGGCATGTCTCTTCCTGGTTTTGGTGTGATTGTTTTTCTTTTTCCTCTGATGGTGTGGCTGCCAATAGTGGGCGGAGGCCCATTGACTCTCATTACCCTGCAAGCTTTTGTAGCGCTCCGGCAGGCTGCTACAGTTCTGGACCTCTAGTTCACCAGAACCTCAGCAAACAGCACCGCTAAGGGTAGGAGGGTGCCTGCAGGGTTCTTCACCAGAGGCCAATTTATCATGGTGTCATTAGGAATAAAAAGGATGTGGGCATTCTCCTGGAATATTGCTTCATATATCTGGCAGGGAAAATACCTCAACAATACCTGAAACCAAATTTAAGATCGGGTGGCCAAATACTTGACTTGAATTACCACAGTGGAGAGTTATGGCTCTTCACCCATTTCCCAGACCTAAGCCAGCTCAAAGACTGAGAATCCCTTGCTTGAAGGGTAGCTTGTTCCCTTGAGAAGAACCTTGCAATGTTGCCACAAGTTTATATTATATATTCCCCCAAGCCTTCCTCAATGGGACCTGTGGCCATTTACTAGTCACTGTGCACTGAAGAAAAGGCAATACCTAAACTTTGCAGGTTTTACTAGACACTGGCTCTGAATTGATGTTAATTCCCAAGGAAGCAAAATGCTACCGTGGTCTAGTAGTCAAAGTGGGGGCTTATTGTGGTCAAGTGATAAATGGAAACTTTAATTAATTCCAACTCACAGTGGCCCAGTTGATCCATGAACCCTTCCTATAGTTATTTTCCCACTTCCTGGATGCCATATTGGAATAAACATACTTGTTACTGTTAGGATCCCCATCTGGCTCTGTGACTAAGTAGGAGCTTTTGGAATTTCCCTTCCCTATAAATATAGTAAACCAGAAGGAATATTGTATTTATTTTAAATTATATATATTATTGTCTCCGTTAAAGAATTGAAAGAGGCAGGGTTTATGATACCTATCACATTCCCATTTAACTCGTCAGTTTTACTTGTGCAGAATTTGGATGGATCTTGGAGAATGACTGAGAATATTATAATCTTAATCAGATTGTGACTTTGTAGCTTCTGTCTCAGATACAGAATTTTTACTGAAACAAATCAATAAAGCCCCCTGGCACTTGATATGTAGCTATCGACCTAGCTAATGCTTTTCTCTCCATACCAATTTGGAAGAACCTCCAGAAGCAGTTTGCTTTTACCTGGAAGGGCCAAGAGTACACCCTCACTTTTCTAGGCCTCTGACTGATAGCCAAACTGTTTTCCACAGTCCAGGAATGCAGGTATATGTTGGGCTTGGACAACTTTTCTTTTCACACAAACTGGATGACCGGGTGTACTCACCAATATCTTCCCCCTGGTGTTAAGAGGAGACATATGCATACACTTATAGGAGTGGGCAAAAAGTGTCAGTATCTTTTTATTGTACCTTCATGCTCACTAGAGAACATCTACTGCAGAAGAGTCGTGGTCAACCAGGTTGTCAGGACTCATCCAGTAGATGTCAGCTAGCCTTTGTCCTTGGTCACCCAGTGTCTCTCTGGGGGCCTATAAATGGATAGCCATGGTGGCAGAGATAGAGGTTATCTTTGTGTTGAGTTCTCTTTCACCAAGGCTGATCTAGTGACTGCCACTGCTGACTATTTGAGCTGTTGGCAGCAGAGGTTGAGTCTGAGCCTTCAGTATGATAAACACATTGAGGAGACCAAGTAGACTTGGTCATAAGTTGACTGTGTCAGATCCCTTTTGCACTGGAAAGGGCAACAATTCTTCTTAACTGGAATGAATCAAAATGTATTCTAGGTATGGCTTTGCCCTTCCTGCCTTCAGTTCCTCAGCCAATACCATTATCCAAGGGTTCATAGAGTGTCTTTTTTTTTTTTTTTTTGTGAGACAGGGTCTTGCTCTGTCACTCAGGCTGGAGTGCACTGGTGGGATTATGGCTCACTGCAACCTCTGCCTGCTGGGGTCAAGTGATCTTCCCACCTCAGCCTCCCGAGTAGCTGGGACCATAGGCATGCGCCACTACTCCCAGCTAATTTTTTTTTTTTGAGATGGAGTTGCACTCGTGTTGCCCAGGCTGGGGTGCAATGGCACAATCTCGGCTCACTGGAACCTCTGCCTCCCCGGTTCAAGCTATTCTCCTGCCTCAGCCTCCCAAGTAGCTGGGATTACAGGTGCCTGCCATCACACCCAGCTAATTTCTTTTTTTTTTGTATTTTTAGTAGAGACGGAGTTTCACCATTTTTGGCCAGGCTGGTCTCAACCTCCGGACCTCAGGTGATCCGCCTACCTTGGCATCCCAAAGTGCTGGGATTACAGGCATGAGCCACTGTGCCCCGCCCCAGATAATTTTTAAGATAAGTTATTTGTAGAGATGGGACTTCACTAGGTTGCTCAGGCTGGTCAGGCACTCCCTGGCACAAGCAATCCACCTGCCTTGGCCTCCCAGAGTGCTGGGATTACAGGCATGAGCCACTGCACCTGGCCAGAGTGTCTGATTTACTAAAATGGGATCTAACATATAACACAGACCAGCGTATGACCACATGTTAGAAATGACAATTGGACATATGATCGTGAAGTCACCGATCTTACTGTGTATTGCATAGTATACTAGTTGGCTGAACAACCTTGGAATAGCCTCTGGAAGGTATGGTCAAAGTGTCACCTTGAAGATGATAATCTGCAAGATTGGAACACTGTCCTTTAAGGTGTAGTGTTTCTTTTGAGTCAATGGCCATTATGTGGTTTTGTGTAGAATGAGTCTGGGTTCCAAGAGGTGGAGGAAGGGGTGGAAGAAGCTCACCATGAATCCCAGTGACCTGCGTGGGAAATTTGTGCTTCTTGTCCTGCAGTGTTGGGTCCTAGCATTCTAGAGGTTCTGCTTCCCAGAGGGGAATACATCAGGATTCTCAGAATCCTACTAAACCGAAAACTCTACCTTGTCATTTTATGCCTCTCATGACATGAGATCATCAGGCTAAGAAAGGAGTTATACTGGCAGGAGTAATTGGCCTTGATCATGAGGAGGTAGGGTTGCTTTCCCATAATGGGGTTAGGAAATAGTATGTTTAGAAGGAGATCCACTGGGATCTCTTGATGCTGTCATGTGACAAAGGAATTATAGCTGCTGTAGCCTGCCAAGGGCATGGAAACCAGGAGCTCAGGAGCCCTCAGAGTTGGAGGTCTAGGTCACTCACCAGGCAAGCAGCCTAGACCAGCAGTTGTGCTAGCCAAAGGGAGTTCCTGATACATATCAGGAACCACTGCAACAGTGAGAACTGTGGCTTTTTTGTGTGCATGTGTGGCAGGATCTTGCCCTGTGACCCAGGCTGGAGTGCAGTGGTGTGATTATAGTTCACTGTAGCCTCGACCTCCCAGGCTCAAGCCATCCTCTTGCCTCAGCCTCTCAAGTAGCTGGGACTACAGGCATGTACCACCATACCCAGCTAATTTTAGAAATTTTTTGTAGAGATAGAGTTTCCCTATGTTGCTCATGCGGTCTCGAATCCCTGGCCTCAAGCAGTCCTGCCTTGGTGTCTCAAAGTGCTGGGATTACAGGCATGAACCACTGCACCTGGCCTGTAGCTTGTTTTACTAACTTCCTTTTGTAAAAAGGATCATACTAATAGGATCAAACTTAATCATAAGAATAATCATAATTTATAGATTTTATATATTCTTGGCGCTGTTTTAGGTACTTCACATTTGTAAATTCAATTCTCACACAACCCTATGAAGTCATTAGTATTATTATGATAACTTTATAGATGAAGAAATGGAGACCTAAGCTGAAGTCACTAAGTGATCAAGAGTTCAGAGGAGGATATGGATTGTGGGATAACATTTGAATTGGCTTTTGATCCTTTGCTTTAAGGCGGGAAGGATGAATAGCAGATTCAGTGGATGCATAGAGGGGAGGTATTCCAGGTGGAGGACATGGAATAAACAGATGCACACAAGGACCAAATAGAGATACAGGCTTGGTGAGCGACAGCTACATGAGTTTGCCAGAGCACAGGACTGATGATAGCAAGAAATGGGAGGTAAATTTTAAAAAGTATATCTGGGCCGGGCATGGTAGGTGGCTCACACCTGTAATCCCAGCACTTTGGGAGGCCAAGGTGGGTGGATCACTTGAGTTCAGGAGTTTGAGACCAGCGTGGCCAAGATAGTGAAACCCCATCTTTACTAAAAATACAAAAATCAGCCAGACACGGTGTTGCGTGCTTGTAATCCCAGTTACTTGGGAGGCTGAGGCATGAGAATCGCTTGAACCCGGGAGGTGGAGGTTGCAGTGAGCCGAGATCGTGCCACGGCACTCCATCCTGGGCTACAAAGTGAGACTCTGTCTCAAAAAAAAAAAAAAAAAAAAAAAGTATATCTGGGCCCTGCTAGGTAGAGTTCTGAAGGCAAGTTAAAAACTTTGAATTGTGTTTTTGGCAATAATGGAGATTGAAGGGTTTTTAAGGGCAGATGTGGCATGATCAAAGGAGCTCTCTAGAAAAGTAGTTTCTAAATGTTGGATGGTAAGTAGATGCCAGTTTGGCTGCCTAAAATTTGCGTGGGGATGTTTTAATAACACGATTCCTGCGACGCACTTGGGGATTCACCAAACATATATCTCTATTGATTGTCTTTTCTCTTTTTCCTTGTCCCTGACTGTCAGGTTTCTTTTCCTCTTTAAAATGGAGGCCCCCTTTCTTGCTCCCTCATATTTATTTGTGACAACAGTTAATTGTGACTTCTGGTTTACATACCTATTATGTCTGAGGTTACTCAACTCAGTTCTCAAATGTTTGGTGACTTCTAAGTTTTTCCATGTTGGAGGTCTTGCTAATAAGACTCATGAAGAATTCACTCTTCTCTTTGGAGTCCCTAAATAAATTAAATCCTTTGGGTAATTTTTTTTTTGAGACCGGGTCTTGCTCTGTCCCCCTGGCTGGACTGCAGCAGCACAATCATAGCTCACTGCAGCCTCAACTTCCCAGGCTCAAACAATTCTCCTGCCTCAGCCTCCTGAGTAGATGGGACTACAGGCATGTACCACCATGCCCAGCTAATTTTAAAGTTTCTTGAAGAGACAGGGTTTCTCCACATTGCCTAGGCTGGTCTTCAACTCCTGGGCTCAAGCAATCTGCCTGCCCACCTTGGCCCTCAAAAGTGCGGGGATCACAGGCATGAGCCATTGTGCTCAGCCTCATGATAATTTTTGAGGGACAGTTTTCCAATTTTTCTTTTGTCTTCACTTTTCCAAGCTAAATAGTGTCTGTCCTTTTAATCGTTCCAATTGGGTCATGGTGTCAGACCTTCAATATTGTGTCAGGTTCTAGTATACTTGTGATCTTCTTAGATGCTGGCGCCCAGGATGGCATACAGTGCACTAGATATGATTATGATCCATATAAACTAGAGTGGGACCATCCCCCCCAGCACCACCTGCCACTGGACACTAGATCTCAGCTCAGGGTCAGTAAGAGCTCAGTGGCCCTAGCCCTCTGCTGTTCCTTGTAAAGCTTGTGGCCACTAAAGCTTCTAAGCCTTTTCCCTTCTTGCTCCTCGTCATACCTCTTTCATCAGTTGCACATGTGGTTGATTCCTAGAGAGTTATTGAGGAACTGAACTCATGACTTTAGCTGATTGATGATCCCATCCAGCTTTCTTGTGATGGGTAATTTAGTGTAATATTGGCACAGTTGTGATTCCATCTACTTTTCTTGTTCTTTTCTTTTTTTGAATGACATAAACCAGTATTTGCTTTTATTATTATTGTCTTATGTTCTAGGTCTGGTTATAGCCCTTATTTTTTTCATAAAACTAAAAGTTAAACTTCTTTGTATGTTTTACCATCAGTCACGAAGAATAAGAACTTTCAAAACAGAGTTTTGTTTTGTCCTTTAACTGGTGCATATGGTCACTGATTTTTTTTAGATGAGTGAACATGGAAAAGAAAATTGATACCTAGGAGACAGATAACATGTGATGATGTATTTTTTTAATAATCAAGGTATAATTCATATATCATAAAATCTATACATTTTAAAGTATATAGTTCAGTGATACCGTTTCCTCTATTGTTTCCTCTACCTCTGAGAGATCATATTGTCAGCTTTTAGAATACTAAGTTGTGAAAGCATCATCACTATCTAATTCCAGAACATTTTTATTATTGCCAAAGAAACCCCATACCAGCTAACACAGCTAATAGCCGCTCCTCATTTCCTACCCCGCCAGCTCCATTTAGACTCTGTCTTCCTGCCATTCTCTATGTGTGGACACTTGAGCCTTCCATCTTGGAGCTGACTGGCACACTTTTTTTCCTTTACATCGTAAACTGTACAGAGGAGAATCTTGCATTTACAGAGTTCTGATATCCTATTTATTAAATTATACTGGATTCTTAGGAAGAAGTGAACCGATTTGCAATAGCAAGGGGCTTTTGTCACCACCATCTCCTCCACCTGGGCTTCAGTTTCTTCAATATTCATATTATTCTTTCCAGTCAAATGCCTATTTTCTTTAAAGAAAAGAAAGAAGCAAAATAGAAGTTGACCAGCCTGGGCAACATGGTGAAACCCACTCGAAGAAGAAGAAGAAGAAGGAGAAGGAGAAGGGGAAGGGGAAGGGGAAGGGGAAGAAGAGGAGGAAGAAGAGGAAGAAGAAGAAGAACAACTAGCTGGGTGTGGTGACGCATGCCTGTTGTCTCAGCTACTCAGGAGGCTGAGGTGGGAGGATCACTTGAGCCCAGGAGGCGGATGTTGCAGTGAGCCAAGATTGCACCACTGCACTCCAACCTGGGTGACAGAGCGAGACTCTGTCTCAGAAAAAAAAAACAACAAAAAACCAAAACAACAAAAAACCAAACAATCAAAATAGAAGTTGAGCAGTCCTGCTTTCTCTATGATCTGTTAACAGCGTACCATAATCTCTACTCAAGTGACTTCTATCTTTCTTGTCCTTGTTCCAAACAAGGTCACAGAAACCTTTTTATTTCTGCTTGCTGTCCTTAGCAGCACTTGCACATTTTGGGTGTTAGCCTTCCTGACAGTTTCCATAGGTTTGGACCCATGTCTGCATTTCCTCTTGGCTGTGGATCTCCCTCTGTGGTACGTGCGTCCTTTCCAGCCCTAAGCTTACTAAGGTACTTTCGGTGTAGCTGCATCAGTCCTTGCTCTCCATTCTTCTTCTAGGAACAATTTCCAGTAATTAGTTCAGAATTTTCTTTCTGAAAGCCCTACCTTCTCTGCATAATCTTTCCTTACAGAACTCCAGATTGAGTCTCCAGAGTTATGCTCTTTTCCTGCCACCACAGGACAGGAAACTGTCAGTTTTCCCTATGCCAATGGTCATTGTTCCAAAATGACAGAGTCTCTTTGTTCCCCAAGGTTCTTGTCACTTTATCTTCACCAAACAATTCTTCCATGTTGGTCCAGAAAAGCAGTTTCCTGCATTATTTCCTCTACCTCTGAGAGATCATATTGTCAGGCTGAATTTGTCAGATGCACTTTCATAAATGGAATAGGACATTGCCTTGGTAAGACCTTTGTAGTATGTGATTACGTGTTCTTTTATAAACATTCATGAAGTATACCTTGTGGAAATCCACCTGAGAGTAGGGATGAAAGAAAAGGAAAGTCGTATCCAGAGTTGACAAAAAACAGGGCCACAGAGGCACATACCTGGTTTCTCTAGAAAATGACGGTGATTTTAATCACCACTTTTTGGGAGTAGTCAGGGAATTTACTTACTTTCCCATGCAGATGGATGATTAAGTTAGGATTCTGGCTCTGCCCTAACTAACTGTATGACTTTAGGCAAATTAATTATCCTCTCTAATCTTTGTTTTCCTAATTTAAAAATTATATTTTGCAACCCAGGAGCATAGATTCAAGTTGCCTTGAATATACACTTCCAGGTTTCCTCATTTGTAAAATAAGAATAAGAATACCCAGCTTAAAGAATTTGTGGTAGATTAAAAATGGCTACAAAGTTTTTAACACTCCTCTCATTGACAGGTAAAATCTGAGTCTCTGCTCCTTCAATCTGTTCATTATAATTGTTTGACTAAAAGAATATGGTAGAAGTGACAGTGTGCCAGTTTCTGAGCCCATGCCATAAAAGACTGGTAGTTTTTACTTCTTTTTCTTGGAAAGCTTTCTCTGGGGTCTTGAGCCAACACGTAAGAAGTCCACATACCCAGAGACCGCCATGTTGGAGTCTTAGTATGCAATAGTCCCGGTTGAGCCCAGCCTTCCAGGCCATCCCCACAAAGGTGACAGACATGCTACTGAAGCCATCTTGGACTCTCCAACCAGCCCATTTATGAGCTGATTACCAGCAGGTAGCCTCACTGATGGCAGTTGATGCCTTGTAGATAAAAGGAACTGCCCAACCAAGTCTTGATCAAATTCCTGACCCATAGAATCATGAGACATGATGTAGGTTGTTTTAAGCTGTTAGTTAAGCAGCAATAGATAACTGGAACAGAATTTGGTACCTGGGAGTGGGGTGCTAATAAAACCCTAATGCATGTGACATTGGCTTTAGGGCTGGGCAGTTGGCAGAAGCTGGAAGTCCTTGAGGAGCCAGTTCGTAAAAGCTGGGAGGCCATTGAAAAGACTGCTGGTGGAATATGGAAGGACATGGAGAAAATTGGGTTTGGAGGTGGGAAAAAATGTGATCCTTGTGGAGAAAAATTTGGCAACATTGTTATCTGTAATAATGTGGAAAATAGAAAATAAACCTAGCAAACTGGTGGATTTGGGCAGAAAGATTTCCTGGCAGAATGTTGAAGATGCCAACTGATTCCTTTGAGCCACTTCTGATAAGCTATGGATAGAGACAGATAAACTTAAAAAAAAAAAAAAGAAAATTTCTAGTTTTCAAACAAATTTTAAAGGAAATATAAAGGGGTTAGGCCTTAATGGATTTGAAATTAAAAGTGATTCCATACCATCAGTCCTAAATCCCATCTAAAATGTATTTTAACCTACAGTAACTGTGATAATGGAGGGTCTAAATGCTGAAATTCAGAGGAGCTAGCTTTAACATGAAATCTGATGTTTTATATGTTGCTAATCCCCTTCAGAGAACGTTAGGGTAAGCCAGGGCAGGAAGAGAAGTAGGAAAAATTGGAAAGGTAAAGGAAAAGGACACTCAGTTAGAAAACTGTAAGAAAATGCTTGTTGAAATTTCCCTATCATTAGAAAGAAAAATGTATAATGAAAACTGACAATAAAGACATGAAGGGCTAATTTTCAATTTCAATTTGTCTTTTTGAATGATGCGTCTTTGGAATTTTATGAGGGGTAAATGATATTTGAAATGAAGTCTTTTAAATAAGTTATCTTTTGGGTAGTTATTCTGCACACCTTTAAAATGCATTTTACTTATTTGTGGTGGGTGGAGTAGAAAGATGAATTCTGGAGAAGTTGAGAGGAAAATAATTTCAGGAGGTAATGGATGAACTTGGTCTGGAAGATTAATCAGGGCAGTTGTAAGAGAGTGCCAAATGCATAACCAGAGTAGAACTAAATATCTGATTGTAATTAAAACTTTAGGTTTCTAATGGCTGCATGAAAGATATTTTAATAAACCTGAAATGCACTTTCTAAATGGCACGCTAACTTTTAATGACTTGGGTGTTTTGTTTGATTAGTAACCTGGACTGTTAAATTAAAGCCAACTGCAAGTGCATGATAAAATATTGATGGTTTCAGGCAAATGAATTGGGGGAGTTATGCTTGACAGATTTTTTGTATCATTAAGGATTTTAACTGGTGGAAAATATATATTGCTGGTGCTTAAAGATAGTTAAAGAGGATCTTCCTGTTTATATGACCTCGTTTCAATTTTACAGTAATAATAAGGGAGAAATCTGAATTATTCACAGATGATTGGTCAAGAGAGGTCACTTAATTAAAAAAGTGTTATTTTAATTACACCTGTTTCACATTCCTGGAATAGGAAATTAAATATTTTGCGGCATTTGATTATTTCTGTTTCACAGAATACCTGGACTTTTGCTGATTCTTGTGAAGACCTTACATTGTCATGTGTGAGGCTTGTACTGCTTGTTTTAAAGCAGGGAGTTTTGCTTTAAGAATCAGAATTTAAGAAATAGTTTTTTATGGTCCATTTTAGAAATAATGCAAGAAGAAAAAACATAATTTTATGGGCATATGTACACAGGCATGTGTAATATATATAGTATTGTATGTGAAAGATAATTTCTAGAAGGAAATAAGAGGCATGGTTACTTCTAGGCAGCAAAGCTGTGGAGTCAAAACAAAGGGAAGTTTTATTTCTTTGTTTTTGTGAAACGACAATGTGTTTTGCAGTGAGAATGTCTTAGTTTTATGAAAAAGTTTCCCTTTGAAACCAAAATTTATCTTTTAACAACTTAACTGTCCCTTTTCATGTGTCTCTCCTTGTAACAGAACATTTTCTTGATTTTGCCAGATGATATGGTTATTTTTAGGAGGTTTTATCACTGCATCCTTCCTTCCTTCTGTCCCCACAACCATTCATCGATCCTCAAATATTTAGTGTTTCTTGTCTCTTAATGCTTTTTATAGCCTACATAAAGGTAACTTTTGGACAAAGAGAACTGAGCAGTGTTTTAAAGGTAGTGCTCTCTCTGTTAAGATTTTAGCTGTGTGAAGGAAAGGAAAAAGGTAAAACTTTGAGAAAATGAAGGAACTTAGGGAAGGATGATAGGACAGTAACTTAGGGTGGCCTAGCATTGTGTGCTTAGATATTCCCTCATATAGAAGGAAAACACTGGCACCTTCTCAATTAGTGAGAGACTTGCAAAGTGCTGGAGAGACACCCTGAGTAGTGACGGAACAGCCTCTTCCCAAAGGAAGTGTCCAGCCCCTTCCCATGGTGATGACTTTTGGGTACTTTAGAAACATAGGAGGTTGGGTGTTGAAAAGACACAGGGAAATTCCTGGACAGTATTTGGCACACACACACACACACACACACACACACACCCCCACACACACCCTCCTGTCCTATTGCCTGCTCCTCAAATGATTGACCCTCAAGGGGATGAAGGATATAAAATTAATTCAGGCTTTGCCGCTTACTTGTTGTATTGCTCCAAGCTAGTTTCTGTACCTTTCTGGGCTTCTTGACTATGAAATGAAGACATTTATTCTATGTCAGAGTTGTTCAGATTAATAAACTCATCCTCAACTACTATATTGAAGTTCAGTAAAATTTTTTTTGTACTTCTAAGGAATTCTAGTTGATTAGATTTATTTTTGAGTTAGCTAATGTTTATATTAATAAATAGTAGTAGTAGGCTGGGTATTGTGGCTCTCACCTGTAATCCTGATTGCTTTGAGAGGTCATGGTGGGAGGTGGGAGGATTGCTTGGGGGCAGGAGTTTGAGACCAGCCTGGGCAATACAGCAAGACCCCTGCTCTGCAAAAAATTAAAGAATATCTGGGCATGGAGGCATACATCTGTAGTCCTAGCTACTGAGGTGAGAGGATCATTTGAGCTCAGGAATTTGAGGTTACATTGAGCCATGATCGCACTACTGCACTCCAGCCTGGGTGATAGCATGAGAAACTGTCTCTAAAAAAAAAAAAAAAGTAGTAACAATAACAGCTACAATTTATTAACTCTTCACTGTGCTAAGTGCAGTTCAGTGCACTAATTTCTTCTGCAACCCTATGGGGTAGGATAACCTTTACAGATGAAGAAAATGAGGCTCAGAGAAGTTAAGTAACTTGTTAGTAAATGACAGATCCAGAGATGAGAACTCACAGCATTAAGTAGCATATAATTTGGCTGCTATAACAGAAACCCAAATAAAATAACTTAAACAAAATGGAACATTATTACTTTCCCATGAGGGTCTGTGGTTGAGAAGGTGAGAGTCTCAGACTCTTTCTAGCTTTTGTTCTGCCATCCTCAATGTGCACCTTTCATTTTATTCAAGATAGCTGTTCCAGCTGCCAGCATCCCACTAACATTTTAAACAGCAAGGAGGAAAAAGAGGCAAATGCAATGCAAGCTCCTTTCCTTTTAGGGCATGGACCCTGAAATTCTCCACATCACTTCTGCTTTCATCTTTTTGGTCAAAGCTAGGTCATATGGCAAACTACCTGGGAGCGAATCTGGGGAAGGTAGTCATTTTCTGGACAGACATGTGTCCCATTAATTTTTGATTTTTTTTTTCCCAAGGAAGAAGGGGAGAGTCGATATTGGAAGAGTAGCAATATTTTTCTCACCTATTTTTTAAAATTGCCAAATTTAGGCTCTTAATCATTAGGGTGTAAGTAAGCTTCACTTCGTCAAAGATGTCAATATTAGGGAAAACTTTCTAACAAACAGAGCTGTCCAACCACACGAAGAGAAGTGAGCTGTATTCACTGCACGTTATCCAAACAGATGCTAGTTGACAAACACTGCTGTGCACTGCATGAGTGTTCTGAATATGTCTGCTGTGTATCAGATAAGTGTTAGACAATCTTGTGTTTCTTCCAATTCTGAAATTCTATAGTTCGATTCAAATTGCTTAGTGGCCATACCATATATATTGACCCCACAAACATACCTTTGTATAAAACCATGAACAAACTCGTGGACTCAACTATGCAGAATGTTATCTATAGATTTAGATCTATATTTGAGCTTTTAAAATTCTATGTCTGGCGGGGTGTGGTGGCTCACGCCTGTAATCCCAGCACTTTGGGAGGCCATGGTGGGTGGATCACCTGAGGTTAGGAGTTTGAGACCAGCCTGGCCAACATGGCAAAACCCTGTCTCTACTAAAAATACAAAAATTAGCTGGAAGTGGTGGCAAGTGCCTGTAATCCCAGCTACTCAGGAGGCTGAAGCAGGAGAATCACTTGAGCCTGGGGTGGGGGTGGCGGCGGAGCTTGTAGTGAGCTGAGATCTCATCACTTCACTCCAGCCTGGGTGATAGAGCAAGACTCCGTTTCAAAAAAATAGAAAAAGGTATATATCATGTACATACTGAACTTAGTATCTCTTTTACCTCTTTTTTTTTTTTTTCTGAGATGGAGTTTCGTTCTTTTGCCCAGGCTGGAGTGAACTGGCGCCATCACCACTCACTGTCTGCAACCTCCGCACCCCCTGCCCCCGCCCCCGCCCCCACCCCAGGTTCAAGTGATTCTCCTGTCTCAGCCTCTGAGTAGCTGGGATTACAGGCACCCACCACCACGCCTGGCTAATTTTTGTATTTTCAGTAGAGACAGGGTTTTGCCATGTTGGCCAGGCTGGTCTTGAACTCCTGACCTCAGGTGATCCACCCGCCTTGGCCTCCCAAAGTGCTGGGATTACAGGCATGAGCCACCGGGCCCAGCCAGCCTCTTTTACCTCTTGTATTAGTCCATGCTCCAATTGCTATAAAAGAATACCTGAGACTGGGTAATTCATACAGAAAAGAGGCTTAATTGGCTCATGGTTCTGCAATCTGTACAGGAAGCATAGCAGCTTCTGCCTCTGGGGAGGCCTCAGGAAACTTCCAATCATGGCGGGAGGCAAAGAGGGAACAGGCATCTTACATAGCAGGGGCAGGAGCAAAAGAGAGATGGGGCAAGTGCTACACACTTTAAAAATGACCAGATCTCACAAGAATTCACTCACTATCATGAGAATGGCACCAAGGGGATGAAGCCAAAACCATTCGTGAAGAATCCATTCCCATGATCCAGTCACCTCCCACCAGACCCACCTCCAACACTGGGGATTGCAACTGAACATGAGATTTGGGCAGGGACACAGATCCAAACCATATTACGTCTTCTTATACCATATTAACTTCCCCATTTCTAAGTGTGCTACCACTTTTCTAAGCTTCCCACAAGAAATTTCTCCCTATCATCTCTACCAATGCAACTGTTATCAACATGGGATAGATTTTTCCCCTTCAATAGGCTCTTCAATTTTTTCATCCCTTCTCCCATTCCTTCTGCCATCCCTGTAGGTCATCCTCTCTTCTTCCTCTTGTGTCTAGACTGCCACGCTAGCTTACTAAGGGCTCTCCCAGCCTCCGGGCTGTGTCCCCTCCCACGGAGTCTTCACCCCGTAGATGCGCTGGTTCATATTCCGTGGCTTCTAGCGTGCTCTCATCTGCCTCCTCTTGCCTCCTACTTTCATAGGCTCCTTGCCCTGACTCTAGTCAAGGCCCTGCCTACCTCCACTCCACCCGATCCCGATCCTACCAACCTATTCCCCTTTTCTGCACAAACATGTTGATTCCTTGTTTAGTCTTTCTTCGCTTCTCTCTCTTGCTCTCCTCTGCCCTTCCCTTCTTTTTTCCTTTCTTTGTTTTACCAACAAATAGTTTCGGAGTGCCTAGCCAGTGCTAGTCTCTGGAGATACTGGTAAGCTGAGACACAGGTCCTGCCCTCGTGGAGCTTATGCACTGGGTTACAATTGCCTGTGTCTGTTACGTTCGTTTATGTCTCTGAGTCTTGTCTCAGTCTATTTCATGTGCCTAAAAGCTCTCTTTTCTTTCCTCTACGCAGCTAAACTGTGTGCCTAACTCTAAGGCCTAACTCAAGATTTACTTCTTCAGGCACATCTCCAATTGCTTCCATGCCCTTCTCTTTGTGAATGCCTTCAGTGGTCAGCCACTGCAGACTTTTTTTTTTTTTTTTTTTTTAAGATAGGGTCTCACTTTGTCACCCAGGCTGGAGTGCAGTGGCACCATCTCGGCTCACCACAACCTCCACAACCTCGACCTCCCAGGTTCAAGCCATCTTTCTGCCCCAGCCATCCAGGTAGCTGGGACTACGGGTGCATGCCATGAAGCCCAGCTAATTTTTGTATTTTTAGTAGAGACAGCGTTTCGCCATGTTGGCCAGGCTGGTCTCAAACTCCTGACCTGAATTGATTCACCTGGCTTGACCTCCCAAAGTGCTAAGATTACAGGTGTGGGCCACTGTGCCCAGCCTACTGCAGAATTGTTCTTTTTCATGGTGAGCTAATGGTGTGAGACTCTTGAGAGCAGGACAAATATGCCTTATCTATATATCTATATTGATATTCATATACAGCTGCATATAGACCCCTGTTTCTTTCTGTGTGTCTAACAACCTTGACATCCCGGATCTTTCAGAATTCTCTGATTTGTAAAAGTGGAGTTGTTTTTGTTCAGGCTCTTCACCTTTTCCAACGTGTATTCCATTCAGAGCCAAGTGTAATCTTTGTGCGTTCTCATACCACAAACAGCTCTTTCAACATTCACTAAAAGTATCTCTAGCACTTAGTGCCATTTTCCATGTGGTAACAACATTCTGATGGCTTTATGACCACTGCTGTGTGCCCTGAAGTGAGGAGAGAATGACATAGGAGGGAGAATTGAGATGGTTAACTGCTTGACCTTTGGAGTAAGACAGAGCTGGGACCAAATTCCTGCTCAGCTAGCCCCAATCATACTAGCTCTGTGATCGCTTAATCACTGTAACTAGCTCTGTGATCTTGCTCAAATCACACCAAGTAGCTATGTGATCTTAATCACACTAACTATAACAGCTATGTGATTTTAATCACACTAGCTCTATGGTCTTGCTCAATCACGTTGACTAGGTGTATGATCTTGAGCAAATTTCTTAACCTCTGAATCTCAGTTTTCTCACCTATAAAATGGGAATGAGGTTGCTATAATCATGGCTAAGTGAGATAACATAGAGGCAATAATTAGTATAGTACCTGGCATATGGCAAATTGAAAAAAATAATTATAACATTGTGATTTTAGAATAGCTAACTAGGGGCCGGGCGTGATGGCTCACGCCTGTAATCCCAGCACTCTGGGAGGCCAAGGTGGGCAGATCACTTGAAGCCAGGAGTACGAGACCAGCCTGGCCAACATGGCAAAACCCCATCTGTACTACAAATACAAAAAGCAGCAGGGCATGGTGGTGGGCACTTGTAATCCCAGCTACTTGGGAGGCTGAGGCAGGAGAATTGCTTGAACCTGGGAGGCGGAGGTTGCAGTGAGCCGAGATTGTGCCACTGCACTCCAGCCTGTGTGACAGAGTGAGACTCTGTCTCAAAAAAAAAAGCTAACTAGGCCAACTAGGCTCACTCACCAAGTGATTGTCTCCCAAACACTGGTGTTATGGTGTTCAACATTCAAATTTGAGTCTCAGCAAAAGACAAATTGCTATAGGTCATGGGTCTTTGGTACCACTGTGAATGCTAAATCCATGAATACCAGAGGTTTGGTAAACTCTGTGGTCCCTCAGCTTCTTCATGGTGTTGGGTCTTTAGAGAGGCTCGGCATATGATTTATTGATTCATGATGGGGGATAATTAGGTAGGAAGAATTAGAGTAGACAGACAGAGTAGTTAGAAAGACAGACTGTTCAGGGCCCTTATAGCCACCTGCATCCAAATGAAACTATATTCTGGGTTGGAGCACAACTTGATCCTCTCTGTGAGAAAGCAGCACATGGCCTTCTCTAAAGATTTTATGAATGGGAGTGAGAAATGGAGGAGAGCCAAAGATAGCAGCTGGGCTATTCTCTTGGACCATGCAACATAAAAAATCTTTTATGGAATAGGTTCTACGTTTGTCTGGCACAGTGCAGGAAGGGTAAATGTTCTCTTGCGGCATTCTCCACCCCCTCCCCCATGCCTGCTCTCCTTTGTGATCCCTGGGAGAGAGCACTTCTCCAAGCACAAGCCGAGGAGTAAATGGTGCAGGCAGAGTAAAAGAATCCTCCCCTGCCCCGCAAGCCCCGCTGGAGGCTGCCGGCCCAGACAGGGCAGGACACAAGGCAGTTGCACAGAGAATAAAGGTGTGTGCATGTGGCTCAGGGATCTGAACAAAGCTCCAGTGGTGACAAGCGTCCCAGGAAACCAGACTGAGAGCTGGTCACAGGCCTACAGTGTATGCCAAAGTGTACCAAATCTGTGGCAGGAGAATATGTGTGGTCGCATGGAAGCAAAGCTCAGATGATCCAGTTAAGTAGTCATCCATGGGAAGGCCGGGTAAGAGCAGCGCAAGCCATGGACCATTGGAGTTCTGCGGGTCGGAAACAGGCAACATCAGGAATTAGGGAAGCTGCCCTGCTATGAGGCCAGGTGGTTTTGTTTAAAATTTTTTTTTTTTTTTTTAATAGAGACAGGGTCTCACTGTATTGCCCAGGCTGGTTTTGAACTCCTGGGCTGAAGCAGTCCTCCTGCCTCAGCCTCCCAAAAGTGCTGGGATTACAAGCGTGAGCCACTGCACCCAGCCTAAATTAAAACAAAAACAAAAGCTAAATCCACTAGCAGAGTCGGAGGAATTGGTTCTGAGATTTTTTGGTTGAGAGGACCTCCCACCCACCGCCCGCCGAATACCTTGAGAACCAATTTGTGTTACGAAGCCCAAATGGCTCATTTCTAGGTTCCTTACTAATGTAATCCTATGTAACCCTATACCCTTTTCCTGACCCTCAGCCACTTTTCTTCCTGGCTGAGGGCTGACCTATCACCTTTGGAAGAGAACACAGGCAAAGGAGGAACGGCAGAGGGGGCTAGGGGTGGGGCTGGGGCTGGGATGGCTGGTACACACACCATCTCAGGGTGGCTGGTGGCTGTGTGGGTGTGGGGTGCGCTCTGACCCTCGCCTGCAGGCCGCTTTTTCATAGCATTGCCATCTATGCCTTTGAAGCAGAAAAGAAATCCCACTTTCCTCTGAGGCCCCTTTTGTAATATGGCTTTCCTCTGGCTGGTTGGATTAGTTAAAATTTCATCAGCTTCCCTTAAAAAAATTTCATCTCATGAAAAGTGAGGATATCTCTTGAAGATGTTCTCCACCTTCAAGAAATAAAGAATCTGATGTGCTCTTATTCTAGAAACTTAGTATCTCTTGTAAGCTTAAACAAGTCAGATGGTGTGCTTTAGAACTATATAGATGTATTTGTGGTTGTTCAATGGTTGTATTAAAAGAAAAAAATGAGATTCCCACTCCCTTCTCCACCATCCCAATGTTTTGTGTTCTTCGGGGTGTGAGAGTGGGCAGGTGTTCAGACCCTGGCAAAAAAAGACCACACATCCTGAAAACCAACTCAAAATAATAGCAGCCAGCATGAGATGATAAGATCAAAGCAGTAGGGGGCAGTATGACACAATTGAACAGAGGTTGCTAGTCTAATAAAACATCAGAAACAAGGCTCTTTGAGACAACAAAGGCAAAAATTGTGCTAAGAGCTGTAAATCTTGCATGCTAAATTCTGGTGCAAGAGACAGTCATGGTGTATCATAATTAAACATGCTACTAAAACATAAATTTCTTACTGATAACTTCCTCTTAGTGGCCTTGTTTCCCAAGGAGTGAAACAGAGCTGGTCACCCATTAGCATTAATTGGAAAGATTTCTGGTGTCTTCAGCACAGATTTGCCTTTTGTGTACTGGAAACGACAAAGGAAAAATAAATCACCATTGTCATAGCCATCAGTGTTCCCTAATCATCTTTATGAGTATGAGGCTGTGTTAGTGCTGAAGGACGGGGTTTGTTGGTTGACTCCAGCATCCTCCAAACTTGCAGGCAGTGGGTGGAGAAGAAGGACCATTTATAGGTACTGTATTGGTTTCTTTGGGCTGCTATAACAGAGTACTACAAACAGAGAGGCCTTAAACCACATAAACTTATTCTCTCACTTTAGGAGGCTAGAAGTCCAAAATCAAGGTGCTGGTAGGGTTGTGCCTCCTCCAAGTCCTGTGGGGGTGATACTTGGTTGCCTCTTCTTGGCTCCTGGTGGTGGCCGTAGATCCTTGGTGTTCCTTGGCTTGTGACAGCATAACTCTAATCTCTTCCTCTGTCTTCACATGGTGTTCTCACTGTGTCTCTGTCTTTACATGGCTGTCTTCTTATGAGGACATCAGCTGTGTTGGATTAGGGGCCCACCCTAATCCAGTATGACCTCATCTTAACTAATTATAAGGATCCCATTTCCAAATAATGTCACCGATATGGTTTGGCTCTGTGTCCCCACCCAAATCTCATCTTATAACTCCCATAATTCCCGTGTGTTGTGGGAGGGACCCAGTGGGAGATGATTGAATCATGGGGGCAGGTCTTTCCCATGCTGTTCTCATGATAGTAAGTCTCATGAGTTCTGATGGTTATTATAAGGGGAGTTTTCCTACACAAGCTCTCTTCTCTTGTCTGCTGCCATATGAGATGTGCCTTTCACCTTCCGCCATGATTGTGAGGTCTCTCCAGCCACATGAAAGTGTAAGTCCAATAAACCTCTTGCTTTTGTGAATTTCCCAGTCTCAGGTATGTCTTTATCAGCAGCTTGAAAATGGACTAATATAGTCACCTTGCGGGGTACTGGGGATTAGTCTTTTTTTTTTTGAGACAGAATCTTGTTCTGTTGCCCAGGCTGGAGTGCAGTGGCATGATCTCGACTCACTGCAACCTCTGCCTCCTGAGTTCAAGTGATTCTCCTGCCTCAGCCTCCCAAGTAGCTGAGATTACAGGCAGCCACCACCACCACAGCCGGCTAATTTTTGAATTTTTAGTAGAGATGGAGTTTCACCATGTTGGCCAGGCTAGTCTTGAACTCCTGACCTCAAGTGATCCTCCCACCTAGGCTTTCCAAAATGCTGGAATTATGGGTGTGAGCCAGCTCACCGGGCCAAGGCTTTCGATATATCTTTTTTTGGGGGGGGACATAATTTATCCCAACAGGTCATAGATATTTTTGAGTTGTTTGGATTCTGCCACCTGATCTGACCTGTTACCATATCATAGCATCTCTCAAACAGGGCCAGTCAATTCTGGCTGCCTACCAGCCTACTGTATCTTCCTATAGACTATTTGCTAAACAGTTACCTGAGTAATCCTTTTAAAATGCAAATTGATCAACACAAGCTCCTGCTTAAAACCCTCCAGTGGCTTCCTATCCCTCTTAGAATTCCCAGGCTTAAGTGATTTGGCCCCTGGTGTTTCTCTGATCTTTCCTTTTTTTTTGGACACAGGGTCTCGCTTTGTCACCCAGGCTGGAGTGCAGTGGCATGAACATGGCTCACTTCAGTACAGCTTTGACCTCCCAGGCTCAAGCGATCCTCCCGCCTCAGTCACATACGTAGCTGGGGCTATGGGGATGCATCACCATGCATGGCTACTATTTGTATTTTTTGTAGAGATGGGGTTTTGCCATGCTGCCCAGGCTGGTTTCAAACTCCTGAGTTTAAGCAGTTTGCCCACCTCAGCCTCCCGAAGTGCTAGGATTACAGGCATGAGCCACTGCGTGTGGCCTCTTTCACCTCTTTTAACTTCCCTTTCTCCAGCACTTTACTTCAGGTACTTCTCCTTTGACATGACAGGCTCATTTCACCTGGGCCTTTGCCCTGCTATTCCTTGCATCCAGAATGCTCTTCCCAGAAACGTGCATGGCACCCTCCCTCATTTCCTTAAGGGCGATGCTTATATATCACCATATCAAAAACAACACACTCTTTTTTCTCTGCCTTTTTTCTCTTCACTTATCCGTGTGTGAGAGTTTATCATATATCTATTTGTTTATTACCTGTTTCCTCACTATAGTATAATCTCTATTAGGAGTGAAACTTTGTTTTGTCCACTTCTATATCCTCAGTGTCTAGAACAGAGCCTGGCACACGGTAGGTACCCAATAATTGTCTATTGAATGAATGAATGAATATATCTCATTTAACCCTCAACCTATTTCTCAAGCCAGGTTACATAGCAAAAGACCTATCAACTACTTGAAGGAAAAGCCAGAAATCAAACCCAGGTTGGCCTGACTCTTTCCAAGATGCAAGAATATCGAATATTTTGCTTATTATTATTGTTATTGTAAAAATGATAATAACTACCATTGATCAGTTGTTTACTTTGTGCAAGGTTGTATTCTAAGCCCTTTGCATGTGTTACTTTATTATACTCAGGATACCTCTCTCAAGTAGTTTTTATTTTCCTCATTTTATACATGAGGAAATTGCCACTAAGGAAGTTTTAATTTTCCAAATTCACACAATAAGTGGAGAAAAAGAATTCACATCCAGTCAGGCTGGCTTCGTAATGTTACTGGCGGCAAGTCTGGGCAGGCTCCACAGTGCTTGATCCTTGTCTTCTTGGGAAAAAGAATTCGGCCAAGAGACAGAGTAGATTTAAGGCAGAAAGGAGAGTTTATTGAAGCAAAGAAAAGTACACTTGGAAGGAACCAAGTAGGCAACTGGAAAGATTAAGTGCCTTGCCTGATGGTTGGTTCAGGGCTCTATAGATTTACTATTTTCTGTTTTTTTTTTTCCCCTAGTCTTTTCCTTTCATCCCTCCCTCTGGGCAGGCTGTTGGCTAATCAGTGCCTACACAGCGTTTTGCCATTATCTGGGTGGGGCCACATATGCCATTTGGTGGCTGAAGTTATGCACATGCTCTCTTAGGGCAGTTTTGCCTTACAGGTCTAGTGTTCCCGGAGGAAGGTCATATCCAGGTCAAACTCTGCCACTTTGCCCCTTTCTGTGCATGCCTGGACATGTCCCCAGAGGAAAGTCAAACTCTACTATTTGTAGTTCTTATTAGGAAGTTCTTGCTCGTAAGCTCAAGATATGTCCTGTTAGGAAATTTCCCTCTCCCTGTTGCCAGCTGCCTGATAATTGCCTGACAGTCACCTGACATTCTTTGGGGCCCTATCCTGCCCTGCTCATATCTGCCTATCTACCTACTCTAACATTAAACGTCTCATATCCGCATACTGACACTAGCTATGTCCGTCTCCCTGTCTATCATTTATAAATTTATCCTGCCATTATTGAGCTCCTATCCCATACAGAGGACAATTTCAGGTGGATAGGTTTTCAGAGAGTGATTGTTTTTACAGGGAGAGGTTAACATGTATTGATGACATACATCTTGATTTGGGTGGTGGTCACTCAACTCTATATATTTGTCAAAGCTCATCATCCTGCCCACCTAAAAAGGGTGAATTTTACTATATATAAATTATATTTTAATAAGCCTAACTTTTAAAAATGTTAATTGTGACCTCCTCTCCCCTAACTAAATGATGTTTACAGAAATTTTAATGCTATGTAGAAAGGTAAATGAGTCAGGATAATAAATACTATACTTAAACTAATAAAAATATTAATGATCATTGTCTCCTGGAGGTGGGATCATGAGTGGTTATTTTTATCTCTCTCATGAACACATCATACTTTCATAAAACAGAAAATTAAATATTTTTACAAGAAATATATATATATATATATTTTTATTATACTTTAAGTTTTAGGGTACATGTGCACATTGTGCAGGTTAGTTACATATGTATACATGTGCCATACTGGTGCGCTGCACCCACTAACTCGTCATCTAGCCTTAGGTATATCTCCCAATGCTATCCCTCCCCGCTCCCCCCACCCCACCACAGTCCCCAGAGTGTGATATTCCCCTTCATGTGTCCATGTGATCTCATTGTTCAATTCCCACCTATGAGTGAGAATATGCGGTGTTTGGTTTTTTGTTCTTGCGATAGTTTACTGAGAATGATGATTTCCAATTTCATCCATGTCCCTACAAAGGACATGAACTCATCATTTTTTATGGCTGCATAGTATTCCATGGTGTATATGTGCCACATTTTCTTAATCCAGTCTATCATTGTTGGACATTTGGGTTGGTTCCAAGTCTTTGCTATTGTGAATAATGCCGCAATAAACATACGTGTGCATGTGTCTTTATAGCAGCATGATTTATAGTCATTTGGGTATATACCCAGTAATGGGATGGCTGGGTCAAATGGTATTTCTAGTTCTAGATCCCTGAGGAATCGCCACACTGACTTCCACAATGGTTGAACTAGTTTACAGTCCCACCAACAGTGTAAAAGTGTTCCTATTTCTCCACATCCTCTCTAGCACCTGTTGTTTCCTGACTTTTTAATGATTGCCATTCTAACTGGTGTGAGATGACATCTCATAGTGGTTTTGATTTGCATTTCTCTGATGGCCAGTGATGATGAGCATTTTTTCATGTGTTTTTTGGCTGCATAAATGTCTTCTTTTGAGAAGTGTCTGTTCATGTCCTTCGCCCACTTTTTGATGGGGTTGTTTGTTTTTTTCTTGTAAATTTGTTTGAGTTCATTGTAGATTCTGGATATTAGCCCTTTGTCAGATGAGTAGGTTGCGAAAATTTTCTCCCATGTTGTAGGTTGCCTGTTCACTCTGATGGTAGTTTCTTAAACCAGGAAGAAGTTGAATCTCTGAATAGACCAATAACAGGAGCTGAAATTGGGGCAATAATCAATAGTTTACCAACCAAAAAGAGTCCAGGACCAGATGGATTCACAGCCGAATTCTACCAGAGGTACAAGGAGGAACTGGTACCATTCCTTCTGAAACTATTCCAATCAATAGAAAAAGAGGGAACCCTCCCTAACTCATTTTATGAGGCCAGCATCATTCTGATACCAAAGCCGGGCAGAGACACAACCAAAAAAGAGAATTTTAGACCAATATCCTTGATGAACATTGATGCAAAAATCCTCAATAAAATACTGGCAAACCGAATCCAGCAGCACATCAAAAAGCTTATCCACCATGACCAAGTGGGCTTCATCCCTGTGATGCAAGGCTGGTTCAATATGCGCAAATCAATAAATGTAATCCAGCATATAAACAGAGCCAAAGACAAAAACCACATGATTATCTCAATAGATGCAGAAAAAGCCTTTGACAAAATTCAACAACCCTTCATGCTAAAAACTCTCAATAAATTAGGTATTGATGGGACGTATTTCAAAATAATAAGAGCTGTCTATGACAGACCCACAGCCAATATCATACTGAATGGGCAAAAACTGGAAGCATTCCCTTTGAAAACAGGCACAAGACAGGGATGCCCTCTCTCACCGCTCCTATTCAACATAGTGTTGGAAGTTCTGGCCAGGGCAATCAGGCAGGAGAAGGAAATAAAGAGTATTCAATTAGGAAAAGAGGAAGTCAAATTGTCCCTGTTTGCAGACGACATGATTGTTTATCTAGAAAACCCCATCGTCTCAGCCCAAAATCTCCTTAAGCTGATAAGCAACTTCAGCAAAGTCTCAGGATACAAAATCAATGTACAAAAATCACAAGCATTCTTATACACCAACAACAGACAAACAGAGAGCCAAATCATGAGTGAACTCCCATTCACAATTGCTTCAAAGAGAATAAAATACCTAGGAATCCAACTTACAAGGGATGTGAAGGACCTCTTCAAGGAGAACTACAAATCACTGCTCAAGGAAATAAAAGAGGATACAAACAAATGGAAGAACATTCCATGCTCATGGGTAGGAAGAATCAATATTGTGAAAATGGCCATACTGCCCAAGGTAATTTACAGATTCAATGCCATCCCCATCAAGCTACCAATGACTTTCTTCACAGGATTGGAAAAAACTACTTTAAAGTTCATATGGAACCAAAAAAGAGCCCACATCGCCAAGTCAATCCTAAGCCAAAAGAACAAAGCCGGAGGCTTCACACTACCTGACTTCAAACTATACTACAAGGCTACAGTAACCAAAACAGCATGGTACTGGTACCAAAACAGAGATATAGATCAATGGAACAGAACAGAGCCCTCAGAAATAACGCCGCATACCTACAACTATCTGATCTTTGACAAACCTGAGAAAAACAAGCAATGGGGAAAGGATTCCCTATTTGATAAATGGTGCTGGGAAAACTGGCTAGCCATATGTAGAAAGCTGAAACTGGATCCCTTCCTTACACCTTATACAAAAATCAATTCAAGATGGATTAAAGATTTAAACGTTAGACCTAAAACCATAAAAACCCTAGAAGAAAACCTAGGCATTACCATTCAGGACATAGGCATGGGCAAGGACTTCATGTCCAAAACACCAAAAGCAATGGCAACAAAAGCCAAAATTGACAAATGGGATCTAATTAAACTAAAGAGCTTCTGCACAGCAAAAGAAACTACAAGAAATATTTATAAAAATTAAAAATCCAGTATCTTTTAAGGTTGTGAAAATGTACAGAAAAAAACTAGAGAGAAGAATATTAAAATGGGCTGGGTGTAGTGGCTCACACCTGTAATCCCAGCACTTTGGGAGGTTGAGGCTGGCAGATTGCTTAAGCTCAGGAGTTCAAGACCAGCCTGGCCAACGTAGTGAAACCCCATCTCTACTAAAAATACAAAAAATTAGCCAGGCGTGGTGGTGGGCGCCTGTAATCCCAGACACTCAGGAGGCTGAGGCAGGAGAATTGCTTAAACTTGGGAGGCAGAGGCTGCAGTGAGTGGAGATTGTGCCATTGCACTCCAGCCCGGGCAACAGTACAAGACTATGTCTCAAAAAAAAAAAAATTAAAATGACAACAATAATATTAACTTTGGGTATTATTTTTCTTCTTTATACTTTTCAGATTTTGAAAATATAAAGTAAAAAGATTAAAAAATATTTCTATATTAACCTTCTACTACATTTATAATCATTAAAAAATCACAAAAGTTTGAGGTGACTTTACATACTTAATATGTAAAAAATTCACTTTAAGTCTAGCCAGTCCTTTTGAAATACAAAAGACACATGATTGTGAGACAAGAGAGAGATGGCAGATCTGGATGTTGCAGCCAGAAGCATTGGGTGGCAACGTGTTATTTTGCTGATTTGGTGGAGCATCCCAGTTTGTCATTCCTACCCAGATCAGTCACTTGCTTTCTGTGCCCTGTCAGTCATCAGAGAGGAGGTGGGTAAGTCCACCACAAAGGCTGCCACTGGGTTTTATCTGAATTCTGTCTTATACCATGGCACGGCCATGATACTGTGTGTTGGCCGCTTTTTCTGTTCTGCAAAGCAAGAAGCAGCAAGTCATGGGGACTGACTAAGACCATGCAATTCAGACATGGTAGGATGGGACTTTCTTACCCCTTTTCTTTTCTTTCCTGTCCCACTTCCTCTCCTTTAGGTAGGGGCAAGGTCTTTGGCAAGACAGAGGAAGGGAAAATACAGAGATGTTGGATAGTAATGCTGTGACAAAATTCCAAGCTGTGATTTGAGGAAGATTCCACTTCCCACTCCTGCTAGAAGTACCCAGTTCTTTTGGTCACAAGAGACCTCTCTGCACAGGATCCCTCAATCCAGGAGGCACTTCATTGCTAACAAAAGCAGTTCTTGGAAAAGACTCCTGATATGGCTTACTCAAGTCACCAATCTAGTTCTTCATATTTGTTCCACATGAAAATATATAAAAGAGTATCCTGAGAGGACCCACAGACCCTCTGAAGGAAGCAGACTGCTCCTGCAGGACCCAGGAGACACCCCAAATACTGTGCTGGTATCCATGGCTGAGAGACCCATAGATGGTTCACATCACAGGACTCTGTGCAGACAGCCCCCAGTACCAGCTTGGAGCTGGGTAGACTTGCTGGGTGGCTAGACCCAGAAGAGAGACAATAATCACTGCAGTTTGGCTCACAGGAAGCCACATCCATAGGAAAAGGGGGAGAGTACTACATCAAGGGAACACCCGGTGGGACAAAAGAATCTGAACAACAGCCTTCAGCCCTAGACCTTCCCTCTGACAGAGCCTACCCAAATGAGAAGGCACCATAAAACCAACTCTGGTAATATGACAAAACAAGGCTCTTTAACACCACCAAAAAATCACACTAGTTTATCAGCAATGGATCCAAACCAATAAATCCCTGATTTACCTGAAAAAGAATTCAGGAAGTTAGTTACTAAGCTAATCAGGGAAGCACCAGAGAAAGGTGAAGCCCAATGTAAGGAAATAAAAAAGAAAAGACACAAGAAGTGAAGGAAGAAATATTCAAGGAAATAGATAGCATAAAGAAGAAGTTATAAAAAATTCAGGAAACATTGGACACACTTATAGAAATGCAAAATGCTCTGGAAAGTCTCGGCAATAGAATTGAACAAGTAGAAGAAAGAAATTCAGAGCTTGAAGACAAGGTCTTTGAATTAATCCAATCCAGCAAAGACAAACAAAAGAATAAGAAAATATGAACAAAGCCTCCAAGAAGTCTGGGATTATGTTAAATCACCAAACCTAAGAATAATCAGTGTTCCTGAGGAAGAAGACAAATCTAAAAGTTTGGAAAACATATTTGGGGGTATAATTGAAGAAGACTTCCCCAGCCTTGCTAGAGACCCAGACCTCCAAATACAAGAAGCACAAAGAACACCTGGGAAATTCATCACAAAAAGATCATCACCTAGGCACATTATCATTGGGTTATCTAAAATTAAGACAAAGGAAAGAATTTTAAGACCTGTGAGACAGAAGCGCTGGGTAACCTGTAAAAAAAAAAAAAACAAACCTATCAGATTAATAGCAGATTTCTCAGCAGAAACCCTGCAAGCTAGAAGGGACAGGGGCCCTATCTTCAGCTTCCTCAAACAAAACAATTATCAGCTAAGAATTTTGTATCCAGTGAAACTAAGCATCATATATGAAGGAAAGATACAGTCTTTCTCAGACAAACAAATGCTGAGAAAATTTGCCACTACCAAGCCACCACTAAAAGAACTGCTAAAAGGAGCTCTAAATCTTGAAACAAATCCTGGAAACACATCAAAACAGAACCTCTTTAAAGCATAAATCACACAAGACCTATAAAACAAAAATACAAGTTAAAAAGCAAAAACAAAAAATCCAAGGTACACAGGCAACAAATAGCATGATGAATGCAAGGGTACCTCACATCTCAATACCAATATTGAAAGTAAATGGCCTAAATGCTCCACTTAAAAGATACAGAACTGCAGAATGGATAAGAACTCACCAACCAACTGTTGGCTGCCTTCAGGAGACTCACATAACACATAAGGACTCACATAAACTTAAAGGGGTGGAAAAAGGAAAAATTATGCAAATGGACACCAAAAGTGAGAGGAGTAGCTATTCTTTTTTTTTTTTGAGACAAAATTTTGCTCTTGTTGCGAAGGCTGGAGTGCAGTGGTGCAATCTTGGCTTACTGCAACCTCCGCCTCCCAGGTTCAAGTGATTCTCCTGCCTCAGCCTCCTGAGTATCTGGGATTACAGGTGCCCACCACTACGGCTGGCTAATTTTTTGTATTTTTAGTAGAGATGGGGTTTCACTATGTTGGCCAGGCTGGTCTTGAACTCCTGACCTCAGTTGATCCACTTGTCTCCGCCTCCCAAAGTGCTGGGATTACAGGCGTGAGCCACTGTGCCTAGCCAGGGGTAGCTATTCTTATATCAGACAAAACAAACTTTAAAGTAACAGTAGTTCAAAGAGACAAAGAGGGACACTATATAATGGTAAAAGGCCTTGTCCAACAGGAAAATATCACAATCATAAACATATATGCACCAATGCTGGAGCTCCCAAATTTATAAAACAATTACTAATTGACCTAAGAAATGAGATAGACAGCAATACAATAATAGTGGGGGACTTCAGTACTCCACTGACAGCACTAGAGAGGTCATCAAGACAGAAAGTCAACAAAGGAATAATGGATTTAAACTATACCTTGGAACAAATGGGCTTAACAGATATATACAAAACATTTCATCCAACAACCACAGAATACATATTCTATTCAACAGTGCATGGAACTTTCTCCAAGATAGACCATATATGATACGCCATAAAACAAGCCTCAATAAATAGAAGAAAATTGAATTTATATCAAACACTCTCTCAGACCACAGTGGAATAAAACTGGAAATCAACTCCAAAAGGAACCTTCAAAACCATGCAAATACATGGAAATTAAATAATGTGCTCCTGAATGAGCATTGGGTCAAAAATGAAATCAAGATGGAAATTAAAAAATTCTTCAAACTGAACGACAATAACGGCACAACCTATACAAAACCTCTGGTATATAGCAAAGGGAGTGCTAACAGGAAAGTTTATAGTCCTAAATGCCTACATAAAAAAGACTGAAAGAGCACAAACTGGCATTCTAAGGTAACACCTCAAGGAACTAGAGAATCAAGAACAAACCAAACCCAAACCCAGCAGAAGAAGGGAAATAGCCAAGATCAAAGCAGAACTAAATGAAATTGAAACAAAAAAATAAAAAAGATAAACAAAAAGCTGGTTATTTGAAAAGATAAATACAACTGATAGACCATTAGCAAGATTAACCAAGAAAAGAAGAGAGAAAAATCCAAATAACCTCATTAAGAAATGAAACAGGAGATATTAAAATTGACACCACTGAAAGACAAAAGATCATTCAAGGCAACTATGAACACTTTTATGCACATAAACTAGAAAACCTAGAAGAGATGGATACATTCCTGGAGGAATACAACCTTCTTAGCTTAAATCAGGAAGAATTAAATATCCTGAACAAACCAATAACAAGCAGCAAGGTTGAAATGGTAATTAAAAAATTACCAACAAAAAAAGTCCAGGACCAGATGTATTCACGGCAGAATTCTACCAGACATTCAAATAAGAATTGGTACCAATCCTTTTGACACTATTCCACAGATAGAGAAAGAGGAAACCCTCCCTAATTCATTCTATGAGGCCAGCATCACCCTAATACCAAAACCAGGAAAGGACATAACCAAAAAAGAAAACTACAGACCTATATCCTTGATGAACGTAGATGCTAAAATCCTTAACAAAATACTAGCTAACTGAATCCAACAACATTTCAAAAAGATAATCCAACGTGATCAAGTGGGTTTCATAGCAGGGATGCAGGGATGTTTTAACATACACAAGTCAATAAATGTTATACACCACATAAACAGTATTAAAAACAAAAATCACACGATCATCTTAATAGATGCAGAAAAAGCACTGGACAAAATCCAGCAAGACTTTATGATTAAAACTCAGCAAAATTGGCATACAAGGGACATACCTCAATGTAATAAAAGCCATCTATGACAAACCCACAGTCAGCATAATACTGAATGGGGAAAAGTTGAAAGCATTCCCTCTGAGAACTGGAAAAAGACAAGGATGCCCATTCTCACCACTATTCTTCAACAGAGTACTGGAAGTTCTAGCCAGAGCAATCAGACGAGAAAGAAATGAAGGACATCCAAATTGGTAAAGAGGAAGTCAAACTGTCACTTTTTGTTGATGATATGATCGTTTACCTTGAAAACCCTAAAGAGTCCTCCAGAAAGCTCCTAGAACTGGTAAAATAATTCAGCAAAGTTTCCAGATACAAGATTAATGTACATAAATCAGTAGCTCATCTATAGACGAACAGCAACCAAGCGGAGAATCAAATCAAGAACTCAACCCCTTTTACAACAGCTGCCAAAAAAAAAAAAAAAAATACTCAGGGATATACCTAACCAGGGAGGTGAAAAACTTCTACAAGGAAAACTACAAAACACTGCTGAAAGAAATCATAGAAGACACAAATAAATGGAAACACATCCTATGCTCATAATGGGCAGAATCAATATTGTGAAAATAACCATACTGCCAAAAGCAATCTGTAAATTCAACACAATCCACATCAAAATACCACTATCATTCTTCACAGAATTAGAAAAAACAATTCTAAAATTCATATGGAACCAAAAAAGACTCTGCATAGCCAAAGCAAGACTAAGCATAAATAACAAATCTGGGGGCATCACACTACCTGATTTCAAACTATACTATAAGGCCATAGTCACCAAAACAGCATGGTACTGGTAGAAAAATAGGCACATAGATCAATGGAACAGAATAGAGAACCCAGAAATATACTCAAATATTTACAGCCAACTGATCTTCGACAAAGCAAACAAAAACATAAAGTGGGGAAAAGATACCCTTTTCAACAAATGGTGCTGGGATAATTGGCCAGCCACATGTAGAAGAGTGAAACTGGATCCTCATCTCATCTTACAAAAAAATCAACTCAAGGTGGATTAGGACTTAAATCTAAGACTTGAAACTTTAAAAATTTCTAGAAGATAACATTGAAAAAACCCTTCTAGACATTGGCTTAGGCAAGGATTTCATGGCCAAGAGCTAAAAGCAAATGCAATAAAAACAAAGATAAATAGTTGGGACTTAATTTAACTAAAGAGCTTTTGCATGGCAAAAGGAACAGTCAGCAGAGTAAACAGACAACCCACAGAGTGGGAGAAAATCTTCACAGTTGCTACGTCTGACAAAGGACTAACACCCAGAATCTGCAAAGAACTCAAACAAATCAGTAAGGAAAAAACAAACACTCCCATCAAAAAGTAGGCTAAGAACCTGAATAGACAATTCTCAAAAAAAAAAAAAAAATACACAAATGGCCAACAAACGTATGAAAAAATACTGAACATCACTAATGATTAGGGAAATGCAAATCAAAACCACAATGCGATACCACCTTACTCCTGCAAGAATGGCCATAATCAAAAAATCAAAAAAACAGTAGATGTTGGTGTGGATGTGGTGAACAGGGAACACTTCTGCACTGCTGGTGGGAATGTAAACTAGTGCAACCGCTAGGGAAAACAGTGTGGACATTCCTTAAAGAGCTAAAAGTAGAACTACCATTTGATCCAGCAGTCCCACTACTGGGTATCTACCCAGAAGAAAATAAGTCATTATATTAAAAAGATACTTGCACATGCATATTTATAGCAGCACAATTTGCAGTTGCAAAATCGTGGAACCAACCCAAATGCCCATCAATCAATGAGTGGATAAAGAAACTGTGGTATATTTATACAACGGAATACTATTCAGCCATAAAAAGGAATGAATTGACGGCATTTGCAGTGACCTGGATAAGATTGGAGACTATTATTCTAAGGGAACTAGTTCAAGAATGGAAAACCAAACATCGTATGTTCTCACTGATATGTGAGAGCTAAGCTATGAGGACGCAAAGGCATAAGAATGACACAATGGACTTCGGGGATTTTGGGGGAAGTGTGGGAGTGGGGTGAGAGATAAAAGACTACAAATAGGGTGTGGTGTATACTGCTCAGGTGATGAGTGCACCAAAATCTCACAGATCACCAATAAAGAACTTACTCATGTAACCAAATATCACCTGTACCCCAATAACTTATGGAAAAAAAGATATATAAAAGAATATTTGTTATTGAGACACTGCTGTGTGGGTGTGCTTTCTTCCTCCTCCCTGCAACTTTAGTGAACAACAGAGCCTTACTTAAAATTTTGAGTCTGTGGTCTTTATTTACACAATAGGGTATTTTCCAAATTGTAGTATGTGTACCACTGGGGTGATTTCAGGTGGTACATGAATGAAAATTTTTAATTTTAATAGTGATGTATTTGTTTTAGTAATCACTAGAAAAATGTAACCACAGAGGCCAGATGCAGTGGTTCATGCCTATAATCCTAGCACTTTCGGAGGCTGAGGCAGGTGGATCACTTGAGTCCAGGAGTTTGAGACCATCCTGAACAACATGGTGATACCCTGTCTCTACAAAAAAATACAAAAGTTAGCCAGGCATGGTGGCACATACCTGTAGTTGCAGCTACTTGGGGGGCTGAGGCGGGAGGATTGCTTTTGTTAGAAGATTTGATAACTTTCGTTGTCAAATTTATGCCTAAGATTTGGTAGGGGGCTCACAGTTTAGGGTCAGGGTTTCCAGCTGCTTCTGTTAAAGGAGGTTAAACCATAGTTTCTGTGACAGAATTATTCTATTAAGCATTTTTATTCTGGGTGTGCATAACTTTAAAAAATACAACTTTTCAGTAATATGTCATTAAATAAATATAATGTAAAAACGACTTCAAATTTAGGTATTATTTGATGATCAACTTTAAACATGTATTCTAATAAAAATCTGATACTCAATTTAATTAAGCAAATCTTTCATACAACTCTTACTACTACTAATAGTGCCGCTATTTTTACAATGCTTTAAAATTGTTTTGCATTAATAAAATGAACATTGGCAGAAAACTCTATCATATTAGGCATTAACTCTTATCTAGCCAACTCAACTTACTTGGAAAACTGAGTTATCAAATTTTAATTTATGTTTCCAATTATTATTAATATTCAGATTGGTTTGCAATTATGACCAAATTGTGTGGCTTGAAAGGGATCCAGTAAAGAAGGCCCCAGAAATAAATTCATTCAATAATATGTATTTAGAATTGACAATGTGTGTGGTGGAAAGATAGCATGCAGGGCTGAACTAGGATTTGTTGGTTTCTAATTCCAGCTTGGCAACTTGCTTAGTCTTTGCCTTAAGTTTTCTTATCTGAAAAATTCAATAAATATATTATATGTATAATTCTGTGCTAGACATTCTGTAAAACCCCAAAATGCTTTCAAAGAAGTCATAGTATAGAAGAAGAAATGGGTAAATACACAATTATCTACAAGATGAGGCAGCTCATGGCTATTGCCTTATGGACCAACTATAGGAAAGTGGTTGTTAACGGCAGCAACTGGGTGTAGGGGGTGAGGGGGATAGTGAGGCAGTGAGCTGGGTTCACACCTTAGCTCTGACACTTGCCAGCAGTGAAACCTGTGTAAGTTATATAACAACCTCACAGACCCTCATTTTTCATTTTTTTTTAAATCGGAGTCTCGCTCTGTCACCCAGGCTGAAGTGCAGTGGTGAGATCTCGGCTCACCTCAACCTCCGCCTCCTGGGTTCAAGCAATTCTCCTGCCTCAGCCTTCTGAGTAGCTGGGACTACAGGCACATGCCAACATGCCCAGCTAATTTTTGTATTTTTAGTAGAGACGGGGTTTCACCATGTTGATCAGGCTGATCTCAAACTCCTGACCTCGTCATCTGCCTGCCTTGGCCTCCCAAAGTGCTGGGATTACAGGCGTGAGCCACCGTGGCCAGCCTGACCCTCAGTTTTCTAATCTGTAGCTTGGGAACTCATAGGTTGGCTGTGAAGAGTAAATGAGGTAGTATATTTATATGTAAACTGAGCACAGTGGTGGGCTTCTAGTATGTGTGCAATAAATGTTAGCTATTATTATTATTAACATTTCTCTCATCTGGGATAATTATGGTGGAAGTAAAATTTAAACTGTGTTTTCAAAGATGGGCTAAATATTTTTTTATATATGTTTTTTGAGACGGAGTCTCACTCTGTCACCCAGGCTAGAGTGCAATGGCACAGTCTCGGCTCACTGCAATCTCTCCCTCCCGGGTTCAAGCAATTCTCCTGCCTCAGCCTCCTGAGTAGCTGGGATTACAGGCAAGCACCACCACACTCAGCTAATTTTTGTAGTTTTGGTAGAGATAGGGTTTCACCATGTTGACCAGGCCGCTCTTGAACTCCTGACTTCAAGTGATCTGCCCGCCTTAGCCTCCCAAAGTGCTGGGATTACAGGTGTGAGCCACTGTGGCTGGCCTAATATTTTTAAAAAATTAAAAATAATTTAAAAAGTAATATAGGTAATATATATTCATAACAGACAAGGATAAAAGAAAAGAGAAAGCCAAATAAAATAAACACATGTAACTCTAGCAGATGAGTGGGACTTCGGTAAGCAGAGATAGTGAGGAAGGCTTTTAGGCAGTGGACCAGGACAGGGAGGTGGAAAAGTGGTGCTCACTCTGATGGGCAGAAGCAGAGGGTCCTTCTGGGGAGTGGTTAGAGATAAAGTTGGGTCAAATGATAGAGGGCCTGAATGCTGGCCTTTATCCAGCAGGCATTGGGGAGCCCTTGGCAATGTTTAGGCAAGAGTGACTACGTGAAAGAAATATTTTAGGGCGAGCAAATTCTTTTAAAGGATACTCTTGTCTACAAAGACAACCCCTCTACAATACAAACTGGGCCTACACTACAGAAAGTTCCTTTTGCTTATACCACCTTTCTCCCATTACTTATTAAGACCTCAAAGCAAAGATACAAGCTGTGTTAATCAGGGTTCTCTAGAGAGAAAAACCAATGGTATATCTATATCTAGATATATAAATATATGAGAAGGGATTTATTAGGGGAGTTGGCCCTCAGCCTTGATTATGAAGACTGAGAAATCCCACCACAGGCCATTTACAAGCTGGAGGATCAGGGAAGCTGGTAGCATGGCTTAGATCAAGTTGAAGGCTCTGGAACTGGGGAAGCCAATGGTGTAACTCTCAGTCCTAGGCCAAAGGCCTGAGAAATTGGGGAGCTGCTGGTGCAAGTCTCAGAGTCCAAGTCCAAAGGCTATAGAGCCTGGAGTTCTGATGGGCAAGAGCTTAAGAAGGGTGTCCCAGCCCCAGAAGAGAGAGAGTGAATTTGCCTTTTCTGTGCCATTTTGTTCTATCTGGGCTTTTGGGAGATTGGATGGTACCTGCCCACACTGGGTGAGTGCAGAGCTTCATTAGTCCACTGATTCAGATGACAGTCTGGTTTGGAAACACTCTGGCATACATACCCAGAAATAATGCTTTACTATGTGGATACCCCTTAATCCAGTCAAGTTGACACCTAAAATTAACCATGGCACAACCTAATCTTGCAAATGCAGTGATTCTAATTTCCTATGTGCCTGGATGATTTTTCTTGAGGCCTGATTGTGGGCATAACTTTGCTTGGCCACAGGCTTAATGCATCTCCATAAAGATAGGTAGGACACTTTGTATAAAACCAAGGGAGTATGCATAATCCTAACCCTCCCTAAAGAACAATCTCTGTTTTCCTGTAAGAAGATACTTGAATTCATCAGAATTCCTTTTGTGTAATGCACAGTTTGCTTGTTTGGGATAAATATGCTGATAAGACATTTGAGATAAGAACAAGGGGCCCTGTGTTTTCATTTTGCCCTGGACCCCACACATTATGAAGCAAGTCCTGGGGATACTTTTTCCTCACCTGATTTAAGACTTCTTCCCAAACTCCTCAGTTTTACTGTTGGGTTGATGTCACCTCAGGCCAATTAACAATGTAAATAACCAATCCCATCAAGGGGAAACCCCACTCTTACCTACAGGGCAAGGCTGGATCTTATGGTACCAACAAAGGAATCTTACAAAAATTTGATATTGGACATATCCCCAAATCTCAGAACCCAAATCTGAATATTTTGAGAGTTCAAGAAGTCCTAGAGTCCATTTTGACCGAGGATCATTCTGTTACAATGCTATTTGTGTCAGTTTTTACTAACTTATCTTCAAGGTTAGAAGCACACCCAAGTGAGGTGTATTAGTCCATTCTCACGCTGCTATAAAGAACTGCCAGAGACTGGGTAATTTATGAAGGAAAAAGGTTTGACTCAGTTCAGCATGGCTAGAGAGGCCTCAGGAAACTTACAATCATGGTGGTAGGGAAAGCAAATGCATCCTTCTTCACATGGTGGCAGCAAGAATTACTGAGCAAAAGGGGGAAAAGCCCCTGGTAAAACCATCAGATCTCGTGAGAATGCATTCACTATCATGAGAACAGCATGAGGGCAACTGCCTCCATGATTAAATTACCTCCCACCAGGTCCCTCCCATGACATGTGGGGATTATGGGAACTACAATTCCAGATGAGATTTGGGTGGGGACACAGCCAGACCATATCATGAGGGAAATAGAGAAGTACTTGCTTATACAATCAGCCTTCGCACCATGTCTGAGTCCACAGATTCAACCAACTGCAGATAGAAAATATTTGGAAAAAAATCCAAGAAAACTACAATACAACAATAAAAAATAATACAGATAAGTCAGTGTAACATTAATTTATATAGCATTTACATTGTATTAGGCATAATAGGTAATCTACAGATGATTTAAAGTATACAGGAAGATGTGCATAGCTTGTGCTCAAATATGACACCACTTTATGGAAATAACTCAAACATCTGCAGATTTTGGTACCCAAGGTGGTTCCTGGAACCAATCCTCCATAGATTCCGAGGGACTGTATACTAGAGTGATTCAGAATTTCTATTCATTTAAATCCTAACTAGAGTAGTGCTGGGAGATACTTTACAGTTCTTCTAAGCCCAGTGGTTTTTAAGCTGAGCCCAGTTGTGTCCTAAAAATTCCATGGGGAGTATGTGAAGGGGGCACTGCAGGGGACCAGCTGGAGGCCATTGAGCTTGGGGGTTGGGGTCTCCCACCTTGACTTTCAAGAGAATTGTGCTGATTTTTTCTCCTTTACATTTTGTACTCACACAAGGGTTCTTTTGCTAAAAAGAAATCTTAATGTTGCAGGAAGTCAGGGACCCCGAATGGAGGAACTGGCTGGAGCTGTGGCAGAGGAACATAAATTGTGAAGACGTCATGGACATTTATCACTTTCCTGATAATTCTCTTATAATTTCTTACTCCTGTCTTACTTTAATCTCTTAATCCTGTTATCTTCATAAGCTGAGGATGTACTTCACCTCAGGACCCTGTGATGATTGCGTTAACTGTACAAATTGATTGTAAAACGTGTGTTTGAACAATATGAAATCTGATTGAAAAACATGGGTGTTTGAACAATATGAAATCAGTGCACCTTGAAAATGAACAGAATAACAGTGATTTTAGGGAATGAGGGAAGACAACCATAAGGTCTGACTGCTTGCGGGGTCAGGCAAAAAGAGCCGTATTTTTCTTCTTGCAGAGAGCCTATAAACAGACATGCAAATAGGAGAGATATTGCTAAATTATTTTCCTAGCAAGGAAAACAATATTAAGACCCTAGGAAAAGAATTGCATTCCTGGGGGGAAGCCTATAAATGGGCGCTCTGGGAGTGTCTGTCTTACGCAGTTGAGACAAGGACTGAAATATGCCCTGGTCTTATGTGGTTGAGATAAGGACTGAAATACACCCTGGTCTCTCTCCTGCAGTGTCCTCAGGCTTATTAGGGTGGGGAAAAAATCCTGCCCTGGTAAATTTGAGGTCAGACCAGTTCTCTGCTCTCCAACCCTATTTTCTGTTGTTTAAGATGTTTATCAAGACAATACGTGCACAGCTGAACATAGACCCTCATCAGTAATTCTTTTCTTTTTTTTTGAGATGGAGTCTCTCTCTGTCGCCCAGGCTGGAGTGCAGTGGCACGATCTCGACTCACTGCAAGCTTCGCCTCCCGGGTTCAGGCCATTCTCCTGCCTCAGCTTCCTGAATAGCTGGGACTACAGGTGCCTGCAACCATGCCTGGCTAAGTTTTTTTATTTTTAGTAGAGACGGGATATCACTGTGTTAGCCAGGATGGTCTCGATCTCCTGACCTCGTGATCCACCTGCCTCGGCCTCCCAAAGTGCTGGGATTACAGGCATGAGCCACTGCGCCCGGCCATCAGTAATTCTCATTTTGTCCTTTGCCTTGTGATCTTTGCTTTTGTCCTTGCCCTATTTCCTCAGAAGCATGTGATCTTTGTTCTCCCTTTTGCCCTTTGAAGCATGTGATCTTTGTGACCTACTCCCTGTTCGTACACCCCCTCCCCTTTTAAAATCTCTAATAAAAACTTACTGGTTTTGTGGCTCAGGGGGGCATCACGCACCTACAGATATGTGATGTCACCCCTGGCGGCCCAGCTGTAAAATTCCTCTCTTTGTACTCTTTCTCTTTATTTCTCAGACCGGCTGACACTTAGGGAGAATAGAAAGAACCTACATTGAAATATTGGGGGCAGGTTCCCCCGATATCTTGATAACTACTGATCTGGTTCATCTCCTTCTACTGTCATTTGATAAAAACTACTGAAGCTTAGAGAGATTTAGTGGGTTGCCCTCAGGTGACCCAGATTATTAAATGGCAGAGCTAGATCTCAAATTTGACCTCTTGGCTTTCAGTGATATTTTGGTGTTTTATTATTATAGTTGTGTCAGACTGGTTAAATAATTTCGCAAGCATAGTGTTAGAAAAAGCAAAGGAACAGGTTTGCCTGGCCTATTTTTCCAGAGGAAAACTTGAATTCATTCTCAGAAATGCCACCTCTAACTCCATCTGAACATCTCACAAATCTGTATGGTTGGTTGCAGAGGACTGAGTGAGAGAGGGTGGAAGATGCAAACTAATGGACTATCATTGCTAGAAAAACAAGTGTATGTTCCTGAGTAGCCAGCCACAGAAGAAGAAATATAAGTACCTAATACATTTATGAAAAAGTGTTCAACTTCATTGGTAGTCAAAGACATGTCAATTTTAATCTATTGGATGATACGCTGATAATAGATATTAAAACATGAGGGTAGTTGACTAGGAGAGACTAAAACGCCCTTGGTGGGACTATAAATTGATACTACATTTTTGGAGGGTATCTTGGAATATGTTTCTATATTTTAAATAGATCTATCCTTTGATCCAGCAGTCTAGGAATTTGTCCTACAGCAAAACTTGAAAAACAGCACAAATTTATTTGCACAAAGATATTTGCTGTAATTGTAATAGTTTGGGATGGTGAGGGCAGAGGCCTTCTTTCTCCTGACTTCGTGTTTCCATGTGGAGGGAACTCCACCAGGCTAACATTCCTGGCCTTTTACCCCATCCCCTCATGTTTAGTTCCTTTATTCCTCTTCCTTTGGTTGGATCCACCTGCCTTCAGAGGTAGTGGTTTCATTTGCTCTTGTTTGTAGGGTGAGCTCTGTCCTTGTGAGGAAGCCTGCAGTTTTGGAGTCTAAGTTAAATTGTGGTGGTGGTGGGCATCTTCTTAGCAATCTCATTTGGCTTTCACACCTAAACTATATTCTCCCAAATCACCTTAACCAGTAATGAAAGTGATACTTAATTTTTATGTGTCTGAATCCCATGTCTTCATCTTTCAGTTTGTTCTGAAATCCAATAGGAAAATGGAGGGTATTATTGATGACCCCTTCAAACTCAGTAATAGAGGAAAATTCTTTTTTTTTTTTAAGATGGAGTTTTGCTTTTGTTGCCCAGGCTGGAGTACAATGGCATGATCTCGGCTCACCACAACCTCTGCCTCCTGGGTTCAAATGATTCTCCTGCCTCAGCCCCCCAAGTAGCTGGGATTACAGGCATGCACCACCATACCTGGCTAATTTTGTATTTTTAGTAGAGATGGGGGTTTCTCCATGTTGGTCAGGCTGATCTCGAACTCCCAACCTCAGGTGATCTGCCCGCCTCAGCCTCCCAAAGTGTTGGGATTACAGGTGTGAGCCACTGCGCCTGGCCAGAAAAATTCTAAATAATTGTAATGTCCATTAAATAAATTGTGGTATATCTGTTCACTAGAACACCATGCTGCCATTACAAAGAATGAGGTAAACTTATATATAGACATAGAAAAATGTCCACAATACGATGCCAAGGATGGGGGTGGTGGGAAGGAAACCTGTGTAAGAGTTTACATAGCAAGAGCTCATGTCTATTTTAAAAAGTTTGTATATGCCTTAGTAGAATGTTTTGGAAAATGCACACAGATCTATTAACAGTGGTTACTTGGATGGACTGGTGTGATAGGAAACATTTTCTTCTGTAAACTATTCTGTTTTGCTAGATTTTTTTCTTACTATGAGCAAGAGCTACGTTTGTAAAAATAATTTATTTTTTTTAAAAGAAAAAGTCATAATTCTTCTGTTACTGGTGAGGATAGATAATCCAGTTATCAGAAATTGCACTTAATTCAACAATTTTTCCTTCTCTGGCTAGATCAGTGAGGTCCTTGGAGGTGATCAATATTCATGGCCCCTAGGCTAGAAAATGATACTTGGCCATATTAACCCTGGGTTTTATTTTTGAACTGGTATATAATCTCTCAGTTTAATTCTCTGAATTTACAGGAGCCTTTTCTGGCTTTTTTGTTTCTTTTTTGACATGGAGTTTCGCTCTTGTTGCCTAAGCTGGAGTGCAATGGGTTGATCTCAGCTCACAGCAACCTCTGCCTCCCGGGTTCAACCAATTCTCCTGCCTCAGCCTCCCAAGTAGCTGGGATTACAGGCATGTGCCACCACACCCCATAATTTTGTGTTTTCAGTAGAGACAGGGTTTCTCCATGTTGATCAGACTGGTCTCGAACTCACCACCTCAGGTGTTCCACCCTCCTCGGCCTCCCAAAGTGCTGGGATTACAGGCATGAGCCACCATGCCCGGCGGTCTTTTTTTTTTTTTTTTTAGTAGATTGTTGCTTCTGATAATAAAAGCAATGTATGCTCTATTAGTTTGTTTTCACACTGTTATAAATATACTACCTGAGACTGGGTAATTTTTAAAGAAAGAGGTTTAATTGACTCACAGTTCCACGTGGCTGGAGAGGCCTCAGGAAACTTATAATCATGGTGGAAGGTGAAGGGGAAGCAAGCACCCTCTTCACAAGGCAACAGGAGAGAGGAGCTTCCAAATACTTATAAAACCATCAGATCTTGTGAGAACTCACTATCACGAGTACAGCATGGGGGAAACCACCCCCATGATCCAATCACCTCCCTCCCTCCATGTGTAGGGACTACAGTTCCCTCCCTCGACACATGGGGATTACAATTCGAGATGAGATTTGGGTGGGGACACAGAGCCAAACCATATCATATGCTGACTGTATACAATTTGAAAAATATATAAAAATACAAAAATGGGTAGGTAAATACCTTATGATCTCATTATCTAGAGAAATATATTTATATATTATATATATAAATTATATAATTATATTAAATATAATTATATAATATATAATATATGTATATATAATATATAAATATATTTCTCTAGATAATGAGATCATAAGGTATTTATATATAATATATAAATATTATATATTTCATTTTTATATATTTATATAAAATATGTATTTATATATTAAATATATAAATGTATAATATATATTTCTCTAGATAATATAAGGTATTTATATATAATATATAAATATATATATTTCTCTATCTCTAAATGTATACATAGATACATATATGTATCTATGTATATGTATATATGTATACATGTATTATATATTCTCTAAATGTGTATCTATATACATATATAAGTGTGTATATAGATACACATTTAGGAATATATATGTGTATATATATTTCTAAATGTGTATCTATATACACACTTAGAGAAATATATATAATATATATATATATATATACACACACACATATATTTCTCTAGAAGGGTTAGGGTTAGTACAGAGAGGCATTTAAGTTAGAATGCCTTTCCCTACAATATGGAAGTAAGTATTTCCAGGGTTGATCAGGGTGATAGGTTGACATCTCTGTGACTCATTGGGAGTTTTTTATATTAGTTTCAAGATGACTGCCACAGTTCCAAGCTTTGGGTCTGTATTAGTTGAGTCTTAAACAGGAAGCAAGGGGACAGGTAGAAAAGGGACTTTTAAAAAATGTGCTTTTTAGGGAGTGGGAGGCAGGAGAGGAAAACTTTGTAAAATACTGAGAGTCTTACAAATACTTACACCCTTTGATTTAGTTAGTTCTACTGCTGGGGATCCTTCCAAGGGAGGCTTTCTCTTATATCTCCTTGGCCAGAACTGGGTCTCATGCCCATTCCTGGACTAATCATTGCCATGATTTACATCTGAGATTGGGCCATTGCCACCTAAACAAATTATTGAAAAGATAAGAAGGTAAATTATTAAAAGAGCAGTTCCTCCTTTTGTATTGGAAATAATCTTTCACATAAAATATTTGAGCTTAAGTTGTTTTGCATTTTAGGTAATTTTCTTTGGTGAGATTCACACAAGTAGAATCATTAGATCAAAGGGTATAAATATTTTTATGGTAGTACATACTTATTACTGACAGGAATTTTAATATTTTTATTTTTACAGCATTGTAAATTTACATTTGAAACAAGACACAGCAAGATAATAGATTCCTCCCACAAACCAAACAAAAAGCAAACACCACTAAAAGGCCCCAAAGCCAGATAGTCTCAAGGTTTTCTTTCAGTAATTAATGAATAAACTGAAATTGGACAAAATCACAATTGCACTTTCTGCCACTGAGAACAAACTTTGAGGTGAACATCATCTCCCATTGAGGAATATGGAGCTGATTGACCGGGTTGAGCTATCTCCCAGTTTTTCTTCTCATTCTGTCTCCTTTAGATTGTTTTATTGTTTACCATTGTCATATGAATGTAGAAGCTATGGAAGGGAAAATGAAATTCAGTTAATTATTCTTTTTGTTATTGATTAAGCAGAAGATTGAAAGCGTAAGAAGTTAAAATTTAGTGTAAAGGAGGAATTTTAAAATATTTCTGCTCTCAGTATCTTTCCACTCTCTCTGCTTCAGATGATTTGGTCAACTGCAATCAGATTTTCCCTCCCATAAAAGTGTTAGTCACATTGGATTCTTTTAGGAGACAGACAGCAATATAGTTAAAGACCTAGGAGAACTATTTTGAATGTTAGATAAAATTCAGATTCTAAAGAAAAGTAGAAGGATTTGTTGGCATGACTCTCTAGTGGATTAAGGCTTTGCAGGTGGGTGTGCTAATTAAGTCCACTTCGTTCTTTTTTTTTTTTTTTTTTTTTTTTGAGACGGAGTCTCACTCTGTCGCCCAGGCTGGAGTGCAGTGGGGCGATCTCAGCTCACTGCAAGCTCCGCTTCCCGGGTTCTTTTATTTGTTCCTTTTCTTACCTACCTTGAAAAATTACAGCACCAATACTTTAACAAAGACCTCTTCCTTATGGAATTGACAGGACCCATTGATGAATTTGAAGTTTCACCCCCTTGAGAATTAGTTGAGATTTCTCTCACATCTTTTTCAAGTTTTATCTTAATCTTATATAAAAGATAATCTTTAGAAATTCTTTCCTTAGGGGACTGGTCTGTTTTCCCATTAAATACACTTGCTAATAAGCCTGCAGATTTTTCAACACAATGCCTGCAGCAACATCCATGATAAATCCTTTTCTGGCCTCGGCTTTCTGTAACCTTCTCCATCCCTCACAATGACACACACTTTCTCTCATTCATCTTTTATTACAATTCAATATTGTGCTTGAATATCATTAGCTTGGATGCAACATTCTCCCCCTCCCCTTTTTTTCTTTAAAGGACAAACTACCATTGTTGTGCACATTTCATCTGAAAATTGACTTTGGTGTTATAGGTTCTAATATATTTACACAACAGGTACAGAAAGGTATTGGAAAAGAGAAGAAATTTTTTAACATCGTAAACCTCTAGCAAAAATATGTGTGTAATAGAATCTGGTACTGTGGTATTACACACATTACAACTGTCACTGTGACTTAGAGCCTTAGTTTAGCTGAAAGAAAATCTATAACCCCAGAAATGCAACAACGTCTGAGTCACAGTTCAGGGTAATAAATGTTTTTCAGAGAATACTGTAATCCATATTTCCAAAGCTGATGCAACAAAGGAATTTCTACTATAAATCTTTCAATTTCATGGGTGGAGGCTCCAATGCAGAAACAAACAGAGAAAGAGAAAAAAAGTATTTAGAAAAAAATGATACACTTGAGTGACATGATAAACTGCCCGGATGTTCAGAAACCTTAGCCATCTGGCCAGGGAATTTGGTTGCGGTGTACTCTCCTCCGATAAAAGGCAAGAGAGGGCAAACTTGTAGCTAACTTTATTTGAATAATTTTGAGGATGGATTGTTTTTTTATTTTTAATTTTTTAATTTTTTAAGGCATGTTCCCTTTAAGAGAGTGTTGTTTTATGACTGGAACAAGAAACTGGAAAGAGGAATCCCAGACTTGGATCCTGGCGGGCTTTCCTCAGCTGGGGAAATGAGGGCACTTCCAGGCCTTGCTCTTTGATTGCCTTTGTATTGGCCTGGGCAAGGATTGCTGGTCTGAGGAACATTCTCAAGTGCCTGCAGCTGCCAGTTGTATTCTCCTGGCTTAGTTTTGGGTGGGGGCAGGTAGAGAGGACTAGGAGGGCAGATGGGACGGCAAACAGCGGGACTGATGGGAACACTGAAAAGATGGCTGGTTTCATTTGGTAGGCCTTGTTCTTGTGCTTGTTTCTGACTGACTAGAACAGTCATTTTTGGAATGACAGCAGGAACTAGAATACTTTTTAGACCCTCTGAGGGAGCACGGGTAGGGTCTCTATCTGCTTGAACTTTGGAATTTGCTGTCACAAAACAGGCCTGGCACTTTGCCACTTCTGTGTCGTGCTATTACCTTCCTTTCTATGACTATTAAACTCCTACTCATTCCTCAAGACTCATTCAAGTGTTCCTGTAGAAATTCTTTTCTCTCATCACCAAAAGAAGCTTATTTGTATTCCTTTTTATTCCTTTTATACCATTATGATATCCTAAAGTTAGTTGTTCACATGGCAGCAGATTGATTTTCTGAAGATCAATTCCCCAAAGCCATTTAGCCAAATTAAATTCACCAAAAGTTGATTGAGGAAACTGATTTGCCTAAAACAATTTTATTATTATTATTTTTTATTTTATTTTAAGTTCTAGGGTACATGTGTACAACATGCAGGTTTGTTACATATGTATACATGTGCCATGTTGGTGTGTTGCACCTATTAACTCGTCATTTACATTAGGTATATCTCCTAATGCTATCCCTCCCCCCTCCCCCAACCCCACAACAGGTCCCAGTGTGTGATGTTCCCCTTCCTGTGTCCGAGTGTTCTCATTGTTCAATTCCCACCTATGAGTGAGAACATGCAGTGTTTGTTTTTTTGTCCTTGTGATAGTTTGCTGAGAATGATGGTTTCTAGCTTCATCCATGTCCCTACAAAGGACACGAACTCATCCTTTTTTATGGTTGCATAGTATTCCATGGTGTATATGTGCCACATTTTCTTAATCCAGTCTATCATTGATGGACATTTGGGTTAGTTCCAAGTCTTTGCTATTGTGAATAGTGCCGCAATAAACATACGTGTGCATGTGTCTTTATAGCAGCATGATTTATAATCCTTTGGGCATATACCCAGTAATGGGATGGCTGGGTCAAATGGTATTTCTAGTTCTAGATCCTTGAGGAATCACCACACTGTCTTCCACAATGGTTGAACTAGTTTACAGTCCCACCAATGGTGTAAAAGTGTTCCTATTTCTCCACATCCTCTCCAGCACCTGTTGTTTCCTGACTTTTTAATGATCGCCATTCTAACTGGTGTGAGATGGTATCTCATTGTGGTTTTGATTTGCATTTCTCTAATGGCCAGTGATGATGAGCATTTTTTCATGTGTCTGTTGGCTGCATAAATGTCTTCTTTTGAGAAGTGTCTGTTCATATCCTTCGCCCACTTTTTGATGGGGTTGTTTTTTTCTTGTAAATCTGTTTAAGTTCTTTGTAGATTCTGGATATTAGCCCTTTGTCAGATGAGTAGATTGCAAAAATTTTCTCCCATTCTGTAGGTTGCCTGTTCACTCTGATGGTAGTTTCTTTTGTTGTGCAGAAGCTCTTTAGTTTAATTAGATCCCATTTGTCAATTTTGGCTTCTGTTACCATTGCTTTTGGTGTTTTAGACATGAAGTCCTTGCCCATGCCTATGCCCTGAATGGTATTCCTAGGTTTTCTTTTAGGGTTCTTATGGGCCTAAAACGATTTTTTAAAACAAATCTGTGATTTATTTATCATATATTTCTTGAAGGCAGAAACCTTGTCTTATTCATGCTTGGTGCTCCTTCACAACTTATAGCATGTTGCTTGAGGTATTGAAGGGGTTAGTGGATACTTATTGCTTATTGAATTTAATTGAATATAATTATAATCAAGATGAAATAGCTTCATATTATTTTTTTCTTCCATTTATATTGACTTTTGCTCTCTTGGTAATAAGGTGCAGACCACACCTAGCTGGAGTATATAGATCTTGAGAAGTTTTTCTGCCAAGCCTGTCCTGCAGACATAGACTTTGCAGAGATTTGTGTGAGAAATTCAGCTGTTTTTTGGATTTAGAACTTCTTGGCTCCTCAACAGCTTGTGTTCTGCTTGCTTTACTATCACTTCTTAAAAAAAATCATCTTTGCCTACATTTATTTTTCTGTCCCTTTCATTTAGCATCATTGTTGCTTTGCTACATAGGTGATTCGTCACCATTGGTTATTATTGTAGACTGAATAGTTGTGTCTCCCCAAAATTTATATGTTGAAACCTAATCCCCAGTGTGATAGTATTTGGTGGTGGGAACTTTGGATGGTGATTAGGTTGTAAGAGTGGAGTCTTCATGAATGGGATTAATGCTCTTATAAAAAACCCCAGAAGAGCTCCCTTGGCCTTTCTGCCACTGAGGATACGAGAAGGTGGCTCTCTCCAAACCAGGAACAGTGCCCTCACCAGACACTGGATTTGCTGGTGCCTTGATTTTTAACTTCCCAACCCTCAGAATTCTGAGAAATAAATTTCTGTTGTTTATAATCCACCCAGTCTATGGTATTCTGTTATAGCAGTCTGAATGGACTGAAAGACAGAAATTGATACCAAGAAGTTGGGTGCTGTGGTAATAAATTCCTAAAAATATGGAAGTAGTTTTGGAACTGGATGATGGGTAAAGGTTGGAAGAGTTTTGAAGTGCATGCAAGAAAAAGGGATGTGAAGAGCGATTCTGGTGAGGGGTCAGAAAGAAACGAGGAGAGCTGGAGAGAAAGCCTCAAACTTAGAGAATACCTAAGTAATGACAAACAGAATGTTGGTAGGAATTTGGACAGCGAAGGCCATTCTGATGAGGTCTCAGATGGAAATGAAGAACATATTATTAGAAATGGGAGGAAAGATGATCCTTGTTATAAAGTGGCAAAGAGCTTGGCAGAATTGTGTTCATGTGCTAGTGTTTTGTGTAAGGTAAAATTTGTAAGAAATGAAATTGGATATTTGGCTAAAGAAAGCCATGGGAAGCACTAAGAAGTGGAGCCCAGACAGACCCCTGACACTGAGTCACCAATGAACCATTGATACAGCTGCTTTACCTCAGACTTCTGTGCTTAAGCGTGGTACTTGAATTTTCTGGTATTATCGGCTGAAAACATCCTAGCTAAAAGAGAGGATGTTACGCTTTAATGAAATAGTTGTTTCCTGAGAATGAATATTTGGTAGATGTCCCCTGTGTCCTCTAATCTGAGGCTGGCATGAGGCCTGTATGACTCTAGGGTCAACCAGACCTGTGATCCAACTCTGGTGCCACCATTTACTAGCTGTATGCCCTTGGGCAAGTTACTCAACCTCTCTGAATCTCATTTTCTTATTTGTAAAATGGGAATAATAAAAGTCACACACACAACAGATACACACACATAAGTCAATTTAATTGTAGATATCTTGAAACACCACACAGATATTGGAATTGGGAGGCAAGCAGATGTAACGTGTGAAAAATTGGATTTTCTGTGTGGTATAAACCCATGTCCACATTGCTGAAAATCTGAGTGTCTTACTAGCCCTCACTCTATCTCTGACCCTTATCCAGCCCTCACTCCATTTCTGACCCTCATAACACCAAGGCCGAGGATTTTGGAAAATTTTGCTCCAAATGTTGTTTTCCCCTCATTTTGGCTTTTGGGGTTTAGTGAATCAGCTGCTTAGCTGAGTGTGGAGGAGCAGACACTTCTGATCAGGGTGTGGAGAACCTTGGTGGAGAAGCAAAGACAGGTACATTATTTAACAGGCATAATGCAGACACTGCTTTCTGGGTGCTGGGGTTGCTCCTGTGAGCTGGGAATTGTTCTAAGGAAGGCAGGAGAAGCCGAGCTCTAGTCAAATACCCCTGAGCCACCTGGCTACCCTGGAGTCAACTTCCTAGTACCCCTGGCCACATTATACCTCCAGGAAATGTTTTATTGCTTATCTCACTTCTCAAGCATCCCCATGGTCATTCTTATTGGTTAAGAGTTAAACAAAGACCATTTTATTTCTTCCATTGCCTTAATGTTTTGCTTTTCCAGCCTCTCAAAGGCTATTATTTTTTGGGCCAGCGTCGCCTAGAAAAGGCTCTTGTAGTGAGCTCTGAGTTCCCATAGAAAGATGGATGGGCACGAAGAAAACAGTCTAATCTTGAATGTATTCCTTGGCTGTTGTGCTTAAGTTGTTGTGGCTGCTGCTTGTCAAAATTGAGCTTGCTCCCTTCACTCCCATCTGCTGGAGCTAAGCAACAGGGAAAATACAGGAGTCAGAGCCAAGCACCTTCTTGCTGGTGCCCGTGGGGTTTTCTTCACATAAATCGAATGACTAATTCTATCATTGTGGAGTATTTCCTCTTCATTTCCAGATAGGGAGGAAGGTCTAACCCCCCTCCACATTCCCAGGACTTCTGTGTTGGTGGTAGCTCAGAGGTAAGGTGGTGACCCTATAGTGGGCATGTGCTGTTTTATCTGCCTAGAATTTTTTCTTTTTCCTGGCAATATACTCTCACTTCTAATTTCTAGGGGTATGATTGGTTTTGTTATACTGAGACTATTGTGAAGACAAATGAATAATTATGTTGGTTTCAATGAGATTGAATTTTTGACATTAAAAAGGGAGGTAAAGATATACACTCCAATATATTAAAATAAAAAGCCACGGTCTTTAATTTGAATTGGAAGTATCAGTAGAAATGCACAATGTGTTTTATCATATATATGTTTGCATTTGCCAGTTCTATCCATGGAAAAGACATGAAAACAATGACCAACCAAGTAATGGCATTGGCCATCTCTACAGCCTGTACTGTAGTCTCTAAATACCATTTCCCATTAAAGGAACTAGAGGGGTTCTTGGAGAAATGGCAGACTCCACGTCTGAGGCAGGAAATACACAGGATGAGTCTGGAACATCTTGTCATACTAAGTATCAAGGATGTCATAAGAAATGGTTAGAGACATGTCAAAAGAACTCATGAATGAACTTAAAGAGGTTCCACCTGGCCAATGATGGGACAAATTGAGCATCAATAAGGATAGAAATTACAATGGATTTAAACACAAAAAGTATCTTTAAATCCATGAGGATGAATACTACTTGAAGAAAATCCCTAAATAGTCATCTTTAAAGAATGCTAGGGAACAAACTCATTATTTGAAATCAGGCAAATAAAGAGAAAGAATCAAACACTTATGCTACTATTCCCTTATGAGCTGTCCCTTCAGGGGAAGTTTCTCTTTATACAGTTATTGCTGCCATACATGAATAAAGAATAATAAAATTGGAATATTACCTTTTTGCAGCCTCTAATGGATTAATGAATTTTGACAATGATGACAACTGGCTGCTAATATTACAGAAAGAGAGCCGACCAAACATATCACCACCTACAAAGTGTTCTTGATTAAAAAGAATTAAATGTGAATCTGATTAAGCCTAGATCTAGCTGCCAAGTCACAGGGAATACAGGGGAGAAAGGAGCATGTTAAATGATACCATGGGGATACAATCAGCAAAATCCAGACTGTGAGAAACACTACGGGGCAAGCTGGTTTCTCCCACAAACACATCACAAGGCATAACAGATGAAGGGGAATTTATAGACTAAAAGCGACTTGAGTGACCCTTACTAGGATCTTGGTTCAAACACACTTAAAAAATTTTATGAGACAGTTGGAGAAGGTCAAATATTGACTGGATATTAGATGATATGAAGGAATTATTGTTAATTTTTTAGGTGTGATAACAATGTTGTAGTTGTTTAAAAAAATCTTTTAAAATTTATGGATGAAAAGATACAGTGTCAAAGATTTGCTTCAAAATAATTACAGGAGGGTGGTTAGAATAAAACAAGATTCACCATGAGCCCATAATTGTGGAAGCAGGATGATAGGTGCTTGGGGTTAATTATACCACCCTTTCTATTTCTGAATATATGTTTGAAATTTTCTATAACAAGTAGGAAAAAAGCTTACATTTACTGAGCTCCTTTTATAGGCTGTACTGTGTTATAAACACTTCTAACTCTAATCCTCTGAAGGGGTCCAGAATATGTCATTGTGGCATAAGGCTTATTTTGAGTTGAAGTTATTTGAGAATCAACAGATACAGAAGAGACTTTCTCTGCACTCCCCCTATATACCTGAAAAAGCAGAGCCTTCCAAAAGAATTCAACTGTTATGAATTCCCCCCTCCCCTTGTAAAAAAAAAATGTGGTGTGTTTGTGGAAGTAACCATTCTTTGAATTCTTGCAAATTCATCCAAGCTGGAGTGAGTGGCATGATCGTGGCTCACTGCAGCCTTGACACCTCCAAGCTCAAGTGATCCTCCTAACTCAACCTCCCAAGTGGCTGGGACTGCAGGTATATGCCACCATGCCTGGTATTCATTCATCCATTCATTCTTTCATTCATTTATTCATTTATTTAGTGGAGTTGGTGTCTCACTATGTTGCCCAGACTGGTCTTCAACTCCTGGGCTCAAGCAATCCTCCCTCCTCAGCCTCCCAAAGTGCTAGAATTACAGGTGTGAGCCACCATGTCCAGCCTGAATTCCCTATGAAGGGAGGTTTCCTGTAGTAGGAGGAAAGAATGACTCCTGTCACTGGAGATGAAAAGTCAGTGTCGGGATGAGAAATTGCATAAACAGACTTTACTAAAATGAACCTTACCTTCTATTAGTTTTCCCCCTATATTTCTCAGTCATTTCCCACCATTTATTGTCCCTTAAAATCTTAACTAACTCCTTTTTCTTTGTTAGAGGGCATATAAGCCCCAAGTTTTAATCACTTCTTTGAGTCACAATTTTCTGTGACTCGAAGAATCTGCCATTTCTCAAATACTATGCAAATAAAATTTTGTATTTTTCTCTTGCTATTTTATCTTTTGTTAGTTTAATTCACAGGCTCCCAATCACTAAATCTAAGAGCCCAATCGATGACACTACAGGAAAAATAAATGCATGGATCTCGCACTCATCTCATGCTGTAGTTTCTTGCCAGTACCTTCTACTGACTCAACTCAACTAGAAGCCAAAGGACAAGGGTACTCATGGATGGAAGCTATAGAAATCAGCCTCCTCTGGCACAGGTCAAGGTGGTGAAGGATGGAGAATGGACTTGGAAGGGCTAATGAAGAATAGTCAGCACAACCAGATTTTAGTGAGCAGTGAAATGCATGTCACATTCACTAACTCTCTCAAGGTTCCGTAGCTAGGAAGTGGGGATCTGGCATTGGATCCTGGCACCTTGCTCCAGAATCATTGCTTAGTATTCTATGTTATGCTACCTCTCAGTGAGTCCCAGGTTTTCCTTGGACTATTGAAAGCAAAACTTGCTTACTTTTCTGCTAGACTTCAATGTGATAAGATGTGAACCTGAAATTGGTGGGGGTACCATATGGAGACAGAGGCCAACGTGAGGTCAAGGACATACATGCTGTTTTTATGGTGGGGTCACTGGAGCCAATAATTCTGTTTGCCTGGGGATTCTACCACTTTTAACTCTAACTGGAAGGAAATATTTGCTCCTTCTTAGAATTCCTGGTGGCCAGCCATAGCTCATTCCTGGAGGTAAGTTTGGGGATTTTGACCCTGTTCTGTCTATGTGGATTAAAAAGTAGGAGTCAGATTCTCTGCACCAAAGCCATCCCTCTTGACTCTTGTTTTCCCTACCTATACCTGAATATCTCAAAAGTTAAGTATTATAGATACTTAATTTCATCTTATAATTGAGAATGTCTTTGTTAAACAGTTTAAGATTTATTCATATTTTTAGCCTAGAAAAAAGCTGCATAGGTAGGGTGCAAGATTATTCTAAACCTTCTTAGCAGATAAGTGTCAAATTAAGAAAGTGAATTTAATTGCCTTGTCTAACTTCTAGATAAGTTTGTTCCCCAGTCTGGATGACAATTATTTTTGCACTAGAGGTCACTAAGGGCCTCATAAGCATTTTCAGTTCTACCACTTTTGTCCAAAACGTTTATCCCTAGGGAGAGGCTACCTTCTTCACATTTCAGAGGAGTTAAAGAAACCCTAGAGGAACCAAAGACCATGGGGAGGAGGCTGACTGAATCTGTAGGTGTGTCTGGAGAATCGTTCCCATCATTTTAGAAAGCATGCTTTTCAGCAAACTCTTTCTGATTCAAAACCTGCCACTCAGGCAGCTCCCCTGTGAGCTGTATGTGACACCACCATTGTGTCCACATGACCAGCCTAGTCGTGGCTGGGTGACCCTTTGGCCTGTGAGTCTGTGCTTACTTGTTTTTGCACTTACTTGTGATCCCTGCGCCAGTGTTGCATGTCACATGACCCTGTGCCCTGCTTCCCTGGACACCTGTGTAGCCTGGGTCCACAGCCCTATAGGCATGGTTCCAGTCCAGTTCCTTCCACCCTGTCCTGACCTATCCCAGCTGTCTTTAGGCCTAGGCCTGGCTTCACTGAATTTTAGGGGTTGCATGCCCGCTTCTTCTTCCACCATCGGCCTTAACTGGCCCTCAGGACTTCCCTTTACCCGGGACAACCCTGCTGAGGCAGAATAAACCGGATCCTGTCACAAAAAAACCTCAAACTGCCATGTCCATGTACTGTGGACTTCAGTGGCCTCCAGGGAATGGTTATCAGCTCTATAGTCTACTTCCATGGCGTTTATGTTGGCCGGAGAGGCCTCTTCTATGTTAAACAAAAAAGAGAATGCAAATTGCTGGTATCTTTAAAAATAATTGTGGAGTGAAAAGGAGTAAAATTTTTAGAAAGCTTTTATGCAAGCTGTGGAAATCTGAATGAACATCTTTCAGTGAGTCTTGGAATAATGAGAAGGGAAAAATTGGAGACTTTCCTTTGGATCCCACAATAGACTATGCGAAGGTCTAAAATAGATGTCTCTTGCCCCTTTAGCTCTCCCCTCACCTGAAATAGATACGAAGAAAAAAAATTATCTTCCATTTCGGTTCTAATGAATAACATATTGGAGCCTTCAATTTTGGATGTGGTAAATAAAATAGAGCTAGGATTAAAGTCCAAGTTTCCTATAGCCTATGTCCAATAATACTCACTTCAATGAAAAAATATTTAATTTATAGAAAATCCTATATTCAAGATGATAACAAATAATTCAGATGGAAAAAAATGAAAGTTCATCATGATAGATTCTATAAAGGCATTTGATACAAATCAATAGTTATTTTTGATAACATCTAAGAGGGTAGATGAGATTTTCTTTTTCTTTTCTTTTTTTTTTTTTTTCAGACAGAGTTTTGCACTGTTGCCCAGGCTGGATTGCAGTGGCACGATCTCGGCTCACTGTAGCCTGGAACTCTTGTGCTCAAGCAATTGTCCCACTTCAGCCTCCCCAGTAGCTGGGACCACAGGTACATGCCACCAGGCCTAGCTAACTTTTAAATGTTTTTGTAGCGATGAGGTCTCACTATGTTGTGCAGGCTGATCTCAAACTCCTGGGCTTAAGCGACTCTCACCCCGGCTTCCCAAAGTGCTGAGATTATAGGCATGAGCCACTGCATCAGACCAGCTAAAATCATTCTTAATGCAAAATACTAAAGGCATTCTCCTTGAAGTCAGAAACAAGGTAGGGGTGTCTACTGTCATTATTATTTAACTTTCTATGTTCTAACCAATGCATTAAGACAAGAAAAAGACATAGGAGGCATAGTTCTTAAAAAGAGAAAATAGAAAATTCTCATTTTTTGCAGATAGCATACTTGTCTATTCCAAAAACCCAAGAGTCATTAGCCTTAACATTTGAATCACACTTTGGGTGAAGATCCCCCCTGATTTTACCAGGTGACCAAAACAGATATATAGCAAATATAAAAAGACTGCAATGAATAGTAATAGCTAACATTTATTAATGCTTATTATGTTTTCATATACTGATTGCAGTGCACTGAGTCATTTAGTCCTTGCAACAACCCTACAAGGAAGGTGACATTGTTACCTTCATTTTATACATGAGAAAATAAAGGCCAGAAGTTGGGTATTCTGCACTAGGTTACACAGCTGATCAAAGCGGAATTAAGATGTAAGTGCACAAGTCTGGTTACAGAGCCCTGTCTAAGTCACTATATATTGTATGCACTCTGCTACGAAAGATGTACCTTGCTGTACTAGCTATCCCATGTTTGGCTTAATATTTTCAATGACAAAACCACACCTATAGCTCTTCCCCATGGTGGCTACAATATGCATTCATTTTCTCTTGGTCGGTGGTTAGGCGTTTTTGCATTTAAATGCTGCCTTGTGAAATATGGCACATCAAACCACACATTTTGGAAGAGGAAATGGAGGCACAGAGTATTTAATTAAACTTGCTTAGAGTCATACATTCATAATGAGGCAAAGCCAAGATCTGCCTCTTTTGTCTCTCTAATATAATAATTGATGTTGATATATTGGTTTACAACCTAAGAAGACAGCTAAATACATCATTTCATTTGATAACCTCAAGAATTGTGGGAAAGTAAATTAGTAGAGGTATAAATCCCCCATTGCTCAATTGAGGAAACTGAGACCCAGAGAGGTTATGTAATTAACTCAAGATGATACATGTTATGTATGTGTAGCAAGACATAAACATGGTCTTGAATGTTGCGTTTTTCATGGTCCCAGTTGGTTCTTGTGTTCAAAGGTGCTCCTAGAAATGTGCTTAGATGTGAAGAGGACTGAGGTACCACATTTGGTTCCAGATGTGAGTGAACCAGACTGGAGTTTCCTAGGAGTCTTTATCTGATCTGTAGGTGTTCCTTTGGCTCCTAGAAAACCCCAAGCTCTGATAATAAGGCCTAGACATGGTCAAAGTCTTAGTAGGTGCTTTATTGACCTGGGACTTTTAATTCTGGTGTGGCTGAACTGGGGGATGCTTTGCTAGGAATGACAGAGAAGTTATGGCAGAGTGTATCTTCCAGGGATGATCCCAATAGTGTCTCCCATTCCACATGCTGTTCTGCAATGTGACTTTGCCACTCACCTATCAAAAGGTGCAGTTGATTTCTCCACCCCCTTGAATATGGACAGGCCCTGTTTCTGCTTTGACCAGTAGAACATGGCAAAAGTGATGCTGTCTGATTTCTAAGCATAGCCCTTAACAGGCCTAGCAGCTTTTACTTCCTGCCTCTTGGAAGCCAGACACCATGGAATAAGAGCATCTACCCTGAGACCGTAATGCTGTGAGAACCCTCAACCATGCAGAGAGCTGCTGGAAGTTGAGATACCATGTGGGAGAAAGGGATGCTGAGAAATGCTGAGGAGTCAGACATATGAGTGGAGAAGCCATCCTGGACGCAGATCCTCCAACTCCAGCTGCCCCAGGTGACTCCAAGTGTGGTAGAGATGAACCGCCCCAGGCAACACTTTTTTGAATTTCTGATTTATAAAATTATGAGCAAAAGAAGAAGATTGCTTAAACCCACTAACTTTTGGGGGTGTTTTGTTACGCAGCCAGAGCTAACTGAAGCAGAAGTAATATTAGGCTATTCCTAATAGGACACACTGAGCAGTCAGCAGCAACAGGCACACACCTCTGCCTCCTGTGTGCATGAAGTTTCTTTTGATTTAGCATAATGAACAAAAATATGAGTAACCATTAGTCATTAACAGTTATTTTTAGCTGACAGGTGCTTAAGTCTTTAAGGGTGGTCTGTTTTACAATTAGGAAAAGATAAAAGCCAGCGACCTTATTTATACATATCTGAGCTAAAATGTAGGGATTTGTTTTTAGCAAGAGGAATATAGTAATTCAACTATGTGATTATATTTGTTTAGCCTTTTGCAGTTTCCAAAGTGCTGTTTCATGTCTATCTTCTCCTTAGAGCTTTCCAATGAGTCTAAGATAGATGGAAGAGGTGGTGCTTTTATTCTCATTTCTTTTTCATAAGGAAATAGAGACTCAAAGAGGTGATATGTTTTGCTTAGAACCACGTGGATAGAACTGGAGGTGAGGCTGGAATCCAGATGTCTTGACACAGTCCGTTTCCACCCCAGCAGCCAACCAACCTGTGAGTTGGGCAAGACACGGAATGGATTGCGGGGGAGTTGTGCCTCTAGCTGATGTTTTAACCACTACAGTGGGTGTACATTCAATGAAATTCGCTTGTTTCCAAGACAACAGGATTCAAATGAAAACCTCAATAGCTCAGGAGGAGGCAGATTCACTGTCATTTCCATCCTTTTGAAGAGCTGCACATTTTGATGGGCATAGTGCCAGAAATAATTAAATCAAATAGCTCCACAGAGCTCTGATGGAGCAAGAAAGCAGAAGAAAAGAAACATATTTGTATGTATATGAATGTGGGTGGTATTTCTGCTGTGAGTCTTTCAATAGAAATCATGACAATCCAGGAAAATCCAGGGATCAACACTTTATAGAAAAGAACAACAATCTGGAGAGAAAAAAAAGGGAGCACCTCGAAGTGCAGAGATGGGAGGTGAGGGGAGGAAAAGAAGGAAGAGATGGGTTAGGGGGAGGAGCAGTCCCGTCCCCTCAGTCCATTCCCTGATGTCCAGCGGGAGGAGCAGTGGACGAAGCCATCAGATTTTAACTTGCATTCCCTACACTGAGTCAAGTGGCTTGGAGTATTCTGTTTGTTTCTATTTGCTTGTCTTGTGATGCACCCACTGTTGGTCTGATACTCAATTCCTGCTGTGGAGATCAAGAGATTTTGAGTGGAGCAGAGAGAGAATACATTTTTCTGTACTGGCCACTTGCCAGATTTTATTACAATTTGTTGTTAACTTATTATGGGATGGAAAGTTGGTCTCTAAGGTATGTGAGAAGGAGGAGGCCTTTTTGATTTCTTCCATTCTGCTCTTCATTCAACATTTATTGAGTGATTATTCCATAGAAGACCCTTCCCTAAGAATTAGGGGTTCAGAAATGAGTAGGACACATGGTTTAATGGGTCATATTTAATGTGCCTACTTGCCTGGTCTTTATAACTAAGTAATGAAAATACTGTAACTCTGTTGTGAGTCATAGAGGGATTCTCCACTCTATGGCGCTTTTGCCAGATTCAGTTATTCATGTAGTCAACAAATAATTTCTACTTCTTACTAGGAACCAGGCATTTTGCTAGGTGTTGGTGTTTCAAAAAGTAAACAAAAGCAACATGCATAACAGAGAATTAGTATTCAGAATACGTGAGGAACTCTACAAATCAATAAGGAAAGAGTAAGGCAACAAATGGGTAAATGATATAAATATGGGCTTCACAGAAGAGGAAAACATAAAAGACTAAATAACATTTGACAACTAAGCTAGCGAGGACATGCAAATTGAGATACCACTTTTTTTTTACCTATTAGTGTGGCAAAAATGGAAAGTTTATTAATATCAAGTGTTGCTGAGTTGTGGGGAAACAGGCTACTCTTCTGCGCTTCCGGTGGAAATGGTAAAATGATCCCTGATTTTGGGGGTGGGTGCAATTTGATATTACCTCTTAAAATGGAAAATGTCCATATCCTATGATCTAGCATTCCCCCATTAGGCATCTGCTCTAGAGAAACTGGCACACAGGCACTGGAGAAAGCAAAGAGGTTGATTGTTGGCATTGAGAACAATTGCAAACAGTGTAAATCTTATCAGAGAGTAGATAGGTAGGAAGTGGTATATTTAGATGGTGAAATATTGCACAGAAATTTGCAGGAAAAAAATTAGAGCTATCCATATCCACATGGATTGATCTAAAAATATATTGTAAAATGAAAAGGGCAAGTTGTAGAGTTATATGTACTCTATGACCATTTATGTGAAAAAGAAACCACAAAAAAATCAATATTGTATCTATTCTATGGCACAGGTAAACAGCCTGGGAAAGATACAGGTCAGATTATGATAGTGATTATCTCTTAGTATTTGGTGGGAAAAAGACTGAAGAGCTCCAAGGGGGAACTTCATCTATCTCTATAATATTATATATTTTAGGCAAATAGATCATGTATAATTTATTTGTAAGAATTAACTAGAGGGAAACAGTGGACAGTAGGATATGATCCCTATTTTTGAGGAATTTATTGACTAATGATGGCCTTATATATGGGCAAAGCTGGGATTGGAACTCAGGTTTCCAATTATGTAGTGCAACAATTTGTCTTTTAGATGTGCAATAAATGTAACCACCTGTGAAGAATCTACTCTCTGACTTACTTTCTGCAAAGTGATAGCTTTGCCAGTTGGGATAAAGGTCAAGGCATTTTACTTCTTTCTTAGGGGGTGGGGATACATGGAGTTTGCATTAAATTTTTTTTATTAAAATATGAATAGATGCCAAGGATATTTATAATTTCAGTGTAAGGCATACAGAATAACAATACAACGGACACACTGATGAACTCACCACCCAGTTGAAGGAATAGAAGCTTGCTGAATTTTCAAAGAGATACTGGTAAGAATATTTGGACTGTCCCATCAGAGGTGAGATGAAACCTGAAGGGCTTTGTGGTATTCTTTCCCAGTCTACATTAGCATCATTTCCACAATTCCCCAGCAGCCAAATAAATTAAACAAATGGCCCTATTTGGAAAATTGAAATCTTCTCCTCTTTGTGTGCTAAATGGCTGAGCAGTGATTTATCTGAGCTGCTCCTAGAGGGTTGGAAGCCACATAAAGGTCTCAGAGTTGTGGCCAGAGGTAAATAGAGTGTCTGAGTGTATTTAGCAAACAATAATGCTAACCACAGAAAATATATAGCATGGAGGAGGCAAACTGTGCATTTGCTGTCTGGGAAGTAATTGAACATTTATAGTTTGGGAATTGCTAGTTCAGAGCTGGAGGAAAGGAGATCTTTATTTCAGTCAATGGAAGAATCAGTGTTGTTTTGGAAGTCTGTGGGGGAACTAAAAGGAATTTACCCATTTAAGTAGCTCATTTTTGAGGTTCCCTAAGTCTTTATATGATAAGGGATTTAAGCAGAAACTAGGTAAGACTGTAACTAAAATGCAGAAAGACATAGAGTTTGAAATAGAGAGGAGGAAGGAGGGAAGGAAGAAAGGGATACAGGCAAGGGGAGAGGAGGGAAAGACAAAGACAGAGGGAAGTTTATTGCCACAGCCTTATCTTCCATGTTTTTTTTTTTTGAGACAGGGTCTTGGCCCGTCACCTAGGCTGGAGTGCAGGGGCGCAGTCCTAGCTCACTGCAACCTTAAACTCATGGCTTCAAGTGATCCTCCCTACTTGGCCTCTGAAAGCACTGGGACTACAGGCACGAGCTGCCGTGCCTGGCTCACACCTGTAATCCATGCTCTTCTAAGGCATTGGGGGCCACAGAATTTTACCCACATGAAATCTAAGGCTTTCATGGTACGAAAGCCTCACAGTAACATGGTGCCTTTACCAATTGGCAAATATTTATTTTACATGAAGGGTAGAAAAGTGCTACCCTTCAGTGTAAGAAATCAGAACAAAAAAGTGATGCCTGATGAGTACCCAGAAGCTCTGGGCAACCATCTCCTTCCCAACGTCCCACTTTCCTCTTTGCAGACAGAGCTGGGAGACCTCAGCTCCTTCCCTCACCACAGCCTGTAGGGTTGCCAGATAGAGCACAGGATATAATATTTGGGACATACTTATACTAAAACATCATTTATTGTTTATCTGAAATTCATATTTAACTGGGTGCTTTTCTATTTTCTAAATCTGGCAACTCTTCGTTTTTGAAATGTGCTGTCTTTGTTCCTCCCCCAGTTTCTTTTCTATTTCTGATCAAGTCAAAAAGTTCTGCATCCCCGTAAGACCCCTGACTGCTGCAGCAGAACATGTGTTAGGTGATGGTTTTCCTTCTTGGTGACGCATAGTCTAATTCTAAGGAGGAAAGGAATATATGTCTCCATTTTTCATCTACTTTAAGGCTTTCTTTTCTCCTTATGTTTGAAGGCTGTCCCACCATTTCAGGGTTTCTGTTGCCTACTAGCCAAGAAGGTCTTTCCCTTCAATGTCTTGATGCAGTGGAGAGATTGGAATGATACCTTTACGGATCTCATTTTGCAAGAATATTTAGGAGTGAGAAATAATTAGAATCTTATCTCTAAGCCCTGCAGTGTCGGGATGGGCATGGCAGGAAGAATCTGTTTTCAGAAAACATAATCCTTCTCGTAGCTTATCCCAAACACACCTGCAGTTCAGAAGAAGGGCAGAGCATTTGTTTTATTTTTTACTCTTTCCACTGGACTGTTTTCTCATCCAATCATAGTTAGTCTCAGAACTAAGCTGGAAAGTCCCATCCACTTTGTTTGCCCTCCTTGTAATTGTAGCCAGGGAGACCTGTTATCTTTCCTGCCCTGGGAAGGCAATAGAGGATCATCACTTCACCCAGAGACGAGGATCTAAGCCAGAGGTTGGCAAACTCAGCCTGTGGGGAAACTCCCATTCACTGCTTGTTTTTGTACAGCTCATGACTGAAGAATGGGCTTAACATTTTAAAATGGTTTAAAAAAATCAAAAGAAGAAAGATAAGTGGCATGTGAAAATTACACAAAACTCAAATTTGTGTCCATAGTTTGATTGGACCACAGCCACACTCATTCTTTTACATGTTGTCTATGGCTACTTTTGTATTGTAGCACAGTTGAATATTTGCAACAGAGGCCATGTAGCCCACAAAGTCTAAAATATTTACTCTCTGGCCCTTTTCATTAAAAGTTTTCTGACTCCTGATTTAAGCAATAAACTTCTCTTGCTAATAGTGGCTGCCCCTCTACAAATGTAACTTGCAAGTGTATCTGCTCTCTAGGTTACAAGACCCCTTCCCACAGGAATGAATCATTTAGAATCCTTTTGGTTGCCAGGGACAGAAAACCCAACTCAAACTGCTGCAGGGGTAGAAAGGTGTGATATCTTTCCTCATCCATCATAAGGGACATAGCCAACACTCTGATAACAAAAGGCAGGTTAGCAAGAAAGAAGCATTACAAATTTATTTAATCAAAGTTTTGTGTGTCTCAGGACCCGTCAGAAATGAAGACCCAAATACCTAGGGAAAAGTGTTATGCTTAGGTTACATTTATGCTTAGCTTCGATGAAGAATGGACAGCCATGTAGAAATGTGATTGGACAAAAGGGTATGATCTAATGGTAATAGACTAAAGGGGAAACCCAGCAAAGCCTGTCTGCTCGGATTCTTTTGGCCTCTCTGTGTAGCATTCTTCCCCTCCTACCTGGTATGGGACAGGATCCCTCTGGAATGAGAGTCTTCAGGGGAGAAGGGAGGAAAGAGAGAGCGACCTTTCTAGGTTTTATGGCTTACTTTGGGGAAGAGGAATTCTGGTTTCTATGACCTGCCTTGGGGAAAATAAATTCTAGTTCTATGATTTGCTTTCAGGGGAGAAAGAGGGTTGGCAGACAGGAAGACATGAGAAGGTCAGAAAGACCTTGCTTCTGAGGTGCTTCCAATCTTCTTCAGTTCAAAGTACAGTCATGTGCCACATAATGATGTTTTGATCAGTGACAGACCACACAGACAATGGTGGTCCCATAAGATTATACTGGCCTGAAAAATTTATTTTCTATGTTTAGATACACAAATACCTACCATTGTGTTATTATTGTCTGCAGTATTCAGTACAGTAACATGCTGTATGGGTTTATAGCCTAGGAGCAATAGGCTACACCATATAGCCTAGGTGTGTAGTAGATTATACCATCTAGGTTAGTGTAGGTACACTCTATGATGTTTGTACAATGACAAAATTGCCTAGTGACATATTTCTCAGAATGTATTCTTATAGTTAAGTGACAAGTAATTGTATATATAACAAAATTTTCCATTTTAACTATTTTTTTTTGTTTTTGAGATGGAGTCTTGCTCCGTCTCCCAGGTTGGAGTGCGATCTTGGCTCACTGCAACCTCTGCCTCCCAGATTCAAGCAATTCTCCTGCCTCAGCCTCCTGAGTAGCTGGAATTACAGGTGTGCGCCACCATGCTGGCTAATTTTTGTATTTTTAGTAGAGAGGGGGTTTCACCATGTTGGGCAGGCTAGTCTCGAACTCATGACTTTAGGTGATCTGCCCACCTCAGCCTCCCAAAGTGCTGAGATTACAGGCATGAGCCACATGCCTGGGCCATTTTAACTATTTTTAAGCGTACATTTCAGTGGCATTAATTACATTCACAGTGTTGTGAAACCATCACCATTGTCTATTTCACTTAGAATGATGTCTTTAAGGTTCATCCAAGTTGTAGTATGTATGAGAACTTTATTCCTTTTTAAAGGAATTTAATTTAAAGGAAATATTATTTCACCTTAAAAGGGTGAAATGGTTAATTTTATTTATCCATTTATCTTTTGATGGACCAGCTAATTGTCTTTTAAGGAAATGAAGAAACAAGGAAAGGCTGGGTACAGTGACTCAAGCCTGTAATCCCAGCACTTTGGGTGGCTGAGTCAGGAGGATCGCTTGAGGCTGGGAGCTTGAGACCAGCCTGGGCAACATAGTGAGACCTTGTCTCTACAAAAAAAAAAAAAAAAGTAGCCATGCATAGTAGCATGTGTCTGTAGTACTAGTTTGCAGTAGTCCTAGCTACTCAGAAGGCTGAAGTGGAGGGTTGCTGAAGCCTGGGAGTTCAAGGATGCAGAAAAATAAGGAAAAATGCTGCTATACTCACCCATGTATTTATCACTTATAGAATGTTTCATTTGTTTATGCAGAACTGAATTTCAATCTAGTATTATTTCCTTTCATTCTGGAGAATGTTTAATATTTCTAAATGCAGCTCAAGTATGCTGGGTCCCAATTCTCTAAAATCTGAAAATGTCTTGATTTTTTCCTTCATTTTGGAAGAATATTTCGTTGGATATGGAATTCTGGGTTTATAGTTTTTCTTTGAGTGCTTTATAAAGATGTGAACCCGTTGTCTTCTGGCTTGCATTGTTTTTGATGATAAATCAATTATAATCTTTATTGTTGTTCTCTTGTATGTAATGCATCTTTTTTCTGTGGCTGCTTTAAAAGTTTTCTCTTTCTTGGCCAGGCACGGTGGCTCATGCCTGTAATCCCAGCACTTTGGGAGGCCAAGGTGGGCGGATCATGAGGTCAGGAGATCGAGACCATCCTGGCTAACACAGTGAAACCCCGTCTCTACTAAAAATACAAAAAATTAGCCGGGCGTGATGGCTGTATTTCATGAGTTTGGGAAACTCAAACAATTTGTACTTTGTATTTTAAAATAAGATGAGGTTGTCAAACTGCGTAGCTCATAGGCCAAATTGGGCCTGTGGCCTGTTTTTATAATGGCCTGCCAGCTAAGAATTATTTATACCTTTTAAAAAGGTTTAAAAACACGAAGAAAAAGAAGATTTGACAGATTTAATGTAGCCCACAAAGTCTAAAATATTTGCTATCTGGCTGTTTACAGAAAAGTTTATTGAGTTTCATAATAAAGGCTGAAGGGGTAGGGATGCCTCTGTCACAGAGGCACTGTAGTTCAAATGCTTACTTCTGCCTTTTGTTGGGTTCAAAGGATGTGCAGTGCATATCATAGCCTGTTTTTATTTAAGTTAATTTTTTTTTAAAGAGACAGGGTCTTGCTCTGTTGCCCAGGCTGGAGAGCAGTGGCATGATCATAGCTCACTGTAGCCTCGAACTCCTGGGCTCAGGAGATCCTCTTGCCTCAACCTCTAGAGTAGCTAGGACTACAGGTATGCAACAACATGACTGGGTATTTTATTTTATTTTATTTTATTTTATTTTTGTAGAGATGGGGTCTCGCTATGTTGTCTAGGCTGATCTTGAACTCCTGGGCTCAAGCCATCCTTCCACCTTGGCCTTCCAAAGTGCTGGGATTATAGACGTGAGCCACCGTGCCTAGCCCATGCCTGTTTTCGTGCTTGTACACTGCTGTAGAGAGTGATTGTATGTGTGGTGGTACACTGCCTTTCTCTGTTAAAATGGGCATGGCAGCTTGGACCTCCCTATGTGGGTGAAATGCATCTGAAGTCCCAGTGTAAGTTCTTGAGAGAGGAGCACCTCTTCAGCTGAGAAAGGCTGGCCAGAGGAGAGCCACCTCGTGCAGAGGCAGAGGGCTGAGCCCAACACGGCAGTCTCAAGGCGGGGCTCTTCTTTCTTTTTATTGCTATTTGTCCACTTGTGAGGACTTGTGCTAGTGAGAAAACAGAATGAGAATGTAATTTTCCTGCTGGGTGATTCTTTGAGTCTTCTCCCAGGCCTTTGGAATACCCATGTGGGATGGCGGTGTGCTTTATGTTAGGTGCTGGTCCTGAGCAATGCCATTCATTATCTGCGTGGCTTTCAGACTGTCTGTCAGCCTTCTTATGGCAATAAATAAGTTACCGTGGATCTCTAGAGATCGAAGGTCTTCTCTTTTTGTGTAACGGCCTGGTGAAAAGGGGCTGAAAGATAGCTCTCTTCCAGGATTCCTTTATCATCCTACTGTTCCATATTTAAGTGCTATTATCTGGAAGTCATTCTTCTCAGCAATAATTTGAAAGAAAGTTGCTTACAAAGGCATCAAGCAGAGGGGACAACATGGGTGGAATCAAAATGGGAGAGATACTGAATTCCAGGTTAAATCCCCAGTCTGTCCCTTGAAACTAAGGCACATAGATGAGAATACAAACAGAAAACAGTGGGTAAACATGCTGGAATGTACAGTGAGTAATGGATATTGAAGGATGATCTCACCATGCATGCTAAACAGGTATTTTTATGAGTTTAAATTTAATTAGCATCTGGAAATTAACAAGGCTAGAAAGAAGGGCAATGTGTTTTTAAGTGATGGCGATGGATAGGTACTATTTGGAGCATATAGATAAATGAAGATTTAATTTGTAATGCATAATGAGCCAGGTGCCTATTAAATAATTTGTTTCTTAAGTTGCTATCACAGAACAAAACAATAGGACCATCCAAGGTCAGGTGATTACTGTTATTACTGTTTTTCTTTGGTTAAGTGTTAAAATCAGTGGTGTAGATGGATATTGATTTATATCGCTCAAGATGGATAATGTGATTTTTTTTCATTGTCATATCTTCTATTTCTTTTTTAAGGATGGGACATAGAATAATTCTTTTGGTCTCACATCTTTTGTAAATCTACCTTAAGTATACAAATATGCGTATATTGGGTTAGAGTAGGCTCTTGGAAGAATGGGAAATGGACTTCTGTATCTTCTATTTTGGTAACTTTTATTATTTAGAGCATTTGGTGTTTTTTTGGTGAACTTTTTGTAGGAGGGCCTGAGAAAGGGACTTTAGCTAGAGTTCAATTTGAAAAAGGATACAATTCCTCATCTTCTTTGGTCACAAACCATATGAATCTCATTAAAGTATAAATTGAGCTGGCCCCTTGGATCCTAAATGGTGCTGAATTTGGGTCGAAGTCAGGGTGCTGTGGCAGAACCACATGGGTTTGGATTAAAGTCAGAGCTAGTTCCACTAGGGGAGTTTGTTCTGAGGAAGTTAGCCCTTGGGGTTGAGCACAGCATGTGTGTATGCACTGAGCATGTAGATCTTCTACTCATGGACTGAGGGAAGTGACAGGGCAGACTCAATCAGGAGTTATATGGGGCACCCATGTCTACAGTGGCTCATGGGGAAGAGGGTGCACATTTGTGGCACAGGTCTATGGAGTAGAATCCACTTCCAGCATCGATCTTGCAGCAAACTGCCTTTCTCCCTCTCCGTTCAACATGGTATACTCTGAGCTGGGGGAAGAGTCATCTTGGCCAGAAGTAGAGGCCAGGGCTGTAATGTCTTTACTTACATTGGGAATGAATTTGTGTTTCTGTTTTATGATTTTCTTTTTCTTATTTATTCTCAAGGAAGTGCATTTTAGCGTGTATGTCTCGGAGCATGTAGGCAGACTGTATGAAACTCAATAACTCATATAGGTCTCTAGGATTGTGGAAGAGTACATGGAAGGTGATCTAGGGCAGCCTTTCCAAACCTGGCTCTGCAACTAGGCTCCTCCAGGGAGCTTGGAAAAATTCAGATTCCATGCCCCATTCCTGGAAATTCTGATTTACTCATTCTGAGGACCTAGGAACTGATGTTTCATGAAAAGTAGCCCAGTGGGTTCTGAGGGGTAGCTGGTTTGGGGAACCTCTGAGCCAGTACAACTCCAGCCTATAGGTGGGAGCACACTTAAATCTTCCTGGTATATGGAGGCCATAAATGCCAGATGATGCCTAAAATCCTGAGTTTTGACACTAGAACCACTTTGCCATCTTTGGGATTTCATTGTCTCTTTTTGGCCTTTTAAAAACACAAACTCTAGCCTCTTTCTGCTTCTCACACTAGGAAACTTCCACCTGACCCAGGGGTCGGGGGTGTCAGTCACTGTGGTTCCCACACTCTGGGACCAGGTTCTGTAACATGCAATTTACTTAAGAGGGAGTGTGAGTAACCCAGACCAGGCCAGGAGTTACACAGCAAGACCTTATGTGGCTTCCTGCACCAGGCTCTGACGTGCCCCAGGGAATCTAGGCAGCTTTCCTGCCAGCCTGAGGTGCTGAGGTCAGTATGATCAAGAATCCATTCTGGAAAAGGAGAAGGCAGGAAGGTGACTGGAAAATGTTGTTTTAAAATGGGTTGGACCCTCACAGAACTCTAGAGGAAAAATACATTTAGTAATTTTGTTTTTTGCCATCGTTTCTAAAACTTTATGGTGATGAATTAGGGGCTAGTTTCTAAAGTGGGGATGCTTTTTACTTTTGGGTATTTTGAAATGGGGTCTCTGGAGTACCGAGGCACACAGAGGGAAAGGTGGGGAGCAGACATCAGCTGCCACTTGGGGAGCACCTGGAATAGGGCCTGGGAGATTTATGTGGTGTTCATGTGTGGTTAAAGCGTGGTAGGGAAGCAGTCCAGCTCTTCATTGACAACACTTTGTTTTGAGATAAATTTAAACTAGGCCGTAAAGAGAGTTTCATGTCTATACAAGTGCCTTTCATGAACAATAGTTTCCATCCATTTAATAATGACCTTGGCACTTTCATAAGAAAAGCACATTTCTCAGCCTGTGCCTGGCTTTGCTGAGGAGCGGTCACACTTCCTGTCCCTTTAATCGCTTCTCCCATCTGGGAAGCACTGGGCTCTCCGGAAGACACCTGTTTTCTCGCTGGTTATTTTCAAAGCTTGGGTCTCTGCTGGTCCTGAATGGTTGTGAGTGGGGAGAAGGGGCACTGAGGGCCAGGCCTGTCTGTCCTGAGGGACAGAAATCCTGACATGCCTATGAAAGACCCCCACCTCCTCAGTGCTGACCATGAATTCCCAAGGGAAGCTGGGCATTGTTTCTATACTTTTTTCTTAGTACAAGTGACAAATGACTTGAGTTCATTTTGTGAAACAGGAATTCATGGAGAATTTAAAAAAAGAAGATTTTGAAGAAGAATTAAAATTGGAACTAGAAGAAAAAGAAACAGTTAGAAGAGGAAAAATAAATCTTACTTAGTTTAGAAAAATCCTATGTGTCATCAGCAGACTAGTACCTATATTTTAGATTATCCTGATTGTACCCTGAGTAGGTTTCGTGGTATTTGGTAAAGAGAATGAGGCTTAAATGAGTAAGGAAGGAAATGGCCACGCTTTAGATAAAGGGATCCCATGCTTGTGGGATCTGAGGCCTGGACATTATAAAGGCTGAGGTGAAGGCTGGAGATAGGGTGGCTTCGTGTTAATTTTTGGCCTTTTCCCAGTGCTTGCGTTACAGTTCAGCAGAGGTTACTGATGAAATGGCCTGAGGTAACCTTCAGCAAGGGGTTCCTGGCTGCATCAATCTTTCCTGGCTGCAAGATTCACTTCCCAGCATTGGCAGTTCCCATCTGAATAACTACCCACAAGAGTCTCAGTGGCCTGCACCTCCCATTCTTCTACAAAGGGAGGCTGGTGTGGGACAACAGTGTCCCCCACACACCCAGGATTCATGTAGGCATGGGCATTGCAGAAATCCTGATGGTGCAGGTCTGGGAGGGCAGCAGACAGATGGTGCAGGAAATACTGAGACAATGTCAAATCCAGCCCCTACTCCCTAGTAGCATACTCTCCATGTAAGAATTTACCAAAAAAAAAAAAAAAAAGTCCATAAAAAAGAATTGAGAACGTTTATTCAAGTAAGTTAAAAGCAATATGCTCTTAAACAATAACAACAAGATCCACTAGTGATAAAAGTGTCATAGGGCTAATAAGCTAAAATATCCTAAAAAGGAGAGCTTAAAATTCGAAGCTGGGTAATATAATAATAATCATAATACCAATAATGAGCAGGCTGCAACATAAAAAAATACTACGATGCTATTTTTTTCCACAACTCAAAGGTCATTAAGAAGGTGATCTCATTTGTTAGAACATTTGTGAGAGACAAGCATGATTATCCTCATGTTATGGGCAAGGAAATGGAGGCTCAGAAGGACTGAGCGTTTGTTCCTAGCATATTTGCTGCAGAACAGGACTCAGGACTCAAACTTCAGGATGATTCCTTAATGTGTTACAGGAGTCCAGGACTTCACCAGCTTCCTCCACTGTGGCTTTACTCTGTATTGATCTCCAGTGTACCTTAAACCTCTTTCTTGAGGATAAACATACTGTATTAACTATGTCATCAAGCTAGCATGGTTGGGGGGACATATAATTTTTGGAGGGTTATAAAACAGTATTTTTGATATGATTCCATTTTTATAAAACCAAATATATACATGAAAAATGATATCTACTAATTTGTTAACTGGTTATTTCTGATATGCATAGTTATGGCTTATTGTTACATTTTTTAATTCCCTTGTAAATTATAGAAATGAGTATGCATTGTTTTTTGTATTAAATAAAATAAACTCCTAAATAGCAAAACAAAGGAAAATGTTCTGATATTTTGAAAAAACTTTCTGATTTATCTTTAGTGAATTAAACCTGTTTTTTCATGAAATAAAACATTTTGCTATTCAGTGTTAGAAAATTCAATTTGAATATCAGTTTATATTTTATAATTTCTGTGTATGTTATACATACTATTTTGTAACTTATAATTTCTTTAATCAGTTCCCTACTGTTGAACAGCTATATTTTCTAACTTACTGTTATTACAGGCTGCTTAGAATAAAAACAAATGGCTAAAATTAAAAGTACACACCCCCTTCCCATTCTGGAATATAGGCAAAAATTGTTTCTAGATTTTATTTCTAACCAAGTTATTTTTTTGACCAGATTGTTATGTTAACCAAGGAAAAGAAAGAAACTCACATATGTTAAGTACTTACAGCCATCTTTGTAAGCCAACAAATCTTTATAACATTTCTTATTTTTGTATCTTAGTAGATTTTAAAATGAGAAATGAATTCAAATTCCAATAGGAGAGAAATCTCTTTTATATGGATATTCTTACTTACTATAGGGATGATCAAACACAACAATAGATGATTTTACAGAATCTTTAAATGGAATGGATGAAGAAACTTTTTTTTGGAGGGTGAGGAGGAGATTATCTGTTCTTCACCTGCCTGGTCTGTTCTGGAAAGAGCTGTTCTATTTCTTGTTGAGTGCTTCTATAGAGCAACAGAACAGTTTCATTCTCATCAGGAAGATTCTGAGAACCAAGTGTCAAAGAATAATTATGTTTTTTATTCAGCAAATATTTACTTTATTTTTGGTACTGGGGATTCAAAGATGAATCAATTCAAAGATGTCTCCTTTGTGACATCTTATAGAAATCCTCCAGGTTCCCACAGGTCATTTTTATTCCTCTATATAGCACTCACCACATGATTTCACAATTATTTGTTCATAGGTTGGTCCCATGCAGTAGATGGTGAGCCTCCCTAAGGAAGGCCCTAAAAAGTGCTTAATGTTTATTGAATAAATGAATGAATGAATGAGCTGGCACATGAAAAGTGATTAACACTCTGTCATACAAAAAATGGAGAGAAAGGAAAGGAAAAGGCCAGAGTAAATAGTTTATGGAGATGAAACGATGGCTCTGGGACCTGATGCTTGTCATGCCTGCCCACATGTTCAGGAGTCTTACTGTTGCCCAGGTTGGAGTGCAGTGGCATGATCTTGGCTCGCTGCAACCTCCAGCTCCTGCGTTCAAGTGATTCTCCTGCCTCAGCTTCCTGAGTAGCTGGGATTACAGGCACACAGCACCACGCCCAGCTAATTTTTGTGATTTTAGTAGAGACGGGGTTTTGCTGTGTTGGCCAGGCTAGTCTTGAACTCCTAGCCTCAAGTTATCCGTCTACCTCAGCCTCCCAAAGTGCTGGGATTACAGGCATGAGCCACCAGGCCTGGCCGGCAATTATCCTTTGATACGTGTCCTCCCTTTCTTCCACAATAATAGAAACCCAGGTTTTTGTTTTAGCACAGAGATGCCCATGGTAAAGCTATGGTGGACTGCTGGTTCCATTAGTCCTGGACCATTAGTTCTGTCTAATGGATATTAGTGAATGTAGTGAGTGCAGCTTACAGGAGATGTCCTTAAAGGGACTCTTTAAGTGTGTGCTTTTGTTGTTCCTTTTCTTCTTCCTGTTGGTAGGAGTATAGATGTGATAGCTTATCTCCAGCAGCCATTGCGGGCCATGAGGTAAACTTGAGAATGGAAGCTGCTTGCAGGGAAACAGCAAGATAGGAGAACCCTGGTTCCCTGAGAGTGTGGCACCCCATTTCAGCTCTGGACTAACCAATCTCTGTACTTTTTTGAAAGTGAAAGAGAAATAAACTAATTTGTTTAAATTATACTTGTTTTAGATTATTTCATTACAGCAGAACACAGTTTTACTTAATACAGCAACTGTGAGTTGAGGGGAATATTTTGGTGATTTCCTTCAAATAGGCGGACCACAGGTCTGTCTTTGAGAAGAGTGCCTAGACTTAGCATGTGTATACCCTGAACCCAGCACTTCCCCTGGGAGCTTGACTTATAGCACAGTGTCAACTGGAAGCCTGAGCCCCAACCAGAAGTGTGTGGCTCAGATTACGGTGAGGTCTTTAGTCAGGGAGGAACATAGCATAGGGGAGAGAGCATGGGCTTGAGGTCAGAAAGAGTTGGGTTAAAACACTGCAACTGCCAACAATTTGTGTAATTTGAACTTTGGTTTCTGTGGTTGTGAGGATTAATCAGATATCAGATACTGAGAATATATCAGTAACTGACACACAATAGGCACTGAAGGTATAGCTATTATTATTAAAATATATTAGGTACTAATAGGGCCTTATGTATACATGTACCAAGGCTCATAAAAGTCTTGCTTCCATGATTAATAGCAAGTCATTTATTAATGCTATCTAAATGAATCCGCATAGATAGAAATCTGGGAGCTAAAAACAAAACCTCCTGGTATAAAAACTTCTTTCAACATACAAGATATTTTTGCTCAACAGTAACTGTAAAGTGATGGCTTCTCTCTTTTATAAGCAACCCAAAATAAATATCTATCACTGAATGAGACTTTAAATGACTATATTGGGTCGGGATTCTTAATCTCAGAAAACAGAATTATGAAGGCTAATTTTAGCAGAAAGGTATTTGTCATGGGGTATTAGTAGCTTTTGGAAATTCCAGGAAGACCAGAGAACCAAGGTTGGATGGTATCCAGCCAGGAGCAATGCAGCTCAAAGAGGCTCCAACCATATCAGGTAATGGGGCTTCCAGAAACCCGATTAGAGCCTCTGCTCATCACTTGGCACCTATGAGCTGAGAACTGGGGACAAGAATCTCAGCCGCAGCTACTGCAGAAGAACAGAGCCTTAGCAGTCACACTGACCTGTCTGCCTTGTGTCACCATCCCCCACATGGCTCATTTAGGTCCTTAAAGTCTTATGTGATGCTTGGTAGAATTTAGGTCATTCGAAGCACTCAGGGGAAAGTAAAATGTAGCTTCAAAGCTTTCCAGGCTATAGGACAAGAGAGGTCTTAGCTTGGGTTCCCCTAGAATGCAGAGCCTGAGACAAGGGTTTGAATATGGATAGTTTATTTGGGGAAGTCATCACAAAGTTGACTTTGGGCATTAGGAAGAACTTTAGGCCAGAGATGATGGCATTACTGTAGCTTAAATTTGGCAAGTTTAAGTTTTCCTACCATCAATGGCAATAAAGCCTCAAGAACTATATACAGTTTTGTATGGAAATGAATTCAACTGAGTTGTGAGGATTAACTGTAAAAACCAGACCTGCCACGTGTTGGAGATGGGGAGAGCAGTTAGGGGGCTATTGTAATAGTCGTACAAGAGAATATAGAGCCTGAGATAGAACAGGGACTGTGAGAAGCAAAAGAATGAGACACATAGGATCTAACTGAAGAATCTTAATGATGAACCGCATCTGGAGGAGGAGGATGAGGATAGTTTGAGATAGTACCACACGTCTGGCCTTGGTGCTTGGGAGATTGGCAGTGTCTTCCACTGAGATCAGGAATACTGGAGAAGGGAGAGATATGGGGAGGGTGATGAGTTCATTTTGCATATGCTGAGCTAGGTAGGGGTGCCTGTGTACAGTAGGTCATCAGGAATGTGGGTCTGGAGTCAGGAGAGGGGGCATGGCTGGAGATATAGATTTAAGAATCTTAAGCATTTAGGAGGAGGATGAAGGAAAAGGAACTGGCAAAGTACACCAAGAATCTCACTACCTGCCCCCCCGCCCCCCGCATTCTTGCTAGACCAGACCAGTTTGTCATTTGCAAGTTCCTTGCAAGAGGTCTTAGGCATACAACCTGCTGCTTCTCCTCCTGGGTGCTGGCTTTGCCAATTCTGACTCCCCTGAGGTTCTGTCTCTCAGAGGGATGTGGTGTCTGCAGCTCCTTCTAATTCCTCTAGGTCCCTGAAGACAAGCAACCAGCCCCTCTTATTTACTGTTGGTTTATTTTTGAAATAAATTTTACTTCTAATCACTACTGCCTAATATAATGGGAATAATAAAACTAACAAACCCATAAGATTTAGAGAATCTTGAAACATTTGGCCGGGTGCAATGGCTCACGCCTTGTAATCCCAGCACTTTGGGAGGCCGAGGTGGGCGGATCACGAGGTCAGGAGATCGAGACCATGGTGAAACCCCGTCTCTACTAAAAATACAAAAATTAGCTGGGCGTGGTGGTGGGCACGTGTAGTCCCAGCTACTCGGGAGGCTGAGGCAGGAGAGTGGCGTGAACCCGGGAGGAGGAGCTTGTAGTGAGCCGAGATCGCGCCACTGCACTTCAGCCTGGGCGACAGAGCGAGACTCCGTCTCAAAAAAAAAAAAAAAAAAAAAAGAAAAAGAATCTTGAAACATTTTTATAGTTTTGATTCCCACTCTGTTCCTGACTCCTTTCCTGAGATAGTGGCTAGAATTTGCCTTGAATCCCTGCTTTCATTCCTGAGGTAGACAGTATTAATCCTTCTCTCTTCTTCTAAGTCCCTCTTCTCAGGGGAAGGACAGAACTCTATAATAACCCACTTTATGGTGTCCATCTATACATCTGTTAGACAAAAAGATATGTGTCTCTTATTCCTATATGGGTAATTTGTAGGCTCAAGAAACTCCAAACCCAGTTCCATATACATTCTCTTGATTTCTGCTCAGCGTAGGAACAGGACTGACTCTGAGTGGTGTCACCAAAACCATGGATCAAGGGGGCATCAAGACAGAGTTAGTTGTCAACTGCTGTATGGAGGTTGATTAAGGTGAGCACAGAGAAGAGGCTGTTAAAATTGGCAGCCATATAGTGACTGGTAATCCCTGAGGAAGTGGCTTCAGAAGAGTGATGGAATTTGGTATGCTCATCCAGCTTACATTTAGGCAAGTTAATACCTTCAAGAATAACTGAAACCATTGATAAGTTATCCGTTCCCAAGATCATGTTGACAGTGAACCTCTAAGTAAGAAAATATCTCATTTTCTGTGGACAATACAAGCATCATATGTATGTGTGTATGTTGTATGTGTAAGGATAAGGACAGATCCAAATTGGATCACCATTCTGTAATCACAAGGAACAAAAGGGAATCCATGGGAACTCAGGAAGTATTTACATACCGTCTAAAGCAGAAAAATGTGTGCATTGAAATGGTAATATGGCTTCTGCTGGCATATCTGGAAGCAAAATGCTTTTCTTCCTCAGACAGGTGGCTGTTATATGTGATGAAGCCTCTCTTTACCATCATAACTTTAACTTTGAAAGGATATAACTACTGCGCAAGTTGTCTGCTGAAGGAATCACAATATATACCAATTTCACTGAAATCCACTTCCAAATCTCTTCTGACAAGTGGCCATTGGTGTTTTATGTGCCTCACTGGATGAACATTGCATGCTTTTAATTAATTATTTATTTATAGCTTTTTATTATAGATTCAGGGGGTACATGTGTAGGTTTGTTACATGAGTATATTGTGTAATGGTGGAGTTTGGGCTTCTAGTGAATCCATCACCCAAATAGTGAACATAGTACCCAGGAGGTCGTTTTTCCACTTTTCCCCCTTCTCCTTTCCTCCCTTCTTTTGGAGTCCCCTGTGTCTATTGTTTTCATCTGTTCCAGTGTTTAGCTCTCACTTTTTTCTGCTTCTGCGTAATTTCATTTAGGATAATGGCCTCTAGCTGCATCCATGTTGCTGCAAAGGACATGATTTTGTTCTTTTTTAATGGCTGTGTAGTATTCCATGGTGCATACGTACTACATTTTCTTTATCCAGTCCACCACTCATGGACAATTAGGTTGATTCCATGACTTTGCTATTGTGAATAGTGCTGCAATAAACATATGAGTCATGCTTTTTTTTTTTAAAGAAAAATTATGATTTGTTCAAATCTTATTTAAATGTTCAACAGAAAAAACTGAAATCCAATTTAATAAATAGTTTAAAAGCAATGGAAATTTACTGGGCTAATTCATGAGAAATTTCAAGCAATTCAATGTAGAATAATCTTAACATCAAAGGCAAGAAGATATAGTGGGAGGTGGGGAGAACCTGGATTGGAGAGACAGACAACCTTCATTTTAAAGGGCACCACTCCCTGGTACACATCATATTGTGTGCCTGCTCTTGTGTCTCTGAAAGCTCTGTTTCTTTCTTTCCATAGATGGTTTTCTCTTCGTTATTCCAAGGGAAATCTTCTAAACATGAAATCTTTCTAAACTCCCTTCCTTTCTGCCTGCTGCCTTCCATTTAGGCTCTTTCCTCTGGAAAAATAAGATACCAAGAGGAAGCAAACAGGTAGAACTGGCTTAGAAGAAGGCCCAATAAAACCTGAAGGAGCTGGACGTGGGCCTTAAGGAGAAGTCAGAGGAGGAAATATTTAAGGTAAAGAGAGAAGCCTCTGGAGGCATTTATTGCTTTCTTTCCATAAGTTGTAAACAACTATTCATGGGATTTCACAATGCTCTGAAGCCCTAACCCTCAGAGCAAGCTAAGCACGACAGAAGAGACAAGTATGTATGGGTCTGAGTATTTGACACCTCAAATATAGGCTCATAAATAGTATGCAAAAGAAAAACTTATAAGATGAAAAATGGACCTTTTCCAAAGAAGAGGTTTCTTCTTTTTTCCTTGCTTGTGTCACTCTTCCCTTTCTTCCCTACCCCCTCCTCTTTTTTTGTAACCAGGTTTTTATTGCACACACTAGATACCAGGCACTCTCCTAGGTACTGAGAGTGTAAAGATGGTTGTGTTTGAGGCCCGCAGCTACCCCACAGCATGATGGTACCAGCACAGAGATAAGTACACATTGCTGTAGCCACTCAGGTCATCTAGTTCAGAACTAAATTGGTGCAAGGCAAGACTTGAAGTGAGATCTGAGTTGTGAGTAGTTGCAAGGGTAATGAAGAGTAGGAGGAAGAAGTGCATGAGGGGAATAAGGGATGAGAAGGAGGCTGGGAAAGTTCCTGAGTTCTTGGCTTGCTCATCTGGGTAGGTGGTAGATATAATAGAAGAAATAGTTTCAGGAAAAAAGATAATCAATTTGGTATTAGATATATTGAGTTTAAGGTATAGTAAGACATTTTAGTGGCTGTAAAATTGGCTATTGTATATTCTAGTCTGAAGCACAGGGGGATGTTTGGTCTAAATGTATGTTTCTGGATATATATTATCATACTTATTAATTATGATGGAATAATAATAAATACTAATATGGCAGAATAAACCTCTCTGTCTTCTTTACCTTCTTTGTCCCTTCTGACCTTCACCCTAGATGCAGAGAATCTTATAGTATGAACAAATATCAAACTATGCTGAGAGAGGCAGTCATTATTAGCTAGAGATAGGTTTGTGGGACCTGCTTCTATGGAGGGTGCTAGAAAGGTGCCTACCAAGGAGAGAGCTGGCAACAGTCCATGCCACATAGGGTGATGCTGGCAGGGTGGAGCTGGGACCCTGATAGAGGACAGAGGTGTAGAAAGGAAAGAAAACTTCAGACTCGGCAAAGAAGAACATCCTATGATCCCACCCAAGGCAGACTCCGTCTGGACTAGAAGGAAAGCTGAGGAAGAAAGAGTGGCTATGCACCATCTTCTAGTCTCAGTGATCTACTAGTAGTGAGGTTGTATTATTTCTGGTAATGAGCTATACATGTTTAGCTTTCCAGATGTTCTGGAGCTCATTGCAAGATAATAATAATAGATAACAGTTACTGGGCTAATGATTAGTGTATTTCCAAGCATTATGCTAATTGTTTACATGCATCACCACACTTGATCCTCACAATAACCTTCTGACATAGGTATTATCACTCCCATTTTACAGATGGGGAAGCTGAGACTTAAGAGGGTAAAAGAGTAAAAACAGCTAGTAAGTGATGCAACAAGGAATTCAAACTCAGCCTCCACGTCTTTAACCATTGCACTCTGCTGAAGATCGCAGGATAAAGGTTGGCTATGGTGGCTCAGGGAGCCTGCAGAGGGAACAGAGCAGAAGTGTGAAGAAGGGGGTTAAGAAACAATGGCCTTCAAAAGTGAGTGGGAAAAGAAGAGCCCCCACAGGAGATGGAGAAGGAAAAGAAAATCAGAAAGGATAGGTGTCATGGCAGCCAAGGAAATGAGGTTTTGCCAGGAAGGGAATACTTGGCAGCCAATACTGCAGAGAGGTCAAGTAGGATGAGCACAGAAACCTGCCCATGGAATGTGGCAGAATGATAGCCATTGGCCTTGGCAGTCTTAGCCAAAGCCAGATTGGGGTTGGTTAAGGAGAGAATGGGAAGGAAGCAGGTAGAAGCACAAAGAGCTGACCACTCCATGTGAAAGTTTGGCTGTGAAGAGGAGGAAGGAATGGGGCTGGAGGAGAATGCCAAGTCAAGAGTCCTTATCACCTTAGTATGAAGAGGCTTGTGATTGTTTACATGTCGACTGAGTAAAGGAGAGATTGATGGCACAGGATAGAAAGAGGGTGATTGTTGGAGGGACAGAGAGACAGAGATAAAGACAGAGAGAGAGAGAGAGACAGACAGACAGACAGAGAAGCTTCAGAGCCCAGGAGAGGAAGAGCTGTGGCTAAAGGCAGAGCCTTCCATTGCTGAGACAGACAGAGGCAGGTAAGGTTGCAGATGACCCAACAGGAATGTGAGGCTTCATGCCTGGTGCTCTGTGAAGAAGGAGGCAAAGCTATCTGTTGAGAGTGAGGGTGAAGGAGGTGGGATTGGGGTGGGTTGAGGACAAAGTGAAAGTTTGCTGGCTAAGGTTGAAGGTTATGGATTTTAGTAGCAGCTCAAGCGCGGGACTCCTCCTATCATTAGATACTTAGTCAAAATTTTTGCTATCACAAACAAAACGGAGAAGGAATGATTGGCTAAAAATAAACCTGAATTTTTAAAGTAAAACAAAATCATAATGATTCTCAAGAAGAGACCCAGGGAGAGCAGCTTCAGAGTTAGTAGTATTTGAAGAAAAATATCGGTAACTTGTGTCAATATTTCAATCAAATTTTTGTATCAACTACATTCTTTCATTTTGACAAATTTACTTTTGGTCAAATTGCTTTCTACCAAATTAACCTTTGATTAAGTTCCTTGCAGTTGGGTTTTACAGGACAGATGCAAAGTTTGGACAAATAAATAAGAGAGCTTATTGGCTCATCATATATATCTTTCTCAAATTTAATCTTTTAAGCCACAGTACTTACTTTTTGGTGTGAGGAAGAAGTATTTTGACAGCTGAAAAAGTGAAAACTTTAGGTAACTGTTTAGGTAGCTATTTCTTATTTAGAATCAGAAGTGCCAGTTTACCCATCCAGATAGCTCAGAGACATCAGCATCACAAAATTGTGAATTGTTCAGTGGGTCTGATTTCTAGAAATTTCCCAGAGCTCCCAAACTCAGTGTGAGAAATACCATTGCAAGTAAATTATCTATATTCTAAAATTTGAACAGCACATAATTCCACCAGCAAATAAAAAGAGATAAAAACATAATCACAAATGATACTAAAATATCAAATTTTAGTAAACTTTAGGGACTTCTAAAATAGCAATTTTTTTTTTTTGAGTCTCCCTCTGTCACCCAGGCTGGAGTGCAGTAGCGCCATCTCGGCTCATTGCAACCTCCTCCTCCTGGGTTCAAGCAATTCTCCTGCCCAGCCTCCTGAGTAGCTGGGATTACAGGTGCCTGCCACCACACCCAGCTAATTTTTGTATTTTTAGTAGAGATGGGGTTTCACCATGTTGGCCAGACTGGTCTTCAACTCCTGACCTTAAGTGATCCACTCACTTTGGCCTCCCAAAGTGCTGGGATTACAGGCGTGAGCCACTGTGCCTGGCCAATAGCTATTGTTTAAATGATTTCCTTTTTTTTGAAATTCAGTTCATAAGAACGGTGGCTAAGTTAGTGCAGGAACAAGCTTATAAAATTTTCTGTTTCCTGGAGTTTGTTATATAAGCCCAATTAGCTTATACTTTATTTCTTTTCTTACCCCCTACCCTGCCCCAAACTAGCAGAAAAATCACAGGAAACAGAAATCAAATACAAGTACATAGCCCATGTATCCATGGGCAAGAGTTAAGCCCCTAGTTCATAGTGCTTCCTAGGATGATGTATAAAGCCCACATAAAGTCCAGAACCTCCTGGATGGTGGTAGAGGCATCTCAGGCGGTAGCCCACCAAGGAGGAAGCAGTAGCTCTTGCTGCCAGCATCCACTCTAGTTTAGACTGAGGGCCCCTCTTCTGAGTCATCCAGTCTTTGATTTTGACTAAGTCTAAACAATTTTAAAAAATCATCCTTTGCTTGTCTTCTACCTCTTACCCAGCTACTTGAGTTATCTGTTAATCTAGTTTTCTCTAAATCAGAATCATCTGCCCTTTGCTGGAGGGATCCAGACATCACTCTTGTTTACCTACTCGCAATGTTGCATATACATGAAAGACTTCAGCAGAATTACTCAAATATGCCGCACACAGGGGTGGGCTTAGTGGGAAGCAAGGGTGGGAACAAAGGGACTCTAGAAGGATGGGGGCCCACGGAGGCTTCTAGGAGCCCAGGCAAGGCTCATTCTCTGTTCTTCCCCCATCCCCTGCAGTCTTTCTGCTTCACACATTTGTATCCTTCAAAGAGCCTCCTTTGGCTTAAAATGGAAGCAGGATGTGCACTTTCCACTACTACTTAAGATTTGTTTAAAGGTTTTATTTTGGAAATTTCCTCTCCATGTCTCTATATTCTTTTATTTAAAGAATCTGTTCTAAACATTCAGAGAGTTTTATTTTTAAATCAAAGAGTGTGTGGCAGTCACAGCCTTTGTGCTCATATTTAATACCAGCAGGGTTCAAATAGATTTCCTTAACAGCAGTTTTTATTTAAACTTATTACTCTGACCTGATTATCTTCTGCTTTGCATCTTGGCAATTTCTGCCTTAAGTCCTAGCTAGAAACCTCTATTTGAGGGCAATAATTTTCTTTATAAATTTTCCATAATATTTCATTTATCATAGTTTGTTGGCATAAACACCCCTGTCCTGGCCCTTATATTTACTATTCTTTGAGCATCTGGGCCAGCAAAGTAGCAATTGTGTTGTTAATAAGAGTGGCGTGAGATTAAATGTAGTGGACACCGTGGGCCTCGGCTTTTTAGTGATGATGCTAACTATTTCTTAGCAAGTGGGACCCAGCTCAACATTGTGCATCGCGACTGCAAGGAAGCATTTGAATTATGTTTCCCCTGGGCAAGGGTGAAAAGTCAAAGTGAGATTGATATTGGATTCTCTACCTTTATTTTTTTCCCCATTGAGTGTGAATCAGCCATCAATCTCAAGTGAGCATTTTTCTTATAAAAAATTCTGCAAGGCAATTCCATCACTCGAGGTCTTCAAAATTGTCCTTCTCTCATTACCAAACACATTATTTGACAAATAGTATAGGGCAAACCCAGCATTCAACAACTACCCCAAAATATTGCATGTCACGAATTAAACTAGCTGTTGAGATAGATACAAACAGCATAAGGTTCTTGATCACAAGGAGCTAACTGTTTTTTGGAGATGGCAAATATGTTTTAAGTGCTGTAGTCATATTAACTCTGCTAAGGGTTCCCCACAGTCTTCACAATGGTGGTGGTATTTTAGTAGGTTAGGGATACAAGCATGACTAGGAGTTTGGTTATCAATGGGAAAAATTGTGTTTGAATCTTGGTAAGATCTGTCCATTCAATTAATAAGAAGCCTTGTAATATTCCAGGTTAATTGCTTAAAATGGATAGAGCCAGATTGCAGGGTATGTAGACACTTATTAGATTATCTTCCCTAATATATCCTAATATAATCTATATTGCATCCCCATTCTCTGGTTACTGATCTCCTCTCTGCAACCACATGGGCCTCATGGCAGCCATATTTTGCACAGAACCCTGGAGCTCTGGATGCTCTTGACTGGACCAGAGCTGGCTGTGATCAAGCTCGGGTCAAGAGACTTTTCCCTGGTTCTGGCCATATAGATTGGTTTATGAGTAAACACCTGACCCAAGTTCCCCAGTCAGAGTCTCACCCAGATAATTAGGTCTGGGGGAGGGAGAGAAAGAGTGTGAGTCAGAGCAAGTGAGAGATGCACTATAGGTAAACATGGACTTAGAGGGGATCACTGATGGAAGCTGTAAGCTTCCGGGAGAAATCACAGAAAAGAATCTTTGTGACCTTGGATCAGACAAAGATTTCTTTGATTGGACACAATATGTAGGAAACATAAGAGAAAAAATGGATAAATTTAGACTTCACAAAAATTAAAAACTGCTTTTTGAAATGTACTGTTAAGAAAATAAAAAAGACAAGCCACAGTCTGGGAGAAGATATTTGCAAAACACATATTTGATAAGTGACTTATATCTAGAACATGTGAACACTCTTACAACTCAAGAAGAAAACAAAGAACCCTCCAAAAACTGACCAAGGAATTAAACTCCTTACCAAACAAGAGATATGGATGGCAAAGAAACACATGAGAAGATTCTAAACATTATTTATTAAGACAATACAATGAGATACCACTAGAATGCCTATTAGAATGACTAAAGTTAAAAAGACTGACCATACCAACTGTTTGAGAGGGTGTGAAGCAGTATATATTACTAATGAAACACAAAATGGTACAGCCACTTTGGAAAACAAAGCCTCTTTGAGTTTCTTATAAAGTTAAACACACATTAAAATGTGACTCAGCAATCCCATGTCTAAGTATTTACCCAAGAGAAATGAAAACATAAACATATGTCCACACAAAGACCTGTACCTGAACGCCCATAGCAGCTTAATTCACAGTAGCCCCAAACTGGAAACAATCCAAATGTCCATCAACAATGGATAAACCAATTGTGGTGTATTTATACAATGTAACATTACTGAGCAACAAAAAGGAACTAACCACCAGTACTCAAAGCAGGAAAATGGATATATCTCTAAAACATTATGTTGATTAAGAAAAGTCATACTACATGCTGTTATGGTTTTATTTATATGAAATTCTAGAAAAGTCAAAGTGCTACTAATGGAAAACAGATTCCAGAGCTGAAAGTTGGGGAAAGAGATTAACTGATAAGAGCACAAAGGATTTTTGGGATGATAGAACTCTTACATTTTAATTGCGGTGGTGGTTGCATGACTGTATACATTTGCCAAAACTCATGGATTATACACTTGACAAAGAGTCCATTTTATTGCATATAAATGACATTCCATTAAAACTGACCAAAAAATGAGTGTGTGCTGGGGGGGCGCAGGAGCCTCAGAACATAAACCCTGGGGGCTGATAGGACTCTGTCTTCTGCCATATGAATAGCAAAGTAGAAAAGTCTGGCCTGCAAAGAGTAGAAGATGAAGTAGATGTACAGAAAAAGCCAAAGTAGAATGTGGAGAGAGATTTCCAAAGCTACTGGAATCCTTGGTTCCAGTACATACCTGGGGTCCAGCTGTATTCCTGCCCTGAGTTCCATGAATCCCTTATAATAGAGTCTCCCTTTTTGGCCTAAGCTGTCTCAGTGGATTTCTGTCACTTGAAATCAAAGGAGTTCCAATTAATAAGGAAATGAGCACCTCTGCAGAGCATTTCCCATGGGTGCAGTCTTCAGCAGCAGAGAAATTCTTGGTACTTTCCATGAGGAACATGTGTTCTGGAAACTATACTTGTTTGGAATTCCTGAGAATAGTAGAAAGGACATTGTGTTGGGGTTTGGACCCTGAATTCTAGGCCTGTCTCCATGACACATGAGCTATATGCAGTCTTGGGCAAAACTCCTTGTCTCACTGGACTTCCACTTTCTCATATGTAAAAGGGAGAATGAAGCTAGACACACAGCTTGTGAACTTTTCATTCAAATTAGATAAATAACCCAATATATAAAACAGGTCCAAGCAGAGCTGCTCTGGCTGATGTGGAGAGACGCCTCAGCCTACCTACTTGGAGGTCAGGAGTGCAGCAGAAATAGTTGATACGAATGGTTTGTTGTGTTTGAAGATTAAAGAGTGAGAAGCCATCTGCATTGGTTGGAATATAAATATAGAGACTAAGAATGTAAGCATACCTTTAAGATGATGGCAGAGGAAGCCTGACCTAAAAATAAATGTTTGGAGCTGAAGTATAAGCTGGAGGACTGAGCGTACCCAGAGCAAACCCATCTGTTATCCTTCGTCCTAGAGCTCCATGTCTTTTCTGCATAGCACTTAGTGTTCAACTCCTAATAGAGGCATTAGCTCCATGAAGGCGGAAACCAGATCTGTCTTGTTGACCAATTCTTTCATGCTTTCAAATTCACCCAGTTCACCCCAAAGTTCATGACAGCATCATGTCATCAACAGTTCACTTAAGGAGCCAGGACTCTTGTACCTATAGGAAGCCCCTTCCTCTCAGGAGCACCAAACAGTTGCTGTCAACTTCTCCTCCTCTTCCCAGCAGTCACCAGTCTAAGATATGGGATGAGGAGGGAGAAACAACCATGCTGTCTAGAGAGCCATCAGGGGCTTTCTATTTTAATTAATTAATTAATTACCATGGTCTGTCCCTCCCCAGCTTCATGTAAAAATGGAGCTGCTGGGTGGATTGAAAATCTATTAAAACCCAACTGTGGCAGAGATGGCTCACCGTCCACTAAAAGTTTGCGCTCCTCCTTCCATGATGTGCCTGCGAAGAAGCTTCCCAGCCAAGGATTACATTCCCTAGCACCCCTTGCTTTTCTGTGTGATTCTGTAACAAATCCTTACAGATGAAATGTGAACAAGGCGATGTGTGTCACCTACAGATCGTGTTTGTCATTTGCCCTCAGATCCTTTTCCTTGCCCATCACCTGCTCTGCTCATTCTGTAGGGAATCTGTCCCTGCCAACCACAATTTTCCAGGCTTCCTTCCCTAGCTTTGGCTAGGTTTGGCCAGTGGGTGGGTTGGCCGGAGACTGGAGGAAGGGAGGAAGGGAGAAGCTAGGATATTTTAGCTTTGATCTCTTTGCTTCTGGTGACATCTTTGTGGTCTCAGCTCTTAAGTAACAGCCCCTTCTTTCATCGTCTCAGTTGCCCAGCAGCCCTCTCTGGTTCAGAGGAGTAAGTCATGAGTGAGCTACGAGTGGGAGCAGCTTTCTGCTGAATCTCTGGATTGCTTCACCTCCTCTATCTGGCTTTTTGGTTCTTGCTATTATCCATATGAAATTGCCTCTAATGGATTATGTGGCTGGGCTTTGTTTTCCTGATAAGACCCTGACCAATATATAGGCCAAGATGGTAAAGAAGCAGATGTGCTCCCTCTAGTCTCCCTTCCTGTCTCCTGGCTGGGGCCGTAGGTATGGTGGAACATGGCAGAAGAAGGCAAAGGGCCACCAGCAGGCTAGAAACACCACCGACATCAAACTATTATAGGAATAAAAAATAAAATTCTGTGTTGCTAAGCCACTGAAATGTTGTGGTTTATTTACTATAGCAGCTAGCCTTATCCTAATGTAGTAACCAAAATGGGAACGGGGACCTCAGGTGCCTTTCCACTTGGCCTCTTGCCTGTGCCCTCACATGGCCTCTGGGACACTGGCTGTGCAAGAATTTAAAATTAGAGTGAGTAGTATCTATGGTCCCTTCCAAGCCCTATGAATCTGGGACTATGTTCACTTTAAGAGGGTCCTGAATAAGTTGATAAGTTGAGAAATATAAAAATAGGGATGACTAAATGAAAATATTCTTCATTTCAAAGCTATTTGACTTCTGAAATCATTAATTCATTCACTTATTACCTAACATCAATTTTTTGAAGCATTTATGCCTTTGCTACACATTGAGTTACCAGTAATAGATTTTAGTAAGGCAGGCTCAGGGAAAGGGCTGGACAGTAATTGGGCTATGGGTGAGAGAGAATTCAAATAAAAAGTGTAAATAGAAATCACAGACCTTCCAGGTGCTGACCCTCTGGGGCTTTTGATGCTACCTTGGTCAAGTTGATTGTTTCGGGCTTAGTGGAGTACAAGGAATCCTGATAGTTTTCTGGGTAGAGTTTTATGTAGTTTACAGCAGCCATCATCATGCACTAGTTTCAGCCTTTGGTTGGAGGTCAGGAGATTCCACTGTGCCATTATTTTTTGTGTGTGGGTAAGAAAATGTGGCTGGTGTGATGGACAAATGTAACCATATTTTTCTTCTGGACTATTTTTGGCCTATTGATGGGAACAAGTTGTTACCAATCCATCATGCACTGGAGACAGGCTCATCCAGGGCCTGATTTAGAAGGCTTTCCTAGTGACCTGTGTGCTGGGGCACAAGTTTGGTCTGGGCCATTTATTGTCCTGGGTCAGCCACTGGTGCCTTGGACAGGATGGTAGCACATTGGAGGGGATGTCACATCAGGCAGGGCCTAGAGAAGGGTCTGGGGTAATGTCCAGATGTGGAAGAGGGCAGCTGTCATATGTGCTAGAAGCCTGTGAGTGGCTCTCTGGAACTCATGATGGGGAATGTGGGCCTCATGGTGCCTTTCATGGGAAAAGCAGTCAAATGTCAATTCTTCAAAAACTTCAGGGCTGAATTGTTCTTGATAATTTATTCATTCTGGATGGCTAAGAGTTTCTATCTTTTAAACCCTCAAAATGTTATTTAACCACCCAGAGAGGGTGTTTTTCTAAAATGTATGACTGCCCACAGCCCTTCCCTTCTTGGCTCCAACTTTACAGCCCTGAAAGGGCTCCAGAGAGTACACAAAAATCCAGCAGATGAGATTGTTCCTAAGGCTCAAATATTCTACATTCCTATGATTATGATCTGAAGATAGAAATATCTCTGAAAGGGTAACACTTTAAGCACTTATCAGTCATTTACATTATGAAAACACAGGGGGAAAAGAGAGGGGTTCTTTTCTAGGACCCTCTTGGTGAAGTCTTGGAGCAGAGACTTAGAGTCAGTGAGGATAAAAAGGAGTGACAAAATCACTCCTGACACTACAAGACTTAGCATGCTTCCCTTACCCTTTCCTTGTCCGTGAAATCCATTGGCCGTGCCACACCCTTCTTATCTCTGCTTGGGAAACCACCTGTCCTTTTTTTTTATGCTTTTATTTACATGGACATATTCCATACAATTTACCAGTTTATATGTTTCAATAGCTTTTAGTATATTTACAGAGCTGAGCAACCATCACTATGGTCAATTTTAGAATCTTTGTACTACCCCCCAAAGTAATCCTGATCCCCTTAGCTGTCACCCCCCCATCCTGCCATCCCCCTCCCTGCTGTAGGCAAACACTAATCTACTTTCTGTCTCAATAGATCTGTCTATTCTGGACATTTCAAAAAAAAGAAAAAGGGATCATACAATATGTGATCCTTTGTGTGTGGCTTCTTTCACTTAGCGTAATTTTGTCATGTTTCATCCTGTTACATCAATGTATTCATTCCTTTTTATTGCCAAATAACATACCACTGTATGGATATACCACATGTTATTTATCCATTCATCAACTGATTGTTTCAATTTGGGTTGTTTCAATTTTTTGGTTATTGTGAATAATGTTGCTATAAATATCCATGTAAAAATTTTCCTGTAGATATGTGTTTTCGCTTCTGTTGGGTGTATGGCTGGTAGTGTAATTGCTGCATAATGGAGACCGTTGAACTCTGTCCAGGGCGACTTGTAAAGTTCTATGGGTTGGAGATACTTCTTCATGCTGCAATACTCCTTATTTCCACTTTACTCTTGGAAGCTTGGATTAAAAATATGTTTGTATATGCACTGATTTTTATTGATAAACTTTTTGTTCTACTCTATCAGTGTTCATATGTTTGTTATTGCCTTTTTTGGTTAAAGTCCGTCCTGTTTTTGTATGTCGTTACCAAGCAGTCTTCCTTCTTCCTTACTGCCATTCTGTTTAGTGCAGATACATTTCTCTCTTTGGGACTATGGTTTGTTTTTATCTTATGAGTTACAGAAATAACAAGAGGGAGTCTCAGAAAAAAAAAAAAGAAATAACAAGAGGGAAAACCCAATTCCTATTATACTACAGACTGGGGGCTGGAAGTGAGGTTAGCAAGGGGTGGGGGAGGCATGTGGGAAGGAGTTGAATTCTTGGAATGTAGAAGACGCCACAGGGCTTGGTGCCATAAGCCCCATGTGTCCTGGGCCACTCTCCAGGCCTACGCCCAGTGTTGCCTGGGTCTCAGTGCTGTACGTGCTGCCCGGCACTTGCATGAAACACCTGCACACAACAATTGCCAAGGGCCAAGGAGCTGTTTGAGACGCCATATCCTGTTGGGCATTGTTTCAAATGAAATCAATGACTCTTCCCTGCATTAAAACAATGTTTTTCAGGAATCAAAAAGAAAGAGAGAAGGAGACCAACAAGGAGCCTTGCTTTAGAGAAGGAGCCCATGTGCAGCCACCACCCTGCCCACAGCATGTGCCCCGTGCAGCCAGGCCCTCCCCGCTGCCTGCTTCCTCCTGTGGGCCGGAGGGACAGCAGTGAGATCCCGGGTAGAATGCCAGGAGGAATCTGGGCAGCTGCATGCTTCTTGAGCATCTTCTCCCTCCTTGCTCCTGTGTCAATTTTTCCTTCTTTTCTTTATTCACTCAACAAACTGAATCTGAGTTGAGTGCCATTATGTGCCCAGCACTGTGCTTGGCACTGGGACACAGACATGTTCTTTGCCCTCATGAAATTTATAGCCCTCTATCCCCTCTTCTTTTCCTGCCTCCTTTTCTGCCTTGCTCTCCATTTATTTGTTCCTCCTCTTTTCCTTATACTTTTAAATTTTCATGTATTAAAGAGCCACATGTTTTTTCTTTTTGAAAGATGTTTCCATGTCAATATTTCATTTTCTGGACTTACACAGAAAGGACTTAGAGTTGGGAGGCTTTGCCATGGCCTATGGGCCCACTCCATGTTCCCAGTGGCCTCAGCTCTTCCTTGGAGAGGATAAGGCAAGACCTCAAGTCTATATCAAGAAATGTGGGAGCCATGCATTCTCCACATCTGTGCTCTTGCTACTGGCTGCAAGGAAATTGGTGCTGCTCAGAGAAGTGGACAAGCTCCAGGGAGGGATGAAGAATAAGTGTGTGTGTGTGTGTGTGTGCGCATATGTGTGTAGGGGGTATTTGAGGGAGATGGCATAGAGAAACACTGACTAGAGATGTTACAAGTCCCCCAAACTCAGTTGGACCACTTGACTCACCCCTGGATGCAGCCCAAAAATTTGCTCTTGGAAGTGCTTCCTGACTGGCTTGGAATACTTGTCCTTAACTCCATCAGGATGCCATGGGTCTTAAGATCTTTTCTATATTGGAATGTTTGGGGCAATTAGACTTAAGTCCAAGGCCCTGCCTCTGCCTGAATGATCCAAGCATGGGTTCTCTTCATCGGTGTGAACAGTAGGCTTTGCCTCTGCTTGAGTCATTGCTTTTCCTTGCAGAGAAGGCACAGCTGCATTCCTGCCTTCTCTGAGATCCTGCCTGCTGGATGGCCAAGGGGCTTGGGCCAGAGTGAAGAGGGGAATTTAAAGTAGTGCACTTCAAACTATTCATAATGAAAGACTTACGTATGTTGTTTTGTTTTTTATTTCCAATCTCTTGTGGACTGATAATCTTTTAAAGAAAAAACTTTAAAAATTTTTAAATGGACAAATAATAATTGTACATATTCACAGTGGTACATAGTGATGCTCCAGTATTATAAAGTGTAGTGATCAGGGTAATCAGCACATCCATCATCCCAAACATTTGTCATTTCTTTGTGTTGGGAATATTCAATATCCTCCTTCTAGCTACTTAAAACTATGTGACATATTATTGTTAACTACAGTCATCCTATGGTGGTATAGAACACTAGAACTTATTCCTCCTATCTGGCTGTAATTTTGTGTCCTTTAACAAATCTCTTCCTATCCCTCCCTTCCCCCTACCCTTCCCAGCTTCTTGTATCTTCTGTGCTACTTTTACCTTTACCAACGTTTTTTTTTTTGAAGTTTCCACATATGAGTGAGAACGTGGTATTTAACTTTCTGTCTCTAGCTTATTTCACTTAACACAATGTCCTCCAGTTTCATGCATGTTGCTGCAAATGACTTGATTTCATTCTTTTTTATGGCTGAATAGTACTCCATTGTGTGTATGTACCACATTTTCTTTATCCACTCGTCTGTTGTTGGATGCCTGGGTTGATTCTGTATCTTGGCTATTGTGAACAGTGCTGCAATAAACGTGGGGGTGCAGGAGTTTCTTCAATATAATTATTTCTTTTCCTTTGGATAAATACATAAAATACAACAGAAATAAAATACTAGAAAAATGAAAAGGAAAACAACATTCAAAACACAAGCTCTAATTTTTTATTGTTAGATTTGATAAATATTAAATTGCTTTGAAAAATTGTCATAGTAGTTCCCAACACTGTTTCTGTGCTTTTCTTGTTGCTAACCAGTGATGGATTGTGGGTAGATAGCAGTCTGTGGACTGGTCTCCACCGCCTTCCCTTGTCCGCACCCCTGCCCCACGGGGTAGCCATCTCCTGCCTTTGGCTGGAGGGCAGGAACATTGGTGGGCTGAGGGCAGGCTGTGGAGATTCTTCCCCATGGTGTGGGGTAGTGAGCGGAAATCCCCACATGAGTCTGATGTGTGTTCTCTAAGATTTAGCGTGTCTTAGTTACCAATTTCGGTACTAAGGAGCCCAATCTTCTCAAGTTGGTTTTGGGTACAGGACTCATCAACCACAGAAAAGCCACAGTGGTAGACATAGGAATGGCAGAAGCCAGGGCAGTTTCAAGGACCTCAGCAGGCCAAGTTCATGGACCCTTACTTAGGGCCCTCCTGTTAACGTGGCTTAGCTTCCAGCTTTCTCAGTCTCTTGACATAAATCATCAAGACAGAGATTCTGTGGATTCAGTGAGGAAAAAGTTCACCTTAGTTCAATTAGCGGCGGGCCAAGAGATGGCGTCTCAGAGCCTGCTCTGCTCTGTAGGGGCTGTGGAAACCAACTCTCTGAGAAAGGAGTTAATGGCAGATTGGGACCCAGGGCAGATCTGGGTGCAAGCTGCTGCCTGTGGAAAGTTCGAAACAATGTCCCAGTTCTCAAGCAGGAGAAAGGTTTTAATCATTCAACTGTAGGGAGAAATTCCTGGCTCTGCCCTGTGCAATCAGCTCATCCTCCTGGGTCTCTAAGTGTGCTGAAATGTTGCTTCCTTGCTCCTGGTGTAACCACTCACTTAGCAAGCAGGAGCCTCCGTGGAAGGCGCTGACCTGTGATTTATGTGCCATAAAAGGGCCGGGATGTTTGATGCCTGTACTTCTCTGCCTGAGAAGAAACATTAAATGAGAGCGAATGGACCCTAGGCTCCTAACGTGGCTGCTGCTTTCCGAATGCGCGCACAGGCGCTCCATTTCATTCTGGCTCCCTGGCCGGGCCGAGCTGATTTTCACCCTGCAGATCTTAACGAAGCTCAAACACTGCCACAACCACAAGAAGCAGAAAGGAAAGGCCCAGCAGCCACTGTTTTCCTCTTCTCATACTGTCACCACGGGAGGCCTCTTGCCATGAAGGTGTTTAAAACTTCCAAAGTTAAAAACACAATGTGAAGCAAGAATCCAAGCTGATGACACCATTTCAAACGGTTTAGCAATCCATAGTTCCAGATGGAAGTTCAGATAGGAGGGCTCCTTGACTTTGTACTGAGCAGTTTCTTATAGAGGCAGAGTCCACTTGAATCCAGAATGTCTGTATTTTGCTTTAACTGGTCAGCTGGTGGAGAGGGCCCTGGATTGGGTGGCTCTGGGTCTCTATCAGAAGCAGACTGTAGGTGGCACTGCAACGCAACTTTGGTGCACCGCAGCGCGTGATAGCGCGCAGAAAACCGGGGGAGATTTAGTGCTCCGAGAAATTCAAGCCCTTTAGGGAAAGGAGCACAAAAATCACCACTTAGAAGTTGCTGTAGAAGCCTTGGGGCCACTGACCATCCTCTCCAGGGACCGAACGGCTAAATGGCAAGGATGATGTGGTGGGGAATGTGTACCTGGCGATGGTTTGCAAAATCTTGACGTTAAAAATCACCACTGTTTCATGTGTGTGGGAAATAAGAAGGCAGGGAGACAGAATGAAAAGCCTGAGAAAACACAATAAGGGTGAGAGAGAAATGGATTTTTAAATGACTATTATTATTGTTTTATTTTGAAGGAGAGTTTGAAGTACATGAATTCCCTCTGCATGTATACTCCCACCTGACCATTGAATTAAGGTGGGTACAGTTAATAGTTATAATAGAGAATCATGGTAAATAACACTGATTGAGGGTACTTTATTCATGAGTGATAAGATGAATCAAGAAAGAAAAATTAAGGGAAGCGTCATGAAATGTCTTTTCTCGTGGGCCACATGCTCTAATATTTGGGCTAATTCTAGTCTTATGCTATAAGAAATCACTTAGTCTACAGTTTTGTGGACTTAGTTCAGAAGTGGATGCTTTTGGAGACGAATGTAAGGTCCTCCTCTGAACCTCATTTTCCCATTTGCAAGGATTCGTTCTGTCTATTTCTATTTCTAATGGTTTTCAAAGTGTGATTCTGGGAACAGTAGCATTGGTATCACCTGGGAACTTGTTAGAAATGCAAATTTCTGAGCCCCACTCCAGACCTTCTAAATCAGAAACTCTGAGGATGGGGTGTAGCAATGTGTTTTAGCCAGTCCTCCAGGTATTTCGGATGCATGCTGATGTTTGTGCACACCTGCTGTAAGGAGTCCCTCAGATATGTATGGGGGAAAAGTGAGGATAGATTACTCAGGAAACATTGAACCCTTACGATGTTTATTAATAGCTGAGTGATATATGCTGGGGTTACAATGAAGAAAACATGGTTCTTCTCTCAAGCTGTTTATAATTTAGTGGGAAAACAGGCATACTTACAATGCTAAATGGAATAACTACTCCTTGAAAATACTAATTCTGCCTAGAAAGAAGGGAGGAGAAAGGCTTATAGGGTGGTGGGGAACATTTGAGCAGAGTCTTGAAGGATGAGAAGATTTAATGAGGCAGAGAAGGGCTTGTAGCTTTTATTATTTATTTTTACTTATTTATTTTTTTGAGATCAAGGCTCATTCTGTTACCCAGGCTGGAGTGCAGTGGCATGGTCAGGGCTCATTGCAACCTCAACCTCCCAGGCTCAAGTGATCCTTCCACCTTAGCTTTCTGAGTAGCTAGGACTACAGGCCTGTGCCACTATGCCCGGCTAATTTTTGTATTTTTTGTGGAGACAGGGTTTCAGCATGTTGCCCAGGCTTGTCTTGAACTCATGGGCTCAAGTGATCTGCCCGCATCGGCCTCCTAAAGTGTTAAGATTACAGGTGTGAGACACCACGCCGGGCCTGCTTGTAGCTTTTAAATGTTGTTTAATATTGCCAGAGAGTTTTGTCCACCTCAAACCATCAAGGAGCCAAACATATTGAGAGAGATTGAGTTTTCTTTCCCCTACATTTGGTTAAAGACATGGGCTTTGAGAATCACTTATTGAGAGGGAAAATCTGGCTAGCCTTGGACTTTTGCTCAGTGCCAATAGTCAATGAAGTAATGTCTACAAATTTCTGAGGAAAAGAGTGACTCAAAAATATTATATCCAGCCAAGGAGTTGGTCAAATATAAAGATAACAGGTAAACATTCTTATGTATTGACCCAAGAATTACAGGGTGTACAAACACTTCTTGGAAAAAAAGTTAGTGACAAGATGAAGCCACACAAGAGGTAAAAATAAAGGACAAAGTGAAGGACTCAGGAATGAAACAGTCACAGTAAAAGACTGGTAGTGGGCATTCAATTCATGTAAATGTAAGAACTAAGTCTAAACAAAAGTAGAAAATGGTAACAGAATAGAGAATTAATGTTATAATCCTTATCAGGGAATATGGGTGGGAGTGTGAGAGTACCAATTTCCTCATCTTTCTTAGCAGAAAGTTTTTTTGTTTTTTGAATGACTAGCCACTTTATTTTTTTTAATATTTTTTTTCTTAACGTAGAAGGCTCTTTTAAGAAATAATAACTTTACTGGCAAGGAAACGTTTATTTGAAGTTTATTCTCCTTCACTTTCTTCAGTTTCTTTATCCTTTTTTAAGTAAAACAAAGTTTTCTAACTTTCCAAAAATTAAAGCTAGCTAATATAGAATAATCTCATTTTAATTAGCTTATTTCTTTTCTTCCCTTCCATTGATCCATCCATCTTTCTATCCATTCTTGGCTAATTTCTTTTACTCTCATGGTTTTAATTTAATTTAATTTTATTATTATTATACTTTAAGTTTTAGGGTACATGTGCACAATGTGCAGGTTTGTTACATATGTATACATGTGCCATGCTGGTGTGCTGCACCCATTAACTCGTCATTTAGCATTTGGTATATCTCCAAATGCTATCCCTCCCCCCTCCCCCCACCCCACAACAGTCTCCGGAGTGTGATGTTCCCCTTCCTGTGTCCACGTGTTCTCATTGTTCAATTCCCACCTGTAAGTGAGAACATGCGGTGTTTGGTTTTTTGTCCTTGTGATAGCTTACTCTCATGGTTTTAACTATTATCTCTTTGATCACGATGTTCAAATATTTATTTATTTATTTTTTTTTAGAGATGGAATCTCACTCTGTCACTGAGGCTGGAGTGCAATGGCACAATCATAGCTCACTGCAGCCTCAAACTCCTGGGCTCAAGTGATCCTCCTGCCTCAGCCTCCTGAGTTGTTGGGATTACAGGCTCACACCATCACACCCAGCTAGTTTATTTTTATTTTTGTAGTGATGGGCTCTCCCTGTGTTGTACAGGCTGGTCTCAAACTCCTGGCCTCAAGTGATCCTCCCACCCCAGCCTCCTGAGTTGTTGGGATGGCAGGTAGGAGCCACTGCACCTGGCTCAAGTATTTATCCCTGATGATTCTTCTGAGTTGCAGAATTATGTATACAATAGCCCACTGGATGGACAGCTCCACTTGGATGTCCAATGGACACTTCAACATGTTCAGAACAAGACTCATTTTCTTCAGCTTCCAAATCCAAATTTGCTGCTCCTCTTATATTTTCTATCCTGGTTCATGATATTACCATCAACTTGGTCATCCAAGCCAGAAACTTGGAATCATCTTAGATTCCTTATCTCTTCATCCTTCTCATCCAATCAACCATTAACACCGCATCCAAGCCAGAAACTTGGAATCACTCTTGATTTCTCATCTCTCTTTCAAGCTTCCCATCCAACCGGTCAACATCGCTTCCTAAATATTTACTTTTCCCTCTTCTCCTTATCCTAGCTATCCTTGATCTAGGACAGAGCCTCACCAGGGTCTTTGATAATAACTTCAAACTTGTCTGTAGGCCTTCTTGGCTTTTCTTTATATTCACTTCCATTGTTTATATTCCTGCCAGAATGATCTTTCTAAAATGCAAGTTTATCTTGTTATTCCCCAGCTAGCATCCTTCAAAGGTTCCCTATTTCCCTAAGGATAAATTGCAGGCTACTTAAATACACCATCTTCTGTCTCTGGACTAATAGGCAATAGGCACTATTTTTATCCCTGACATGCTGTGATGTGGACAGCTGCTGGTTCTTCTGCTTATAATTGTTTTGTGTCTGTTATGGCCTGGATGACACTTGCTTATTTGTTGAAACACAGCTCAAGGGTCACTTCAGGAAGTTTTCCCAGACCTTGGACTAAGGTTTTCTCCTCTGTACTCAGTAGCACCTTTCACATATCTCAGTTGTAGCACTGAGCATTTAAGAACTGTTTATGTGCTGGTCTCTCCTACTATCACTGCAAGTTCCTCCATGTTAGGAACTGTGTGTGTGTGTGTGTGTGTGTGTGTGTGTGTCTGTGTGTGTTCGTTCACAGTGCCTACTGTACAGCATGGCACATAGTAGGTTTACAAAGACTATTGAAGTGAACTAAGCAATCCTGGTACATCTTTCTATCAATGCCATATGTACTCCCTCTCTCCCTTGGGCACAATTGGATAAACACCAAATTCAATAGTGCTCCATTTTTCTGAACTCTGGGCAGACTGCCTTCCTTCTGTGGACACATTCTTTCTTCAGATATGTTAATACTATTGATTAAGTCACAGCTTTCTTTTAGAGCAATCACATTCCAGTCATGTCTCTGTAGGCTGCATCCTAGACTCTTTAATTAGATTTCTTCATTCCTTCATTCATTAGTTCACTTATTCTATTCATGGACGGCTGTATGTTTAAAAGGCATCTACTAGGTTTTTAGTAAAACAGTGCCCTTTGTATTGGTGGCCCTCATTGTGGGGCACAAAGTGTGAGCCCAGTGGATGCTTCAGTGGGTGGGATGTGTGCATAAGGTAGGCACCAATAGCAGGGGAGGACAAGAGTCCTGAATGCTAAGTCCAGCCTCAGGCAAATTCCTCAGATTCTTGAGAACGGTCTAGCACAGAGGTTCATATCTCTAGTTTTGGAGGGAGGCAGGCTTATTTTTGAATTTTCAAGTTAACAGCTGAGTGGACAGTTTCCTTACTTGTGAAACTCTTCATCTGTTAAATGAGGTTAAGAGCAGGACTAACATAGGTTTGTTTTGAGAATTAAAAAAAGACAATGTTGAAAAGTGCAAGGCAGATGACAAGCATGTGACAAATGGTAGTCAACCTTATCAACCTCATCATCATCATCATTTAACAACAATGAATGCTCTTAGTCTGGACTTACACTGACCATTGGTTGGTTCCTCCCCAAATTGGGATGCGATTTAGTCAGCAGTGATAGGAGCCTGAGAAAGACCTCGTGGACATCCCAGGCACCAGTTGCCTTTTCTGCTTCTGTTAGGAAATGCATTGAGTTTTTAGGGACTCTGTTTATACAGAGATTATTTAGCATTTTTATTCTCTGAAGGTGCTGGCATAGCTTCAGCCTGTATTCTAAAGGGAAGGCGGTTAGCTGTGCCTTTCTTTGTTTGTCGGGAACATTTCTGTAGATAAGCACCCTGCACAGTAAATAAAATGCATTGTTATTACATTGCCTAGCAATTTACCTGTAACAGACGGCTGTGCCTGCTATAATGACATGATAGCTAATCCATACCCCTGCATGATTTTATCTTCCACGGAAGGAGGCTGGCAAGTTTAAAGGGGACACCCTCAAAGATCAGCCAGGGGAAACTACTTCTGGTTTCTGTGAGTACGCCAAAAGTCCGGTGCCCAGATTTTGAAAGAATGCTTAATTTCAGGATCAATTACCTTAAGCTTCCCATAAGTAGGTTCTACCTAAAGCTTCTGTGGAAAAGCAGTTTGATTTAATTAAGGAAGTCTCTCAGTCCTTGAGTCTGTGCTTAATACAGAGGTTAATTTTTTTTTCTTACTGCATTAGAAGTTTTGGATATGCAAATAGCCTATCATCCAACTTGCCTTAGAAGTAAATAACAATTGCCTTTTGCAGTGGACAAATAACACTGCTTTTGTTTATTTAGCTTCCTGTATGCATTTGGATAAAGCCCTCAAAAAGACGTTATTATGTCCAAAGGCAAGAGCTATTTTATAACACTCTAATATTAGAGTGATACAATTTACCAAACGCCAAAACAATGTAGCGTCACCATAATTTTCAATATAAACAATAGAACTGGACTTTCAACTGTACCTTGTTTCCTGGGGTTTGCTGCTGTTTGTTTTTCTGACTAAACTAATCTGGAAGGAATGGGTTGGATTTGGACTTCTCAGGAGGCTCTGTCCCCTTCTGGAAAGGGTACAGACTTGGAGTTTAACCCAAGTTGCACTCTTGGCTTCAGCCATTAACAACCCTATGATCTTGGGCAAGTCATTTACTTTTTTGCAGTCTTTTTGTTGCTGTTGTCACAAAGCTTGTTGAAGATATTACTTGAGCATTTTTTAGGAATTACTTCTCTAAATGGTCTCAGATACCTTTCATAGCTTAAATATTTCTGGCAGTGTTAATAATAAGGAACAAGAATTGTTTCCGGCTGGGCACGATGGCTCACACCTGTAATCTCAGCACTTTGGGAGGCCGAGGTGGGTGGCTTGCTTTAGGTCAGGAGTTCGAGACCAGCCTGGCCAACGTGGTGAAACCCCATCTCTACTAAAAATACAAAAATTAGCCGGGTGTGGTGGCATGTGCCTGTAGTTCCAGCTACTGAGGAGGCTGAAGCACAAGAATCGCTGGAATCCAGGAGGCAGAGGTTGCAATAAGCTGGGATCGCACCACTGCACCCCAGCCTGGGGGACAGAGTGAGACTCTGTTTCCAAAAAAAAAAAAAAAAAATTGCAAATTTGGGAAATTTCTCATATTGGTACCAATCGCCCTTCCTCATTAATTCCTCCCTGACCTTTCTCCTATGAAAAAAATGTGCCCCCTCACATTTTAGGAGTTTAGGTAGGAGTTAGGTAGGGTGATTGCTTGCTGGTAGACTATTATATCTCTCTAATCTGTCTGTGTCTCTCCATCTCCAGCACCACCAACAGCTAACATTTATTGAAGGCTTACAGAGGGCTGAGTGCCCCACAGGCACGATCTCATTTAATCCCCACCAAAACCATGATTATTGCCATTTTACGGGTGGGGAATTTGAGGCTTAAAGGGGTGAAGCAAATTATCCAGGGTCACAGAGCTAGTTAGTATTAGACTCCTGGTCCGATCTCTCGCCAAGACTCAGGTGGAGGACTGGCAAGAGGACTAATAACTGTCTTCCCAGCTCCTTCCTTCTTTCATGTCAACCTGTTCTCCACACGAAAACAAAGTGAGCTTTTGAAAGAGAAAACTCAGCACTCCCGCGCATCATCCTCCCCCTCCACATGCTAATAATCCCCATGATCTGGCTTCTGCCCCTTTCGTTGCATCTGACACCGCCCTCCTCTTGCTCTCTGCTCTCCCTTTGTGGCTGCCTTTCAGTTCCTGTTACGTGCTTCTCGCCTGTCCTCAGAGTCTTTGTATATGTGGTTCCCTTTGTGTGGAACATTCCCCCTCCTCTTGTTGCTTGTGGTCCCAATCACATTTGCTCATCCATTCTCCTTCAACCTTCTCCTGTGATAAAAGTGCATTTCACTCCTCCTGCTGATGGAGGATGCTGCCTGCTGGTGGGCCATTTATATCACTCTGGCCTCCACTCGTTCTCCAGCTCAAAGATGCATTCATTTCTGACTTCAGATTAAGCTGGGTTCCCTTATAGCCGCTGGTGCATTTTCTTAGGCAATTATTAGGATGTATAGTTAGAAAAATATTATCCATATAATTATTTGATTAATTTCCATATCTATTCTACCCCTGACTGGAAGTTTTATGAGGATAAGGATTGTGTCCACTTTAGCTCATTTTGTATCCTCAGGGTCTAACATAACACTTGGCACATGGTATTGTTATTTACCAGGTTGGATGAAAGCTGAGCTTTAGAAACTGGGAAGGCTGGGGATCAATCCTGAGGTTTCTTAGCATTCTCTGTTCCTGGAGGAGCAAGCAGCATGTAACTGCATGCCCTCTGGCCTGTGTGTGCATGTCTGCATATGCGTGTGGCAATGTACATGCACACACACACACACAAACACACACACACACCCCTTCCCTTTCTCCATTACAGGCAGCTGAACCAGGAAGGTGAAGAATATTTTTCATGGCGTTATTTTTATGATAATCTATTTCGATGGTTAATTTGGTTTAGGACACTGATTTATCACCAGTTTATAGATCTCTCTCTCTTTTTATTGTCCTATTTGAATTATAAGGATGGCATGTGTGAAATGGAACTTCTTGGCCTATTCTGCTTCTCATGCAACCAGTGTAGTTCAGACAATAAAAAGATCTATAAAATTAATATATACACAGAGTGAGAGGGGAAAGAGAGGGACAGAGACAGAGAAAATGGGTAATGCTTTGGAATTGGATGCCACATTTATCTCTCTCCGGTGAAGTTCAGAATGAAAATTTACATGTGGAGGGGGCATAAATGAGGTATGAAGGTGTTGTCCTCTCATGTGGAAAGAAGCCTAGTAATCCTAGCTTACCTGTGTTACAAGAAAACATATTTTTCTCTTGCTTTTAGCAATTTTAAGGACTTACTATTGCTGCTCTAACTTTAGAAATATGTGCTCTAAAGGTATGACTTTAATGAAAGGAAATACCAGGCCACTTAGATTATGCATTGCCTAGTCGGCCAGGTATGTCCTAATTACATCACCGACAGGCATCTGCAATGGATATCTGCTTGTGAGTTTTTCTCTAGCACCTGGTGCACACCCAGTGCATAGTAGGTGTTCGATAAAAGTGTAACTGAACGAGCGCCAAGAAGGCATAGCTGGTTTGTTGGTCTCCTGAAGTAAGTCTGAACCTCACTGAGCCTTCACTGGGGGAGAGGAGTGGGCCCCTTTCCCCTCATGCTTTCTGGAGGTTATGCCACATGATGTGCTTTTAGGGCCAGCTCTTTCCTGCTTTTGTCTCTTGGCTTTCTTCTTGGTTTTGTTACTCTGACCACACTAGCTGTTGACCAGTTTTTTTAAAAAAGTGAGGGGGGGGTGATTTTCGTGGAGTATTTGATCCTGATAAAGTGCCTTCTGAGTGGAAAACAAACAACAACCTTCCTACCTTCTGAAGAGGTGTTTTGAATGACCAGGTGGCAGCTCCCAGATGTGATTTCACATGAGGTTCTTGGATTGACTATTTATTGCTATGCTTGAAATGATGGTTATTATTGTTACAAATATTATTATGCTGAGGAAGCCAGCTTGCAAGCACAGGCAGCTGCATTGTTTACAAACATAATTAATGAGGTGATTTTTAATATCAACAGCTCAGCACCAGCCTTCCTAAAGACTGTTTATGGCCTGGGCCACAGAGCCATTTGTAACTTCTACAGCATGTCTATGACGGGGTTGTCTCTAAGACTCATTTCCTTTGGCTGGGAACTGGTTTATTTTATGAATGACAAAAATAAACCCCTACTTGCCTACTTGTTGCTGACAAGGAATGGTTTATGTCTAAGAAGCCCAGGTCTACCAAAAGATAAACACAGGAATACTTTTCTAAGAAGTGAACGTGTATTTCTTCACAGTTAGCTTCTGTATTTATACAGAAGTCATCCAACTGAGGTGGTTGTCCTGGGGGACTGGAAAGGAATGGCACATTGTCTTTCTAAACATGGAAATGTTTCGTGTGATATGAAGCTCTCTCAATGTTGGTAATATATCAGTATTCGAAAAAAATGGCTTATCCTTCAACTAGCCTTTTGTCACCTGTGGCCTTACAATTGAGGCCTGTTACACGACCTCAGACTTTTATTCCATTTAGTTATATTTCAGTGAGGGATTTGAACAAAAGATTTTCTCTCCTCTAAATTTGGCCTGGCACAGCATTTTGAAATGGACTCTAAGACAAGCCACTCTTTCTTGATAAGTAATAGGTCGAATGCGTCCTTTTGCCTTTATTTTTTCGCTTGCTTCCCTGATTTTGAATTTTGGGGTTCTGATAGTGATTGGTAGCTGGTATATCCCAGGTTAAAGAGATGAGACTATTCCTGCGAGATGCCCACACTTGAGCACCTTCCCAAGCAAATAGATGAAAGACTCTTCCACCTGTATGATAAAATGGGAACTAATCACCTTTCTAGGCTCCGCTATATTCAACAGCAAGAAAATAGGTGCCAGTCCGATTCCTGGCTTGTTTCCTACATTTCAGAGTTTAGACAATTTAATTGTTTACTTAGACTTCTTGTCTTCTCTCCTATACACTCTAAGGGAATTATTGTTCTTCTATTCTCTCGTAACAGTGGAATTGCCTGGTTATGCCTGTTCAGTAAAAGGCAGTAAGTTAGAGAGAGATAAAAAGATTAAAATAATAAAAATGACCCAAGATAATTAAAGTCTTCGATCTTGCATTTTTCTTGTAATTCCCAGGCAAATGCCTCTGAAACATAGTTTTATGATCTTAACTCTAAGCATCCTTGTTTATTACTTTAACCCATTGCTGGCATCTCTGGAGTGAATGATGAGAAGTTAGTGAATGCCCTAGGTTTCACAACTTGAAGTATGGAGTAAGTAAGAGCATTCATTTAATACAACTCCACATTTGCCCAGCATCTGAGTTATGTACCCCCCCACCCTCAGGGAGCTTACTCTTTCTCAGAGGAGATAGAAACAAATGATTCTAATCTGACTCTGTAAGTGCACTAATATTCTTCTAAAGAGAGTTGTTTGTTTGATCTGCTTGACTGCTGGAATTTTCATTCTCCTGATTATACTAATGAATAGTAAAGAGAAATGGAAGGTGCCAGAGGGAACTAAATTGATTTATGTAAGAAAGGACATGAATCTACCAGCAAGACTGAAAATAATATATCTAGAAGGTATGAGAAGGGACCAAGAGAAGTGGGGTGCTGAAGTTGGAAGAAATAGAGGTAGAGTTTGGGGGACCAACTGCCATGATGACTAGGACTTTTGGGGACAAAGAGACCCAATGACAATTTTTATTTATTTTTAAAAATTGAGATATAGCTTATATAAAATACACAAATGTTAAGTGTACTGCTCAATGCATTTTTACATATGAATATACTTGGGTAACTACTACCCACATCAAGATATAGAACATTTCAATCACCCCAGAGGGCTCCCTTACACCCTTGTCAATAGCTCAAGAGTGATCATTATTCTGATTCTAGTCCCATAGAGTAGTTTTGTGAGTTTTTAAACCTTATGTATATGGAATCATATAGTATTGATTGTTTGTTTCTGATTTCTTTCCCTTGGCTATGTCTATGAGATTTATACGTGGTTTTGTATGTATCAGTAATCTATTTTTTATTCTTGTGTAGTATTCCATTGAATAAATATACCATAATTAATTTCCCCATTTATCCATGGGCAAGTTAATGAATATGCTCATTGTCCATGTTAATGGACATTTGGGTTGTTTTCAGTTTGGGAACTATTTTGGGCAATGCTGCTGTGAATATTGTTGTGCATGTCATTTCTGTTTGGTAGACACTTAGGAGTGCAATGCTGGGTCACAGGGTATATGTGTATATTTAACTTCTGTTGATACTGCAAAATATAGTTTTCCAAAGTGGTTGTACCAATTGGCATCCTCTGCAGTAATGTAAGGTGCTCTAGTTGCTCCATATCTTTGGTAAACCTTAATAGGAATTTTAGAAAGTCTTTCTGGGTGTCACGTAGTATCTTTTGCCCCTTTGCTGCCCTTTATGAGGCTTCAGCAAAGCCCCTGCACTTGGAGTCAGATGGGTGTTGGATTCCTCGCATTTCCTATCAAGGGCAGCAAGCCCTGGTCCCCCTGGGTTTGAATCCTGGCTTTTCCATTTGCTAAGTGTATGTTCTTAGGCAAATTAGTTTTTGCTTATTTTATTTTATTTTTTGCCTTCTGAAACTTATTCTTCATCTCCACAATGAGAATCAATCATAAATTTATTACACAGGGTTTTAATGAGGATTGGATGAGAGAGTGTACATAAAGCCCTTTGCACAGGGCCTGGCATATAAAGTACTCAAAAAAAGTTAGCTTTAAAAAAAAAAAAAAGAAAAGAAAAACAAAAACAAAACAAAACAAAACCCTATTAACTGAAGTGGGAAAATTCCCAACTCTAAACACAGGAGAATAAAGTTGAGACACCTAGGACATCTCTCCATATCCATCTGGAGATTCTCCTTTCATAGCTGACCCTTAAAAGCTTGGACTTTGATTAGAAGAGGCAATCGTTCCCTAACACAGTAAGTCTGTACCCCTCTTCTGCATCCTAGTAGGTAATTGTGACTTTTCAGACATAGCTTTTTTTTTTTTTTTTTTTTTTGAGACAGAGTTTCACTCTTGTTGCCCAGGCTGGAGTGCAATGGCATGATCTGGGCTCACCACAACCTCCGACTCCTGGGTTCAAGCGATTTTCCTGCCTCAGCCGCCCGAGTAGCTGGGATTACAAGTGTGTGCCACCATGCCCGGCTAATTTTGTATTTTCAGTAGAGACAGGGTTTCCACCATGTTGGCCAGGCTGGTCTTGAACTCCCGACCTCAGGTGATCTGCCTGCCTCAACCTCCCAAAGTGCTGGGATTACAGGCGTGAGCCACCGTGCCCGGCCCAGACATAGCATTTTTAAGCTTAGCTTTTATGAAGACACAGGTGCACTAAAGTCATCCTTTTCTGACATCATCAACCACCATCACTGAGCAATTTTTTACAGTACTTAGAATTTCCTCTCAAAGGAGATTGGTAATACTCAAGGTAAGAGAAGATTGAAGAAAAAAGTTTAAGAAGAAAAAAGGAAAAAAAATAAAAAGAAAGCCTATTTAATTTTATGGTTGATGCAACTTGTTACATGTGTGTCCCGCCAGAATAAATCGGATCATCTGATTTTCAAATTGCTGGATCTATTGTTTCAGAAATAGAGGATGTAAATAATTTCAGTGCAATCTCCTGGATCTGGACCTCTCTCATCCAGAACTGTTATCAGCATTAGCATAATTTATGGTGCTATCTAATAATGAAATCACTGAACACTGATTGTACAGCTTCTTAAAGCTATAATTATTGCTCATTAGGAATGGATTTCATATTGTTTGCTCCTGGCACATAACAAGTTATTGAAAGAAAAAAGTTGTCAGTAGAAGTGGGAAACCAGGAAAGGCACTTTTTTTTTGTTCCTGAATGTTATCTCTGATGAATCTGTCTGAGATTTTGTCTTTAATTATAACGGAGAACAACTGGCCACATCATTAATTATCATATTTCTTTTTTAAGGAAAATTTTAGCTTCACATCAGATGCCTTTTTCAGTCTATGAGGTAGTAAGTGCTCTGTAAATGTTTGTTGACTGAATGACTGTGCAGGGAAAGCAATGAATGAAGACAAAAGCCACAATTTTGGCAAGTTAAACTCTGAGCAATGTCCAGCTCATACCAAACATTAACATTTCTTCCTTTCTTCCTTTCTTCCTTTCTGCCCGCCCGCCCGCCTGCCCGCCTGCCTGCCTGCCTTTCTGTCTGTCTTTATTTCTCTCTTTCTTTCTTTCTGAGACAAGGTCTCACTCTGTCATCCAGGCTGGAGTGCAGTGGCGCAATCTTGGCTCATTGCAACCTCCACCTCCTTGGCTCAAGCGATTCTCCTGCCTCAGCCTCCCGAGTAGCTGGGACCACAGGTGCACACCACCCCACTTGGCTAATTTTTGTATTTTTTTTTTTTTTGTAGAGATGGGGTTTCACCATTTTGGCCAGGCTGGTCTTGAACTCCTGAGCTCCAAGCGATCCACCTGCCTCAGCCTGCCAAAGTGCTGGGATTACAGGTGTGAGTCACCACACCTGGCCCTCCAAGAGGTTAGAGTTGGCAGTTTTTTAGGGGCATGAATCTGAAAAAAATAATCTTAGCTTATTCATCTCAGAACATCTTAAAATGCATTTTCTAAAATTACAGAGCAATACTTGCTTTTTCACTGTAGAAGATAAAAACAATACATGTATAGACTGAGTAAAATATGGGAGCCCCTTTCAGGTACTCTGATTGATCCTCTTCCTGAGGTAATGGCTATTCTTAGTACAGTATATGTATCCTTTAAGCCCTCATGTTTCTGGAAATATTGAGAATTCATTGTCTGGGATAATGCAGGAAAAAAAAAAAAGGTCTGCTTTTGTTGGCTAACAATAATTTCCGGATGGACTATGGGATTGGAGAAAGCTTGGTTTTAAATCTGATGATGGAGGTTTAGTTAGTGATTTCTATGAGATACAATGGTTGGGGAGAATTACACATTTCAGCATGGGAAGGAGGAGTAACCATTATACGGTTTGCAAAATAGGGGTCACTGTCAATGTTTATGATTCTAGGAATGGGGAAGGGGGCTTATCAAAAAAGACTTAAGTTCATTGTGAACAGTGCCTTTAGCTTGTGATGGCATCGACCCCAATGGAAGGTAGCTTGGCTTTGAGATTGGTACAATGTATTTGGCCTTTATAGGTTGAATGTGACTTCTGTGTTTGTCAATTAACCCAGCCTGGTGATTTATCCAGGGCTAGACCAGATTTTGTATGCTGGTATTTTCCTACACAGTTCTAGTTTCCTTGGGTCTTTTGGCATGGAACCTGAAGGGGCTGAAGAAATCACGTGAGTATTTCTTTAATAGATTCGTTTCCTTACTTGTTGATAACTGCTCACTTTTCCTTAAATATCCTCTTATCTAGGGCCTTCTAGTCCCTGAGAGTACAGGGAAAATGTCAGATATGCAGAGATAAAGAAAATCTTATTCTTTTACTGGAATTTTTCAAACTTTAGTAAAACTGTAGAAATGTTTAAATTGCCTTCCAATTTCTGAAGGAAATTGGTTTCCTTTAACGCTTAACGAGATAAACTGCAATTCGATTCAAGTCATTTTTCTGCCTCTCCTTGTTGACAATCTGAGCTCCGTTTTTTTGGTTTCCTCCTGCTTTCTGATTGACTTCAAGATTGCATCTAATCTTTTTATTCTATCTTGCACGAATGCAGCCTGCAATGTGTTGTGACAAGGAGCCAGACCTCCTATTAGCATATATTTATACCTTGCCGCACGCAAAGTGGTGCTTGGGGATTATTAAACCAGGCTGGAGCTCTGAAGGGATATAAATGGCATCAGATTCGCCCCCTCCCCACAAAAAAGCCCTCCATCTCAACTGTCTATCCACGCGGAGATCTAATTGTTTGGGGAAAGGGACAAATGCGGGGAGCTGAAAGAACAGTTGTGGATGAAGTTACTGTGATGGAGGAATGATCAGATAATTGCAGGCATGGGAGACGCAAGTGATGCTCATTGTCCTCGAAGGGCCTGGAGACTCCTTGGAGGAATTTTAAGGCCACACTGTGAATCAGTAGATAATATGATCAAGTTAATCTGCTGATGAAGTACTGGAATGTGGACAGTTCTGGACAGACATCTGGGAATGAAGAGCTAGGTGAGAGGTGTTTATGATTTGTGGGATTCAGAATATGAATTCACAGTCCTAGATATCAGGGGATGAAGATGGGGACTAGGATTCCAAAACAGGGTCCCTTCTGAGATGACTTGAGGAAACAGGCAATATTGCTTCAGGTTCTAGTTGTTTTTCCAATAAATAGAAATCAACAGAGCAAAGCCTGAACAACATTGTAACACATGCCTGTGTTCTTTGGTGTTCCAGTTTCTTTCAGTGGGACTCTTGGGGCTCCCAGCTCCCAGGGTTTATGAATCACTAACCTCTATCGCCTATCAAAACTGGTGATCAACTGATATTAGTCATTCACACATGGGTTTGACCTAATTTCCACTCATGCTAACCATCCCACAGCACTTCTATTTTAAGCTTGTTTTCTCTAATTGCAGAAAGACTGGCTTTGTCTCCACTGAAAGAAATTTCCAGCATTAGTAAAAAGCAAAAGAGACAATTTGGGGGAAGGGAAGCCTTTTTAGTGATTTGTATGCTAGGGAATTGGTCCAGAAGAGAAAGTACTTTTCCTCTCTTGACTCTCTAGTAGGTCTCGTACCCCTAGGATGATGAGTCCCAGTGACTTTCTTGGGAATTGCTAAGTTTTGAGAAATTTTTCGTTATGACATAGTATCTCACAGCCTTGAATACATCTGCCTTTTCCAACTGTCTGCGAGCACTCACAGGGTAGGGATGGTGTCTCATTCATCTGTATTTTTCCATTGATCGTTGGTGTTCAATATACAGTTTTTGAGCTGCACGGCATAGGAAACACAGGTGTCACTATTCTACACCTTTACCTGTTTCAGCCTTTGTGATAGGAAGTCAGACCCAGGATGCCATTTGGGTTGTATGCGGGGAGTATATTGGGGTGGGCTTCACTTCACTTTGTTTATTTCTCCAGGTACTAGGAGTGGTGAGCTGACCCTCTCTGGGGTCCTCTCTAAGGGCCCAGGACAGCTGTCCTAGCCCGTGCCTGCTTTTCACTAGGCAGACTCCATTGCCATCTGTCTTTCTCTGCCCAGGTTGTACTTGCCCCTTATTTGGGGCTTTCCTTTCCACTCTGGTAAGATTAAGGATTAACTTAGGCAGAGGGAAGAGTCAGAGAAGAGCAAAGAAACTCCTTTAGGCTTGGCCTAATTAGGTCTGAGTCACTTAAGAAAAGGGAAACCACAGAGTGTTCAGAAATTACTACTTTGCTTTCCTTTGTATACGTCTCCCTTGGGGATGTCCTTTGGGGATCCCACGGGCTGCAAGGTATCTGGGCTAAAGTTGGATTTAGGAAAATGAAACACTTGATTTGACTATGGAAAATGCATGTTTCCAGGCAGGAGAGGAAAGATTAGGTAGGTAACTAGATAGGCTAGAGTTCTTTTGCTTATGAGTGTGTTTTGTGGAAATTACAAACTTGAAATGTGTGTGAGGAATAAGTAACAACCAATTTTACAGTCACGTTCAAACATCTAACTCCTTAGACATTTGGGAAGTGGTGTGGGGACTGATCAGAAGCTGCCGAGAAGACACTTAGATTCTTGTTCAGGGGAGGGATGTAGATATTGATAAATGTTAGACATCGTTAGGAAAAATGAGCATAATATAAGTATAGGTTAAAGAGTTAGGGCAACCACCACAACAATAACTATAGAATTATGACATTTAAATCAGCAGAATAAAATGGAGACTATTTAAAGAAAACCAAGAAAGAGAAAAGAAAGAAATAAAAGGAAAACATGGCAAATAGCACTAAATAAGATAGCAAAGTGTCAAAGTAACAGTAATTATAGTAGATACAAGTGAGTTAATGTGAACAACCAACAGACAGAAAGAGTTTTTAGACCCATGATCTGGACAGATGTTATTTATAAGAACCATAAATTTTAAATACAAAAGGATATAGACCGATTGAAAATAAAGGAATGGAAAAAAATACACCAGTTATGTCTGAAGCAAAGAAATCATAGGTAGCACTTAATATCAGAGCAGATAGAATTTAAGGTGAAAAACCTAATAAGGGACAAGAAACATTACATGTTGGAGATATGACACCATCATCATGAACATATGTGCTGCTAACAGATCTCAAAATATCAAAAGCAACAACTGACTTAAGAGAAAAAAATAGATCAATACTTATGGTTAGAATAAAAACAAACCTTTTTGGAAAATGAAAAAGCAAATATATAAAATATATCTGAAAAGAGATCAAACAAATACATAAAATATGTGATTTTCAGGCCTGTGTAGGTATAAGTAAAAGAGGAAGTTTAATTCAAAGGCTCAGCTTCATCTAGACTATGTTCTTTGAATATGGTGTGATAAAACTAGAAATTAATGACAAAAATGAAAGCTAACTAAATAAACAATGTGAATGTGGTAAACTAAAAATTATATCTAAAAATTTCCTAAGGTTTTATATATAAAGACGATTTCAAAAAATGTGTTTTCAGTATGAGGCCTGTGTCACTTCATATGTCTTTTCGTCCAGTGTCTGGTGAATTCATTTTGTGGTATAGCAGGTAGGAGGCTCTGTAATGAACCAAAGAATACCAACTGAACATAAAGAAATCCTCTCTCCTATTTAAACCTAACTTCTATAGTTTGTGGAAAATTTTTGGAAAATATGACAAAATAGAGAATATAAGGCAGCTCCCTGACTGAAGGTGATTTCTCTGAACTTTGGCACAATGATTGGGAATATAGAGCAACTGGAGCCGCATCCTTACCTGGGAGTCTGATCTTCAGAGCAGCCTCCTGAGTGCCATGATGTGCACGACAGATACCATGGAGAACATGGAGGTGTCAAGAGGAAGAGAATAGTTCATAGGTTTACGCGGCACATTCTAAAGCCCATTTAAGAGAACCCAGGAAAAAGAGCAGGGCTAGAATTACAGGTATTTTGCTTTGCAGAGGATCACTGATGTCGTCTATGTTTGCCTCTAGTCTGGTGTGGCCAGGGTAAGTGTGAGTTACTTATTGATTTAAAACCTTTTTACCTGGGAAATGAGGGGTAATTACAATTGTTGGCTTAATAGGTATGGTGGGTTGGGTTTCCTAGGAAGCCAACACAGAGATGGAGATAAGCATGAAGGAGGTTTATTAGAGAGTGCCCTTGGGGTCAACATTTGTAGAAGGAAACGGAAGGAAGAGAAGTAAGCAGGATTGGTCAGAGGCAGAAGCTGGGCTGTGATGAAGCCTTTGCAGAGCAGATACATTACGGAAAGTTTTGAAGTTGGGGTAACCCTTTAGAGTGGTCTGGAGTTACGGTGGGAAAGCTGGGACTTTATACCCCACTACTACCACTACTACTAGTCATTAAATGGGCTCTGTGCCAGCAAGGGTGCATCGGCTTGAGTGAGGTGGCTCTTTTCAGCCAAGGCAATCCAAACAGGGATAATAAGCAGTAGTAAGTCCTTCATTCCTGAGGGAGGACATGGATGCCATATCACAGTGTCTGTTATAGTAGTACAATTTGATACACATTTTCTTCCAAACTAATTTTTGCATTTAAGAAAGTGAAGGGTTGGAAGAAAGTGCTAGGCTTAGTAGGCAGTTGAGGGTGAAATCCTTCCCAGCCTAGCACTTGCTGTTGCTATGTGCCCGCTTTGAGAGAAATGGCTCTATGAACGTGAATGGAAAGAACTGTGCTTTATAAAGGTGTAGCACAGGGAGTTCTAACAGTTTTTCCAAGGACCATCTTGTCTGAACAGGACACTAGGAGTGGGAGTATCCTTCCTAATTTTTTTTCCATGTGTAAAGGGAAAGCATGAAGTAAACCATAAATGTTTCAGGTACTACATGTTTCTTTGTCAAATCCTACATATTTGTTTTGAAAAGAATTTAAGAATCTTAATGAACACCCTTGAACTTGTTTTTCACCTGAGGCTAGTCAAGGGTAATTCACAGGTGAGAAGAGAGAGCTTGTGGCTCTCTAAAGAGCTTATGGCTAATTCTACTTCCTACACCTTCTCCCTACCTCCTCCTTTCCTCTTAAACAGGAGAACTGCAGGGGAGGGAAGGAAGAGGGGAGGCCACATGTGAGACCGACAGAGGTGTTGGCAGGAGGAGGACAGCATGGTAGGGGACTCTTCATAGATCTTCCAAATGGCTGGTGGAAGCTGTCTACGTCTTTGATCCTTCTTGGGCTGCCTTCTTGGTGGAATTTTTATCTACTTGTGTGTAGCTAAGATGTGTAGAGCTAAAATGGACAGACCCCAGCAGTTAGAGCAGCCTCCCAGTGTGGGCAGAGCATCTCCTCAGAGAGCAGGGATTAAGCACAGCGGTGTTGGTGTCAAAATCAGACCGTCAAAGTTCAAAGACCAGCTTCATTTCCTGCTGGTCACGTGGTCTTGGACCAGGGATTTAACCTCTCTGAGTCTTAGTTTTCTTATCTGTAAAATGGGGCTGATAACATTACCTCATAGATCTGTTGTTGAGAATGGAATGAATTAACCCTGTAAAATCACTTAGAACATAATAAGTACTTGATAAATACTAGCTATTATTTAGACTATGGGGCCATGTTCCCTGTCCCCTGGGTTTCCTACCTTGACAGATAACTTTAGTATCACACACCAAGCTCCTCTACACCGAAATCTCCCACTCAGGATTGAGGGTCAGAATTTCTGTAGCCAGTATTTTCTCTACCCATCATCTAAGCAAGTGTACAGAGATGCCATGTATTCTTATTTCCTGCATACTGTATTTATATTCTAACACACATAATTTCCCATTTAATAGTCTTCATACACAATTACCTGTCCTCATAAAGACTATTTCTACTCCTGAACTACAGATGGAGTCATTCCAAAGCCTTACAGATAGAAAGGTGGGATCCGTTGCCAAGCATAGATTTTTTTCCTAAATCTCTCCCTGTCTCATCTTACTGTCTTGGAAGATAAATTTTTAGTTTAAACAAGAGGCAGGGAGTAGAGGCAGGCCCCTACTAAATTTTAAATTCTAGACTAAATTTTGCCCTCCAACATTTTTTATAGTCCCTTATGCCATTTTTTCCTCTCCTGGTCTCTCTCCTGGTCCTTCTTATTCTCCTTCAAGGGAAAAGAGCCAAGATGGAGGGCAGCCTGGGAGACTAAAGAACAGGATCCATTTTCATAGACTTAGAAGTAGAACAGGATGAAAGACTAAAACAAACACGGAGCCACAGATTTTGACTTCCTTTGCCTGGAAGCATTGAAACTGAGGAAATGTACAAAAATATAATTTTGTACTTGTGCTATCAATTGTTTATATTATTTAGAGATATCATTTATTTAATTAGCCTATAGAGTTTTTTCACTGCAAAATATAAATGTTTTGTGCCAACCACCATCTTAAGCACTGGGGATACCGCTGTGAGTGAACAAAAATAGAAGCTCAAGAAGAGGTCAAAGCTCTTATGAAGTTTATATAAAAGTGAGAGGAGACGATAAGTAGATAAACAAATACGTATTATGTTGGGTGATGATAAGAAGGAAAAATAACGCAGGGTGTGAGATAAATAGATAAGAAAAATGAAATAAATAGGAAAAAGAAGGAAAAATAAAGCTGGGCGAGAAAACAGAAAAGGACAGTTGAAAGGGGGTATGTGCTATTTTGGGTGGGGTGTTCTGGGCAGGCCGCTTTGTGTTGAGCTGGGACCTTAACACAAAAAAGTGTTTTTCTTGTCATTGTCACCAGATGAGATTTGATGTAAAATACCTGGAATTTCCTTGAGAACAAGATTTTCCCCCATATATACCTTGATCACATCCATAGTAAAGTTGTTACATTCAGCGTGGCATTCTATGTTGATGATTGTCACAACTTTAGAAACTTTCTCTTTTCTATATTTCATTCATTCATTCATTCATATATTCATTTCTATATTTCATTCTTTGTCTCATCCTGTGAAAGGGTAAAACGTAGGAACTGGGGCCAAAACTGACTCATTATTCTGAATGTTCTTAAGTCTGGGAGCGGAGATTTACTGTCTAAAGCTTTTGCATTTGTTTGAAAAATCCATGTCTTTATTTCTTTATCTTTTTTTCTCTATCTTTTTTAAATGATAAGATTGAAAAGTGCAGTAAGAGTTCTGAGCCAATTTGGTGGCATTGGAAATAGTAGTTCCAGTGACTTTTATGGATTTTCTTGTTTTATCTTTGTGTTCCAGGGTGTTCCATAGATCTGGGGTTTGACTCATCCTTCAGACTTACTTCCCTCCGGTGGCTACTTTAACACCGAAAATCCCCATACCTTTCCATCAAAGTCTCTGTAAGGGAGACAGAGGACCTGCTGAGTTGTATTTTTATGATGAATTTTCTTTGTATTATATGTTTATATTCATTAATCCTGGAATCCTTACTATGTTGTTCTCCAACATCCTAAATACATACAACTTAAGGCTACATAATTTTTTCTGCTGTGATAGTCATACATCAATGATAGAAGGAACACAATCATTTGGGAATGGATGGGCCTTTTAGACTTGCAGTCCAGACTTCAGTTTTATCTCTGGAGCAGGCAGCATGCCCAGTTTATGCTGTACTTTGTTTCTAGGTTTTGTTACCTTGGCTAATGTATTTTCAGTGGGTGAAATAGCTTGTGCTCTACCTTCTTGCATAGAATATTGGTTCCAGGGGTAGAGAACAGGGAGAACATGCTTTATTTTTCTCTGCCTCCTCTGACCTTAGCTCCAAGCTCCCACAACTTCCAGGGATGCCTTGAAAACCAATTTCACTTCTAAACATGTATTGAGAGCCGAATCTCTGCTAGGTTTATAGTGGGAGAAGGGGGAGAGCAGCATAAAGATATCTGTGGAATGCAGAGATGTGAGGAGAAAAAAAGTGGCAGGAGCAGGAGAGAAGGCAAGGGACAGTGAAGCAGCAGAAAAGAAGGTGAAATCAGTTTCTGTTATATTCCCCAAATATATTTGAGGAAGATGATTCTTGAAGAGAATAAATACTTGTGGTGATGGAGGCTGTGGTAGAGGGGGTGGTAAGTGTGAAGATGCAGGGGGAGGAGATGGTGCTGGAGGTGGAGATGGAGGTGGAGGTGGAGGTAAAGGATGTAGTGGGGGGATGGAGGAAGTAGCATAGGAGGTTATGGAGGTGGGACAAGTGATAGAGGTGGAGCTAGGGATGGTGGAGGGGGTGGAAAAGATGGTAGTAGGAGTGGTGGAGGTGGAAGTAGTAGAGCTGGTGGTGGAGGTTATGGTTGGGTGAAGGTGATGGAGATGGTGAAGAAGGTGGTGAAGGTGGTGGAGGAATTGGTGGTGAATCCAAGGTGGAGGGAGAAGAGTTGGTTGGGGCGATGGAGGGAGAAGAGTTGGTTGGGGCGATGGAGGGAGAAGAGTTGGTTGGGGCGATGGAGGGAGAAGAGTTGGTTGGGGCGATGGAGGGAGAAGAGTTGGTTGGGGCGATGGAGGTAGAAGAGTTGGTTGGGGCGATGGAGGGAGAAGAGTTGGTTGGGGCGATGGAGGTAGAAGAGTTGGTTGGGGCGATGGAGGTAGAAGAGTTGGTTGGGGCGATGGAGGTAGAAGAGTTGGTTGGGGCGATGGAGGTAGAAGAGTTGGTTGGGGCGATGGAGGTAGAAGAGTTGGTTGGGGCGATGGAGGTAGAAGAGTTGGTTGGGGCGATGGAGGTAGAAGAGTTGGTTGGGGCGATGGAGGTAGAAGAGTTGGTTGGGGCGATGGAGGTAGAAGAGTTGGTTGGGGCGATGGAGGTAGAAGAGTTGGTTGGGGCGATGGAGGTAGAAGAGTTGGTTGGGGCGATGGAGGTAGAAGAGTTGGTTGGGGCGATGGAGGTAGAAGAGTTGGTTGGGGCGATGGAGGGAGAAGAGTTGGTTGGGGCGATGGAGGTAGAAGAGTTGGTTGGGGCGATGGAGGTAATAGAGGTAGTGAATGTCGTGGCTAAGAAGGTGAAAGAGGTAGTGGAGGTGGGTGGGAAGGTGGCTGAGATAGTAGAGGAGGTTGAGGTGGTAGAAGTAAGATAGTGGCGGAGGTGGCCGGGGAGATGTATTTGAGGTGATGGAGAAGGTTGTGGAGTGAGTGTAAGTGGAGATGGAAATACCTGTAGTGATAGCCCAAAGTGATAGGGTTTGTGGAGTCATCTACAAATATAAATATCCACTCTTAAGTCAGAGTGAAACAAGTGCACCAGCACGCGGGAGAACAAGCAGCCATATGTACTACTTAAAACAATTTTCTGCTTAGGACTTTCAGATATTTTTCTCACTAGTTTAATGCATTTTTGCCTTGAATCTAAAATTGTTTTTGTTTTCTTAGATGAGTCAGAGAGCAGTTGATGCCCATTCATTCTCACTGTAAATGCTTTCTATCCGCCAGACTGGACCAAGCATGGGCAATCAAAAATGAAAGAGACTTAGTTTCTGTCTTTGTTGAAGACACAGACCCATAAGTGATAATTATAACACAGTGACGTTAAATGCAATGACGGAGATGTAAACAGCTATGGAGGATGATAGACAACCAAGGTGGGGAGTGTTAGGGACAGAGGAAACTTACTGGAACAGGTAATACCTTAAGGATGAGAGAACTGGGGATTAGTTGGGTGAAGGGGAAGATGAGCATTATAGGCAAAAGTAGGAAGTAGGAAACAGTTTACAGTAAACATGTAGCACAGTAACTAGTTCTCTAACTTTAACTTTTCCTGCTGTCTGCCGGGTATGTTCAGTTCCTTGCATGATTTTGGAATTTAGAATCAGATTTGAAAGCATTCATGGTTGCAAAAAGTAAATTGTAAGTGTGCAGTCAGGGTCTTTTAGTGCTTTTTTTTTTTTTTTTTTTTGAGATGGAGTCTTGCTTTGTTGCCCAGGCTGGAGTGCAATGGCGCTGTCTCGGCTCACTGCAACCTCTGCCTCCTGGGTTCAAGTGGTTCTCCTGCCTCAGCCTCCCGAGTAGCTGGACTACAGTCTCGTGCCACCACACCCAGCTAATTTTTGTGTTTTTAGTAGAGATGGGGTTTCGCCACATTGGCCAGGCTGGTCTCGAACTCCTGACCTCGTGATCGGCCCGCCTTGGCCTCCCAAAGTGCTAGGATTACAGGCATGAGCCATTGTGCCTGGCTGATCTTTTGGTACTTAATGGTGAGATGTTCAAAAGTATAGACAATAAGGGAGAATCTCACAGTTGGTGCCACCAAATTCTTTAAACTCACCCGTTCTTGTAGCTAGAGAAGTGAGTGGGAAGACAGTTCAAAAGGATAGACAATAAAGGTGAATCTCACAGTTGGTGCCACCAAATTCTTTAACCTCACCCATTCTCGTAACTAAAGTGAGTGGGAAGATAGAATCTGAATAATTTTTCCTATCAGTGGAAGCAAGACAAACAGTATTTAAGCTGGGATGGGTGGGTGGGTATGCAGTATCTGTGCAGAAGATGAGTTGCTCACTCAGAGAAGACCTGATATTCAAGGAAAAGTCAGCCAAAAACGTGAGTCACTCATTAGCCTCTTTAAAAGGTGGAACATGCTAAGGCGGGGAAGGTAAACAGACTCTTGCTATGTTGGATTAAGATGTACCCTTAGATATAACTCTTCTCTGGAAATGAAAAAAATTCTCTAAAAAATATAGCACACATATCCTTGACCCAATTAAAATATAGCATTTCAAAAAGGAAGCAGATAGCACATGGTTTGTCAAATAAATGACTCAATAGAAACGCATGAAATATATTTGAATAGAGATTGCCAAATGTTGTTTTTTAAATAAGGAACTCATTAAAGTCTATGAAACAGACTTCAGAAATTGATTTCCTGGAGTGAATACCACAAATGATTCTCCAGAGCCCACGAAGAGGAAGTTTTCTAACCTATTTCTCTGGACCACAAGTTGTCCTGCAAAGGGTGAGAAGAGAGGGATGTCACTGTTTTTCTAGTTCGTGGTGCCTCCATGGTGAACTGAGATGCTCAGGGAGGCTAGATAGTGGCTTGATGCTGTTTATGCAGAATTTCCAACTCAGAGAAGGCCTCCCACCTCCATCTGGAAGACTTAGTATCTTTGCCCACCTACCTTTGAAAGCAGGATATGGATTGCACAGGAGAAAATATTGGAAATTGACCACTGAACCACATATTTAAATTCATTCCTGGCTCTTTCTTTCCAAATAGCAATTGAGTTTGATTATTGTGATTCGGCCATCTGCATCTCATGTTTATAATTGTCCACACTGCCACTGTCTGAGATTTTCTCAATTAATATTATTAAGGGGTGGATATGTGATTTTCTGGATGGTTCAATTTACTCTTCTGTCTTGTTTTGATAAGAAAGTGGCTACCTGCAAGCACTAAGGGGCTTTTATCGGCATTTCGAATTTTTGCTTGTGAGCAAATAACAGGAGAACAGAAATACTCTCCTGGTTGCCTTTCAGAGACAGAATTCTGTTTAATTTGCAAAACCATTTATAAATTCTCAGTATTAACTCAGCCTTTCTTGCCTGCCTTACAAAAGCAGCTCTTAAGAGATAAAGTGTTTGGGACCCAGTGGGAAAGATTCCAAGCTCATACTGCCAAATCTCCTGAGTTATCCTGACTCCTATCTGAGATTTGGGGATTTTTCTGTAAGAAGGAGGAGTGTGGGATTGGCCCCCCTCTGGAACATAGATGAGAGAGTAAATTGACTTGTCTGTTTTTCAAAGATAATTGTGGGTTGTGAAACTAAGCTAAGTAGGTAGCAAAATCCTACGCAGATTACAAAAGAGATTTTCCATCTCTGCATTACCACACGTAATTTTAGGCCCTGAAGCAATGTCTGGTGGGCCAGTTGAACGTGCTAGGGCAATTGTCTAATGACTCTGACAGAAGTGGTGGCTGGGATTAGATCATGAGTGATAGATTCCTAGAACTGGAAGGGACTTTAAAGATTTTCTAGGCAAACCCTTTTGCTTTCCAGTTGAGGAAACTGAGGCCCAGAGAAGCTTAGCTATTTCAAGTGGTTACCATGGTAATCCTGATTGCTAGCACTGTGCTTTGATGTGGGGTGACCCTCAACTAGACCTCAAATAATGGCTCTGCTGCCTTCACTGTGGATGTTCCCCAGAACACATGTCATGGGTGACACTGGGACTCCTCACAGCTAGTCCTGCTACTCAAAGATCACAAAGCATCTTGCTCTCATTTGTTTTGGCCACACCTCAGCTAAGGGGGCAATATTTTCTCTATTAATGGACTCACAATATGTGGCTCTGCCAGTAGTCAGAGGGATTCTCAGTGGGGACTTGGAGAGATGGGCCTGCACTTGTGCCTTCCATCCCAAACTCCCTCTTTCCCTGGGATTCTTTCTCAAGCTGAGTGAAAGAGCATCTTGGCTCTGGGATTTCTCCTTTGCTGAAAGGTTGAAAACACTGGTGGAGGTCTTGGTCAAGTTAGGCAAATTCTCTGCACTTTTGTTTCTTATCTGTAAAATAGGAAAAATAATAATTCACGAGGCTTGTTGCCAAACATAGTCCTGAGTGCAAGGAAGGCAGCTGATAAATGTTTATTCTCTCCTTTGCCTTTTATAATAAAATATCTGAATATTGCTGGTTTCTGATTAGTCTAAAGAAAGTTATTTAGTTTTGTCTATTTATGAAGATAATACCTCTTCCTTGTAGAAAATGAAACAATGCTGAAAATCGTGAAATCCCCTGAACAGTTACTATCTAGAGATAACTCTTCATACTTTTGCAACATTCTTTCAGTCATCTTTCTACGCATCTTTGTTTATATTTGTGTTCAAATCTATAATTTTACATAAAATGAAATCATAGTAGAAACACTCTTTTGCAATCTACCTTGTTCACTCAAGAGGTCAGTTCAAAGAAAGCACTAATAGATATTTTCTGCCAGATGTTTGTCTCCGCTGTAGGACAGAATGAACAACACAATCTCATCTCACAGATTGAAACTTCACTAAGACCTATTTGGCACTCTTCTCTCCAAATGTCCCTTTCCTCTATCTCCTCACTAGAGAGAGAATATGTCACTGGACATATACAATGCAATTTCTGGAGTGTGCGAAAGATTTGCCAACCAGGGAAGTTTTCTGCTTTTATTTACCCTAACAAAAGCCAGGATAAATAAATGATGTCTACTCTATAGTCTCTCCTGCATAGTCCTTTGAATCCCCTTTGTTGGATCCTTTTTTTATTTTCTGTGGGACAAACCTCCAGGGAAGGCACAGATTTTTGTGTACTGTAGCTCACTGGGTCTTACTGACCTGTAGCTATGGGTGGTCATTGTTTTGTTTAGACTGATCTTCTTGGCGGCCTAGTGTCTCATCCTTGTCAGACAGATTGACATTAGCGATGCTCTATCCTTCGCCTGCCTCTCAGTTTTGTCCATATCCCCTGTCTCTTCGGAACTGTGATAGTGGTGATATAAGTGATGATTTAGCACTAAGCATTAGAAAGGCATGCAGACTGATTCTGCCAAGAATTATAATCTGTTGCTGCTATCAGCTCATTCCTATGAATGCCCATTAGTAGAAAGTAGAGCTAATTGAAAGTCTGGGTATTGGGAGCCTTGGATCATAATGAGCAGATGAAAAACTTCAGTATTATAACCTCGTGTAGGGATATCACACTTCCATGCAAATGGTTCTCATCCATGAAGGAAGGATGTTAAAATTCATGTGGTCCCAGCTCACATATATATCACCAGTATGATGTGAAGGAAGGCCTGCCTATCTCTCCTTCCTTCCTTCCTTCTCTTTCTTCTTTCTTTTTTTCCTTCTTTCTTTTCTTTCTTTCTTTTCCTTCCTTCCTTCCTTCCTTCCTTCCTTCCTTCCTTCCTTCCATCCATCCATCCATCTTGCTCTGTTGCCCAGGCTAGAGTGCAGTGGCACAATCATGGCTGACTGCAACCTCAACCTCTCAGGCTCAAGTGATCCTCCTGCCTCAGCCTCCCAAGTAGCTGGGACCACAGGTACATGCCACCATGCCTGGCTAATTTTTAAATTTTTTTGTAGAGACAGGGTCTCACTATGTTGCCCAGGCTGGTCTCAAAATCCTGGGCTCAAGTGGTCCTTCTACCTCAGCCTCCCAAAGTGCTGAGATTACAGGCATGAGCCACCTCATCTGGCCTCCTTTCTTATGCTTTGAGATCCTGGATCCTGTGATTATTGTTTTCAATTTAAAAACAGCAGTTTCAGGGTGTTTTCTGTTTTGTCATATTTGGGCCAGACTATCTCCCAGAGTCTACAAGTTTACATTTCTTCACAGCCTCCGCTCTCCATACCACAGGAATCTGTGCCGATTCATTCATGCCAGATGTATTGAGGTGTTTTTTTCTTAGGCAGCTTTCATCTAGGAAGAGGTGGGCTGGATACACCCACTCGTTTCCCACCATCTCCAGAAGGAGCAGCTTTAACTATGACTCAGTGATGCAGGGCTTCTGACCACAACCTAAAAATGAAAGGCCCTATCACCAATCTTATCTGCTCATCAAAAAACAGACGGTGGTGATATGCAGTCAAGCTTGCTGGTACTTCCAATGCCTGCCCTGAGAAGGTTCTGCCATGGAGATGAAGACACGCTGGAGCCACAGGAGTGGTTCTGGAACATCTAACCTTCTTGTGCAAAGTTTCTATCATAACTTGAGATTAGACATGCTCTTATTAGGAAAGTTGGTAAGTTGGAAGGAAATATAATATTCTTAAGTTAGAACATTTCTGAGCTTCTCTTCCAAAAGAAAACTTCTAATTTATGTGGCATCTGTGAGTGTGCGTTTTCTCCTTCACTGATTATTTTACGATTTCTCCCATACACTGAGAATCACTGCAGAAGGTGCTCTGGGGCAGCTGGAAAGGAAGTATAAGGAAAGACCCTTGCTTTGGAAATTCTGAAGGAAAATGAAATATGCTTTCCATATGTTTGTATCTGTATGTGTTTCTAAGTAGACAACCTAGAACTTCTAGTTCTAAACTCTAAAGAAAGTCCGTATCTGGCTGGGCGCGGTGGCTCACGCCTGTAATCCCAGCACTTTGGGAGGCTGAGGCAGGCGGATCACGAGGTCAGGAGTTCGAGACTATCCTGGCCGTGCCACTACACACACATCCAGCCAGGGCGATAGAGCGACACTCAGTCTCAAAACAAAAAACAAAAAAAAAGAAAAAAAGAAAGTCCATGTCTAACTTGAATCTATGATTAAAAAATTGATGCTTATAAATTTTAAATGTAATTAAATGTAATCATCTGTAAAGCAAGCTGGATTTGACTGGGGTAAGTTTGAATTTTAGTTGTGCTCTCTCCACCTCTAGTTTAGTAGATGGGCCAAAAAGAGGTTGTCGGCTGGGCATGGTGGCTCATGCTTGTAATCCCAGCACTTTGGGAGGACGAGGTGGGTGGATATCACTTGAGGTCAGGAGTTTGAGACCAGTCTGGCCAACATGGTGTAACTCCGTCTCTACTGAAAATATAAAAATTAGCCAGGCGTGGTGGCAGGCACCTGTGATCCCAGCTACTTGGGAGGCTGAGGCAGGACAATTGCTTAAACCCGGGGGGCAGAAGTTGCAGTGAGCCAAGATGATGCCACTGCACTCCAGCCTGGGCGATAGAGCAAGACTCAGTCTCAAAAAAAAAGGTTACCCAGGGTCAAGGAGAAGAGAGCCAGTTTTTTCCTGCAAATGTGCACAGAAGTTACTTTGTGTGCTAGATGATTTCCATTTGCCTCTCCAGTCCACTCTCCATTCTCACCCACTCATGGGCTGTATCAGTGGCTACCTTGCCCTCTGTCATCTAGTAGGTTTGACAAAAGAGGCATCTACAGGTACAGGAGGACAGGCAGAGTGGAAGGTCAGGATATCGATTCTGCCAGTTCCCTTCCTGCTGTGTTGCTGTGAGTTGGCTGTGTCCATCTACCTATGACCACAACTCCTGTCGAAAAGTCCCTGCTCTCTCCAGACTCAGACAGATGCTCCTGTCCCTTGCCCTTTCAGCTCTAGGGTGGTATCAGCTCCCCGCTCTTGCTAGACCTGAGGTGCCCCATTATTCTTGGTTGGTTTCCTTACGCTCTGCCCTTCTTTGTAAATAATCCCATTATTAAGCTTTCCTCTGTTACTATGTTTGAATGGACCATCTTTTCCTGTTGATTCCTGACTATTATACTTAGTGAATATTTTAGGGATCATTTAATGACAAAGAATAGAAGCTCACACATACTAGCTCAAGTACAATATGAACTTACAGACAGGACACAGGGCAGTAAGGAACATGTATCAGGTCATCTGGTAAGTCAGTACCTGAAACCATCTCCTCAGTCTCTTGTGGCACGAGGCTATGGTGTCCCTTATTTCTGCTCTTTCTACACATCTGCTGTCTTCAGCTACTGTCTTATATTGGTATTATTTGTCTGTCTCGTGAACTTTCTTTGTCTGGTCATGCTACAAACTCCTGCTGTGACCCTATTTAACCTTTCAGTTCAAGGAATCCTCACCATTTAATTGTGTTTCTCAGTGTCCTATTTGAAGTTTCCTGGGAGAGAGAATCTCAGTGTTCAGTTTGAGTTAGGTCTATTTATGGTCCACTCAGGTGTGGTGGAGGAGAGGGGTACACAGGACTGTCCTTTCAGGGATGTGAATAGGACTTCCAAGGAAGGTGTATGTTCGATGGGAAATTATTGGTATCTCTACGTAGTGCAGTAAATCTCTCTCTGGAAGAATATTTGAAATCTCAGGTGAAAGTGATGGCTAAGCTTGTCCTTAAGCCATATGGAAAGGCAGTCTATTGCCTCATTCTCAGTTTCAGTAGAAATACATTCAATACTTCCAGAAACCTTGGAAGAGAGCTCTTCTGACAATTTCTCCTATATGTAACCTGCTGTGGATTTTGTCCATTTATTTCCTCTTTCCTGCTGTGAATGGTAACCAATCCACTGTTCAATGACACACTCACTGGATCCTTTTTGGTGACTGGGTGACTGTAACTGGAAGCAATTAATGAGATCCTCATCACTCTTTAGGGTGAACATGCTATCAGCTTTTCAGTCCCCACTCAAATATGAGCAGATAACCAAAGATTACACATCCGTAGAGAGGCTCTAACATGAGAGAAACACACACACACACACACACACACACACACACACACACACACACACACACAGAGAGAGAGAGAGAGAGAGAGAGAGAGAGAGACCAAAGAAAGCAGAAACAGCAATTTGGAGGAAGCAGAGACTAAACCAGAAGATGAAAATTTTTAAAATTGAAGGCTATAGTTAATATTCCTCAAGGAGACAAGAGAAGATGTTGTAACCATGAAATAAGAAATAAATACTATTTAAAAAGGAACATTTAGTGGACAAAAAATAGATTCTTAGAATGTAAGACATATAAAATATTAAAGTATAATCAAAAAGTTAAACTCAATAGAAATATTGAAGATAATGTTAAGCAAATCTCTGAAAAAATACAAAAATAAAAAGTAATGAAAAATAGGGATGAGATATTTATTTAAAAATTCTAAGGACAAGTTTACATGATCTAACATCTAAATATAAGAGTTCCTGAAGAAGGAATAGAGAGAGAGGAGAAAGTCATCGATCAAGTGATTCAAGAAAATTTTCTAGAAAAGGACGTAAGTTCCCAGACTGAAAGAGTTCACTAAGTACCTTTAAAATGAATGAAAATAGACTTAGACCAAGGGCACCTCATTCTGGGATTTTGGAATATTGAGGACAAAGAAGATGCTACCAGCTTTTGGAAAGAGAAAAGTAGGCCACATAAAGGATTAGGATCAGAATGGCTTTGTGCTTCTCAACAGCAAAATTAGAATTTAGAAACAATAGAGCTATAGGCCTTCAAATTCTAAGGAGGAATGATTGCCAACCTAGCATTTGATACTTGTTCACAGTATCAGTTGGATGTGAGATGGGAATAGAGACATTGTTAGATACACACATTCTCAAAACCATTTCCTTCCCACATACCTCTTCTTAGGAAGTGACTGGTAGATGAGTTCCATGAAAATGAGGTATAAACAAAGAAAGAGGAAAAGATAAGGCATAGGAAACTGGGAGCAAAAGGAATTCTCAGAACCATGAAGGGAGACACCAGGAAGACAGTGAGTGTACAAAATATAGAGGGGTTGGGGCAGGTCAGAAAGCTCTAGGTCACATTTCCTCAGGAAGACAAAATTAATAGACTATTAATTGAATTAATTGAATATATATTGAATACCTTGAGAGGAGATTTAGACAACTGTCAAAGATAGGCATTAAACTAGTGATAAATACATAGAAAACTAAGGAAATGAAGACAACAAGGCAATTATTAATTCCAGGGAAAATAAAGTTGTACAAAAAAGAAAAAGTGATTATGATAATACATGGCTCATCTGTGAATAGCATTTACATAGTCATAATACTAGAAATTTCAAATATTGGCCGGGTGCGGTAGCTCACACCTGCAATCCCAGCACTTTGGGAGGCCGAGGTGGGGGGATCACCTGGGGTCAAGAGTTTGAGAACAGTCTGGCCAACATGGTGAAACCCCATCTCTACTAAAAATACAAAAATTAGCTGGACATGGTGGTGCGCATCTGTAATTCCAGCTACTGGGGAGGTTGAGGCACAAGAATTGCTTGAACCTGGGAGGTGGAGGTTGCAGTAAGCCGAGATTGCACCACTGCACTCCAGCGTGGGCGATGGAGTGAGACTCCTTCTGAACATTGACGCAAAAATCCTCAATAAAATACTGGCAAACTGAATCCAGCAGCACATCAAAAAGCTTATCCACCATGATCAAATGGGCTTCATCCCTGGGATGCAAGGCTGGTTCAACATACACAAGTCAATAAACATAATCCAGCATATAAACAGAACAAAAGACAAAAACCACATGATTATCTCAATAGATGCAGAAAAGGCCTTTGACAAAATTCAACAGCCCTTCTTGCTAAAAACTCTCAATGAACTAGGTATTGATGGAACATATCTCAAAATAATAAGACCTATTTATGACAAACCCACAGCCAATATCATACTGAATGGGCAAAAACTGGAAGCATTCCCTTTGAAAACCAGCACAAGACAAGGATGCCCTCTCTCACCACTCCTATTCAACATAGTGTTGGAAGTTCTGGCCAGGACAATCAGGCAGGAGAAAGAAATAAAGGGTATTCAATTAGGAAAAGAGGAAGTCAAATTGTCCCTGTTTGTAGATGACATGATTGTATATTTAGAAAACGCCATCGTCTCAGCCCAAAATCTCCTTAAGCTGATAAGCAACTTCAGCAAAGTCTCAGGATACAAAATCAATGTGCAAAAATCACAAGCATTCTTATACACCAATAACAGACAAACAGAGAGCCAAATCATGAGTGAACTCCCATTCACAATTTCTTCAAAGAGAATAAAATACCTAGGACTCCAACTTACAAGGGATGTGAAGGACCTTTTCAAGGAGAACTACAAACCATTGCTCAGTGAAATAAAAGAGGACACAAACAAATGGAAGAACATTCCATGCTCATGGATAGGAAGAATCAATATCGTGAAAATGGCCATACTGCCCAAGGTAATTTATAGATTCAATGCCATCCCCATCAAGCTACCAATGACTTTCTTCACAGAACTGGAAAAAACTACTTTAAAGTTCATATGGAACCAAAAAAGAGCCTGCATCACCAAGACAATCCTAAGCCAAAAGAACAAAGCTGGAGGCATCATGCTACCTGACTTCAAACTATACTACAAGTCTACAGTAACCAAAACAGCATGGTACTGGTACCAAAACAGAGATATAGACCAACGGAACAGAACAGAGCCCTTGGAAGTAATACCACACATCTACAACCATCTGATCTTTGACAAACCTGACAAAAACAAGCAATGGGGAAAGGATTGCCTATTTAATAAATGGTGCTGGGAAAACTGGCTAGCCATATGTAGAAAGCTGAAACTGGATCCCTGTCTTACACCTTATATAAAAATTAATTCAAGATAGATTAAAGACTTAAATGTTAGACCTAAAACCATGAAAACCCAGAAGAAAACCTAGGCAATACCATTCAGGACATAGGCATGGTCAAGGACTTCATGTCTAAAACACCAAAAGCGTCAACAAAAGCCAAAACTGACAAATGGGATCTAATTAAACTAAAGAGCTTCTGCACAGCAAAAGAAATTACCATCAGAGTGAACAGGCAATGTACAGAATGGGAGAAAATTTTTGCAATCTATTCATCTGACAAAGGGCTAATATCCAGAATCTACAAAGAACTCAAACAACTTTACAAGGAAAAAACAACCCCATCAAAAAGTGGGTGAAGGATATGAACAGGCACTTCTCAAAAGAAGACATTTATGCAGCCAACAGACACATGAAAAAATGCTCATCATCACTGGCCGTCAGAGAAATACAAATGAAAACCACAATGAGATACCATCTCACACCAGTTAGAATGGCAATCATTAAAAAATCAGGAAACAACAGGTGCTGGAGAGGATGTGGAGAAATAGGAACACTTTTACACCGTTGGTGGGACTATAAACTAGTTCAACCATTGTGGAAGACAGTGTGGCGATTCCTCAAGGATCTAGAACTAGAAATACCATTTGACCCAGCCATCCCATTACTGAGTATATACCCAAAGGATTATAAATCATGCTGCTATAAAGACACATGCACATGTATGTTTATTGTGGCACTATTCACAATAGCAAAGACTTGGAACTAACCCAAATGTCCATCAATGATAGACTGGATTAAGAAAATGTGGCACATATACACCATGGAATACTATGCAGCCATAAAAAAGGATGAGTTCATGTCCTTTGTAGGGACATGGATGAAGCTGGAAACCATCATTCTGAGCAAACTATCACAAGGACAGAAAACCAAACACTGCATGTTCTCACTCATAGGTGGGAATCGAACAATGAGAACACTTGGACACAGGATGGGGAACATCACACTCTGGGGACTGTTGTGGGGTGGGGGGAGTGGGGAGGGATAGCGTTAGGAGATATACCTAATGTAAATGACGAGTTAACGGGTGCAGCACACCAACGTGGCACATGTATACATATGTAACAAACCTGCACGTTGTACACATGTACCCTAGAACTTAATAATAAAACCAACAAAAAGAAAATTAAATAATTAAAAATATGCATACATCCCAGGCAGCCATTGCTAAGCAATTGGAATTGGCAAACAAAACAAAGCTATCTTTATTTGGGCAACATGAAAACAATGAGAGTAGAAAAAATATTTTTATGAGTGTCATTAGAACATTGCTTTTTTTTTTTTTTTTTTTAAAAAAAAGACTTGTGGAGTTGGAATAATTATCAGTTGACACCTGTCACAGCAGTGTGTTTGGGGCACAAGCTTCAGTGGAGTTTGATCTTCTCATTGTGGGGACCAAGGGACAGTACAAGTCGAGAGGCAAGGGACTGTCACTGCAGCTAAGAAGAAAAGTCTTCAGGTCTAGACTCATGAGGAGTCAATTCCAGGATGATCAGCTGAGGCAAAGCCTAGAGATCTGGGCAGTGGAGGCCAAATGCTGGATAACCAGAGAGAGGAAGAGGGATATCAGAGGGCAGACCTCAACTCTGATCCTAGAGGAAGGAGGTTCGAGTTTTGTGGCCTCTTTCATATTGCTTGCTAGGTAGAGGTGTTGTTTATGGCCAAAAGTGGGCAGAGACCTTTAGATACCCCCAATCCCTTCACCCTCTAGGTACCCTGATTTCTTCACTCTCTGTGCTCTGTCTCTGACTGTTACAGCTGGATTCCTTCACCAGTGTCTATATGCTTAGCCCGGCACCTGAATCTGGGCCCAATCCTACATCAGCAGCCCCCTAACTTGGTACCTTCACTCTTTCTGGCAACCCTGTGATGTTGGTGGCACAACTGGATCCTTGTCTTCTACCTCAGTTTTCCAGTAGCTGGGTGCCTTACCCTGAACCCTGACTATTCTGGTGCCTTATCTCCGAAATGCCCACCACCCAGTGCTGTGAATGTCCATAGCACCTGGAGATGCCTTGTTCTGGGGTGGGCCGATAATCTGTGTCACAGATCTTTCTTTCACCTCTGCCCAATAGTATTTGTATCTCAGCTTCATTTTCCCCCTGGGGAGTGATTATCCAGCCTCAGGCCAAGCTTTGTATCTAGGTCTTTGCATGTCAGTCCTTTAAGTCCTGTTTAGTTCTATAAGGGCCCAAGTCCCGATTTTATTCCCATGCTAGGAATTTATTGAACATTTACAATCAACCTATTTGGAAACCTTCAAACACGGTTTACACGGATTACCTCATTTAAGTCTTACAACTACTCCCTGAGGTTGTAGCTACAATTACCAGTATCATTTTATAGACAAAGAAATGTAGTTTAAAGATATCGAAGAACTTGTCTGTGGTCACAGTTCAAGGACAGGACAGGAATTGAAACACAGGTCATCTAGTTCCAGCCTCTGACTGTGATTACAAGGTTCATTACCTCCCACAGTCTTTGTTCAAACCTCATCATCCACTTGTTTTCCCAGACCCAGACTTCTCTGACTCAACTTATCCCCAGTTCCAAACCCTGGATCTGGGAGTGGGTTGGTTAGTGAGGGAGTTTGGCCTCCTTTTCCTGTCTGTCTTGTGTGTGCTTGCTTGCTCTTCTGCCATGTTATGATACACAAGAAGGCCCTCACCAGATTGGCCCTTTGATTTTAGATTTCTGAGCCTTCAGAATCATGAGCTGAGTAAACATCTGTTACTTATAATTTACCCAGTGCGTGGTATTCTGTTATAGCAGCAGAAAACAGACTAAGACAGTAGTGATCACACTGCTTTTTAGAGGGTGTTCATGAGGAAATTGGTTGGGGCTGAAAGCTATGATTTGCCTTGTTCTTATAACAATATAGGGCATTTAGTAAATTCAATAATCTTTTTATTTTACATAGTTCAGTGACCTAAATGTAAAAAAATAACAACTTCCCACTCACCCATTGTCTTGGGTTTTAGCCATAGCCAGTTCCTCCTCTTTGCTCGTTCATATCTTGTCTTCATGTTTTGGTATGTTTGATACCTGCTGCCCACCTGGGAGAATATACCTGAAGATGTCCTGGACCTGAGGGTAAAGTCAGGGCTCCTCCAAGCACTGCAAGCTCGCCAAGACTGTATGAGTGCCTTTCTGAGCAGGGCATCCGTGATTGATGATGGGAGAGAGTAAATAAATTTCAGTAAGTACACATGAGAGTGGATCAGGACAGTAAGTGTTTACTACGTACAATCAATGGGCATTATTTTAAAGGAGATTAAAATTTCCTGGACTTAATCCTCCTGCTAGAGTGGTGATGGTGGCAGAGGATGAGTTACTGTTTTCTCCAGGGAGGTGCTGAGAAGAGCATCTGTGCCTTTCAAGTAAAATCATGTAGTAAAACCAGCCGTTTAGAAATCTGTTCAGTTTGGGAATCAATTCTCTGGTAAAATATGTGTTTGTAGTATGTGGAGTGGTAGAAGGTGGTTCTGGAATGTCTGGAGGTTGGAGGTGACACAGCTTTGTCTCTTGACAAATTGGACAGTTGGGAATTGTCGTGGCTTCATTTTACAATGTGTGTAATAGAATCAGATGTTTGGTGGAAGTCGGCATTGGGATTTTGAGTCTGCCAGTTACTCTAGAGGACACTGCATTCTTTCTGAGAGTGAGCTGAAGATGTGATATGATGTTTTGGATGAAACTTGAAATTTAATTTTTTCCCTAAACGTTATAGATTTTTTTCCCAGAAGCTGGAAAAATTATTACTTAAAATTTAAAACAGTATCTGCCTCCTAAGAGGTGAAAGCTTGAACTTAGCTTTAGAACTCTTATTCTGGAAACAAAATTTTGAGTACCTAGCCATTGTTGGGGGGAAAAACCGTGAACTCAAGGTTTTCCTGAAAGTAAATGTTTAAATATAACTAATGTAAACAATGTGTATATTTTAGCAAGTAAAGATTTCTAGATATCTCTGTTTTCTTCATGAGAAAGCTTTTCTTTCCTTAGATTTGGGCTGCGCCGGTCTTTATATTAGCAGTTGGCAAACTATGTCCTGTGGTACAAATCTGGCCCACTGCCTGTTTTGTAAATAAAGTTTTTTTGGAACACAGCTATGTTCATTTATTTGCATATTGTCCATGGCTACCTTCCTACTGCAATAGCAAGTAGTTGTTAGAGAGAGACTCGAAACCTAGACTACTTACTATGTGGCCCTTTACAGAGAAAAGTTTGTTACTCTTACCTTTTACTATTGCTTACTCTTATGTGTGTGCTCTTACTTAAACAGTTGTTCAAAAACATCAGAACCGGAGATCACAAAATGCCAGGAAAGATAGGCAGGCCTGAACTTCACATCACACTTGCGATGAAACTTTGAAAATGCCTTGGACTTGGCTTGGTATAAGTTGTATTGGCTGCACTGTTGATGTGTGTGCACATGATGCTATTCCAGGCTGAAAAACCTGACTTTACTGATATTCAGTTATTATTTTCTGATGTGATTGTCTCATGAGAGCCACAGGACTAAACTCCATGGCAGGTGGGCAGATACAAGTAGGATTTCCCTTGAAGGGAGTGGATATTCTCACTGTCAATCGTCCTGGTAAGAGGGCAACTCTGAGATAGAAAAAGAAGACTTAAGAAGCATGCCTTAGACTAAGGTGAAACTTCCTCTGCTATTTCATGTGGAGGTTAGCTGTGAATTCTGGGGAGAGCAGGAGGGCCCAATGGTACTTCTTTTGCAGAGAAGTGATCTTGTCATTACTTCTTCTTGAGCATACATGAGACAGTTTCCTGGGGGACCTCTCAGAAATATCTGGGTAACATTGAGGGTTAAGAAGAAGAGGTCAATGTCTGGCAGTATACTGATGAGGGCTCAAACTATTGACTCAGTATTATTGATGACCTATTCAATAGCAAAGACCCTCTTTTTCCTTATTAGTGGTGCCTTAATTAGTTCAGATATTGAGTGACCATATTCAAGGGAGGTTGGGCACCTCGTCAGCCCCAGGATGAAAGGTGCATTTTGATTTGTCTAAGCCCATCATGGCAATTCCATTCCCCTTCCTAATAAAAAGAAAAAATGGGCATGCAATACGATTCTAGTCAGTGAGAAACAAATGGAAATTTTCTCCATCATTTATGGGAAAGGTTTCTTTGTTCTTAAATATGAGAAGCCAACGAGAAAGTTGTTCTCTTTCTGCTTTTGGGTGTGGCTGTGAGATGCTATGAAGCCAAAAAGCTGATATAATCCATCTTGCAACCATGAGAAGGAGTTTCCAGTGTGCTGAGGGTGACAGAACAGAATGTGGAAATGACCTTAGCCCTTGATAGTGTCATAGAGCTGCTGAATACGCAGATGTGGAACTTCATGGGCAATGAGAAGGTAAAATCTTACTATTTAAGCCACTTTTCATGGGATCTTCTATTATTTGTAGCCAACCAATACTCTTGAGTATTTAAGGAAATATGACTTCTTGATAATTACAGGTTGGTGAGATTCAGAAATAGTAACCATATCATTAAAATATATCCATGCAAAGATAACTGCACTTGTGGTTACCAAGTAGTTATTCAATTAAAATGGAGAAATCTAGCAACTGACTAATGGCATATGAACCCCAGATCTTCTTTCAGCTGGCAAAAAATCCAGAAAATTATAGTCTTAAATTTCATAATAACAATAAACAAACAAATGACAACAAGACCAAAACAATTTGGGTAATTTGCCCAAGTTGGCAGCGTTTTATTTTGAAAATATTTTAAATTCTAAAATACATTCTTAATATCATCTCAGTTTCAAACACAATAGAAGTACTTAAAGTCACAAGTGATCACTGTTCAGCTGGCTGTTTGAGGCCTACCAAGCAGAAGAACTAGGATGCAGGCCAAGGAACCCACCAGGACTTGCGGTGCCCTAGGAACCAGGTGAAGTGCAGTTGTAAAGCTGTGGGAGCCACTGTCCAAGAGGGCCCCAAATGATATGGCCTCCTGACTCATGCCTTTGGGTAGTTCCCTTCCACACTGAATAGGGCTGACCTCTGTGAACCAACAGGATACTGTGGAAATGATGCTCAGGCAACTGCAGCCTCATGAAAGACCTAGTTGGATTTCTGACCCTCAAAAACTCTTTGAAATAAGAAATGCTTGTTGTTTCAGGTGAACAAGTTTTGGGGTAATTTGCTGTGCTGCAATGGATAACTAATACAAAGACCTAGGCACCCTGGGCCTCATGCCACGCACCACAGTGAGGCTGGATAGTCCACTATCGCAGCAACATTTGCATGTGGCTATAAGACTCCTGCTAAAGTGCTCATTTGGGGTCAACCTAGGGGATGGTCGGCCTTCAGCCTAAAGGTCTTCAGATCAGACAGCTGGGAAGGGATGAGGAGATCTGAGACTGATGGGTGTGTTCACACATGTGTATAGTGTATGCATGTGGGTTTGTGAGTCAGTGTTGTTCCCTGTGCCCTCCATAAGGAACAAAAAGGCCTCTTTGCTGTGCCTGCTACCCCCAGGGGGACTATGAACTCTATTTTAGTTGTGATACCTTTTCTGTTTTTAATCTCTTCTAGTTGATTCTCAGGGATGCTCCTCTTTTGACAGATTCTACAAAGACTTGTTCTGACTCTTAAATTAGTGTTTGGAGAACTCTAATATTGTGTTTGTTTTCATGCTGAGCCTTCTGGGTTTTGTGTATTGAAAACACATTCCTTGGCAGGTAGCAAGTGAGAACTGCATGAGAAATGTGCTCCAAGTCCGTGGAGAAATGCACATAAAGAGGAATTAATGATACTTGTTTATGGTTCTCAGTTGTGAAGCTCTCCTGCCTCTTCTGAATCTGGCTGTTTGCATGGGGGCCGGCATGGTGAAGAATGTCACAAACATAGGGTCATTGGACTTTATGAACTTTGACATTTTCTCAGGTATTAGGGTGTTTGCTTCCAGTAACTCAGGAACTAAATCATTTCTGTTGTAAAAATAAAAACCCCAGCGACCTTAAATTGTGTAGCCCTTGTTGCCTGGAAATTAACTTGAGAAAGAAGGAATTTTTAATAAAAATTTGTAGGCTGTTAGCTTCTGTACAGCTAGAGGGGAAACAAGAGTCCATGGGCAGGAGAGGCGCATCTCCTACTGCACCTGTCTCCTTGTCCCTCCTGCCTTTTCCTGAGCGGGAACCAAGCAGGTGAATTTGTGTCTGGAACTTCAGTTGCTCTGTTCTCTTTAGCAGCTCATGATTTGTGCCTATATTTTCAGCTTGGTCTTCTCTCCACAGACCTGTGCTTTTTTGTTTTGTAATAAAAAAATATTACTTGCCTTTTCAATCTGGAAGGCTTATCTTTCTTTAAAAAAAATTTCATTAATTTTTATTGTTTTTTCTTAAGGTTATAAAAGCTGACACAGAGTTTTAAAAATTCATGTTATAATCAGAGATTCACCTTTCTTTTTTATGATATAAATTGTGGCTGAATTCTTTATTTATTTATTTATTATTATTATACTTTAAGTTTTAGGGTACATGTGCACAATGTGCAGGTTAGTTACATATGTATACATGTGCCATGCTGGTGTGCTGCACCCATTAACTTGTCATTTAGCATTAGGTATATCTCCTAATGCTATCCCTCCCCCCTCCCCCCACCCCACAACAGTCCCCAGAGTGTGAGGTTCCCCTTCCTGTGTCCATGTGTTCTCATTGTTCAATTCCCACCTATGAGTGAGAACATGCACTGTTTGGTTTTCTGTCCTTGCGATAGTTTGCTCAGAATGATGGTTTCCAGCTTCATCCATGTCCCTACAAAGGACATGAACTCATCATTTTTTATGGCTGCATAGTATTCCATGGTGTATATGTGCCACATTTTCTTAATCCAGTCTAGCATTGTTGGACATTTGGGTTGGTTCCAAGTCTTTGCTATTGTGAATAGTGCCGCAATAAACATACGTGTGCATGTGTCTTTATAGCAGCATGATTTGTAGTCCTTTGGGTATATACCCAGTAATGGGATGGCTGGGTCAAATGGTATTTCTAGTTCTAGATCCCTGAGGAATCGCCACACTGACTTCCACAATGGTTGAACTAGTTTACAGTCCCACCAACAGTGTAAAAGTGTTCCTATTTCTCCACATCCTCTCCAGCACCTGTTGTTTCCTGACTTTTTAATGATTGCCATTCTAACTGGTGTGAGATGGTATCTCATTGTGGTTTTGATTTGCGTTTCTCTGATGGCCAGTGATGGTGAGCATTTTTTCATGTGTTTTTTGGCTGCATAAATGTCTTCTTTTGAGAAGTGTCTGTTCATGTCCTTTGCCCACTTTTTGATGGGGTTGTTTGTTTTTTTCTTGTAAATTTGTTGGAGTTCATTGTAGATTCTGGATATTAGCCCTTTGTCAGATGAGTAGGTTGTGAAAATGTTCTCCCATTTTGTAGGTTGCCTGTTCACTCTGATGGTAGTTTCTTTTGCTGTGCAGAAGCTCTTTAGTTTAATTAGATCCCATTTGTCAATTTTGGCTTTTGTTGCCATTGCTTTTGGTGTTTTAGACATGAAGTCCTTGCCCATGCCTGTGTCCTGAATGGTAATGCCTAGGTTTTCTTCTAGGGTTTTTATGGTTTTAGGTCTAACGTTTAAGTCTTTAATCCATCTTGAATTGATTTTTGTGTAAGGTGTAAGGAAGGGATCCAGTTTCAGCTTTCTACATATGGCTAGCCAGTTTTCCCAGCACCATTTATTAAATAGGGAATCCTTTCCCCATTGCTTGTTTTTCTCAGGTTTGTCAAAGATCAGATAGTTGTAGGTATGCGGCGTTATTTCTGAGGGCTGTGTTCTGTTCCATTGATCTATATGTCTGTTTTGGTACCAGTACCATGCCGTTTTGGTTACTGTAGCCTGGAAGGCTTATCTTGTATCAAGATACGGACTTTGTCAGTGAGCTGTTCCCAACTTCTATGAACCATAATTCAATGAGCTGTTCTTGCTTCTGGCTTTCACAGGTACGACTCCCAAGAGCCAACTTCAACGTCTAACAATTGGCCTTGTCAGCATCACTTTCCCCTTTTAACATGGGCCAGTAACAACGACATTGGGTGGCAGTTCAGGATTTAAATGGGCAGCAGGCTATATTTCCCTGCACCATAATCTATGCAGCTAATTGCAGGGCCCTGGATGGTGTTCAGGATGATTTTTAAAAGAATTCTTCAAGTTATGGAGATTTAAATTTAGATATCTTTATATTGGAAACTTGTCAAAGAGGTCAGCGGGGAAGTGGGGTACAAAGAAAAGAATAAAAGCTTTTAGAGTTAGCCAGACATGGATGCCCCAGGACTTCTAGCTTGACTGACAGTATAGTTCAGGGTGGGGACCAAATCCGAGTTCTAACATTTGCTCAGTATCTAAAATGGGTTAGTAATAAGGCCATTTCACAGTGTTATTGTGGAAATGGAATGAATTAATATATATTAAAGCATTTGGAATAAGGCCTGACTCAGTGCAATATTTGCTGTTATTATTATTATTATTATTATTATTATTATTATTACTGGCTCTGTCATCTGCGCCAGTAAGTTAAATTCTCTAAACCCGAGTTTCTTTACATATAAAACCAAGGTGGTAATAACAATGTCATGTGATTCTTGGAATTTATGTAAGACTTCTAGCCCATTTTCTGGTATATAGTAGAAGCCCTGTTAAGGATATTTTATTTTAATATATGACTAATAATCTCCATCTGATTTACCTCACTGTGTGAGGGGGCCTTGCCAGAGACTTAAATGAAGTGTTAGTATCAGAATGCAATGGGCCCAGTGCCATTATCATAGTGCTGGGACACACAGAACTGAAGTCATCTCCAAGGTAGTGTTGCCGCTCTACAGTGAGGCCCTCACTCCCCGAGGTCATTAGAACCCCTATTCTCAGCCAGGTTTGATTTCCATCAGATTATCTCCTCCTGGAACAAGTGAGTCTGACTCAGGCAGTTGCTTCCTAATCTTTGTGATCATTGAAGAAAAGAATAAAATTCAAAGCTTCTTTTAAACCAGGTCTCCAGCTGTGCCCTTTGTGAACTTTGGGACCCAGTGAGACATCTTGACGATTTCTAAGATCTCCTGACTAGCTGAATTACTCTAAGGTCCAACTATTAACATTTAGCACCGAAGCCTGATTATCATGTGATAATCGCTCCATTAGCTTGTGTTGCTGCTGTTGTGCATAAAAGCCCTTCCTTGTCACTCTCAGAGCTCTGGTCTCCTGCCCTGACATCTCTCTCCATGTACATTTGATGTATTTCTCATTATCTCTCTTCGCTTTGCTTGTTATTCCTTTGAACGACTGGGCAATCTCTTCAGTCTCCAAAGCCTGATACTCGGTTCATCCCACACTGCCTCACCCTCCTCTGGTGTGTTCCAGATGGTTTTGTACCAAGCAGAGCATATGCCTCTTTCTTCCCCTTGATTACTCTTTGCATTTCTTCGCTCTTCTGCTTCGTCCTCCATTTGATTTACTTCTGGAGTATTTGCTGCTGGGGTGACGTGCATGATGAATACCCTTGGGCATCCATTAAATTCAGCTTTGAACAGTTTCTATTTCCCCTTGGTGTCCTTGATATCTGATGTGTCTGGTCATTTGCTCATATGAGCCTCAGAGTTTGCTGGCATTTGTTCCACAAAAGCGTATGCCTCTCTTTTTCAGGTTGTCCTATTTTTAAAAAAAAAATTTCACGGAAGTTCTTAGCTGAAAATGGTGTCTTACTGGTGGCCTTTGAGATTGTCCCGTCTGCCCCATTTTGTGTGAAGGAACTGCTTCAGTTATCTATTGCTGTGTAACAAATCACCTGAATTTTAGTGGTTTAAAACACAATTATTGGGCTGGGTGTGGTGGCTCTTGCCTGAAATCCCAGCACTTTGGGAAGTCAAGGTGAGTAGATCACTTGAGGTCAGGAGTTCAAGACCAGCCTGGCTAACATGGTGAAACCCCATCTCTGCTAAAAATACAAAAATTATCCAGGGATGGTGGCATATTCCCAGCTACTTGGGAGGCTGAGACAGAAGAATCACTTGAGCCCAGGAGGTGGAGTTTGCAGTGAACTGAGATTGTGCCACTGTGCTCCAGCCTGGGTGACAGAGTGAGACTGTCTCAAAATAAAAATGAAAATAAAAATAAAAACACAGTTATTATCTCTCGTGGTTCTTTGGGTTAGTCGGGTGTAGCTGGGGTTTCTCCTCAGAGTTTCTCCTCCAGTGGCAGTCAGATGTTGGGGCTGGCTACTGTACTCTGAAGGCTGGAAGGGGCTGGTCATCCAACAGGCTCACTCGCAGGGCTGGCAGTTGGTGCTGGTTGTTGGATGAGAGCTCAGCTGGGGTTGTCCTACTGAAGTGCCAACACAGGGCTTCTCCATGTGACAACATGGTCTTCTCAAAGCATAATGTCCTGGTCCTGCGAAGATGTATCCAACAGTGAGCGTTTGAAGGTAAAAGATACAAGGCTTCCTACGCCGTGGAAGTCATGTGGTTATTTCCATTGCACTTGACTAGTGTGAGGGGGCTACACAAAGAAGTGGCTAACTGAGCAGTGTATTTCACTGGGGGAGACTAGCTACAGTTATTCTGTTCTTCACATTGTTCCATATTTCAGTGTCAGACAGGCTCTTTTGATATTTGTTTTTCTCCAACTATTTCTGGTGACTTGAGCAGTAGCAGCTACAGGCTGTTTTCCCTACTAGCAAGCCTCAGTTATGATATTTCTAATGCCGTCTGTACCTCCCATCCCTGCTGCTAAAGTGTCTGTCTCCCTCCTTGTGGCTCTGAGGTTGGCAAGCTAAAGACATGAAGTACAAGAGAAATAGAGCCCTAGATTGGACCTTAGGGGAGACCTGTGTTCTAGTCTTGGCTTTGGAGTGATGTAACTGACCTTGAACAAGTCACTTCATCTCCCTGGACTTTGAACTTTTCTGAAGTCCCCTATAAGCTCTGAAATTCTGTAAAATTCTAAATAGCTGCCTTGAATATATATTTCTATTGGGTCAAATGCTCTATTTCAAGCCCCTGAACTGAACAAGCTCTGGTTTTGGAACTAATAGAGGAACTGTCACTGCCCATCACAGTCTGCACATAGTAGGCACTCAATAAAAATTTTTTTGGATGCAGTTTCAAGCTAGAAACCTTGATGATATTGTTTTCAAGATCTTGGTGGTAGATATTGCCAGATTATTTATTTTTATTGTTTTAATTTGAAAGATTATTTCCTTGCATATATAAGGATTTGCTTTTAGAACTTGAAACTTAACAGGGTCTCTGCATGCATCCCTTTGCCATTTAACAGGCAGTTAGTTGTTTGTGCCTGTTGACAGATTGATACTTTGCAAATAACCCTCATGTGCTGGTACTAACTGTGATTACCTCAAGCTGCAGCAACCGGAGGGATGCCAAGGGTCTGTGGTCATCTGAGTTTGCTCTTTCTTTTTTTTCTTTAAGGTGCTGTCTCTTGGAACCTTGAGTTATCTCCCTCTGGAATCATAGAGGGGAAAGAAAATAAGGAAAACTAGCGGGAGTGGAGGAAAACCAGGCCAAGTGTAAATGAAATCTACACCCTGGCCTCCCAGCTGGGTGGGTCAGTTCCTAGTCTTGCTCTAAGTGGAAGCTGACACAGGGTTTCCTTCCCTCAAGACCCATGTGACATTTGAGAGGACAAACAAAGGGCTCCATCAGGAAGAGGCTTAACCCTGTTAATGGCTACAAATCACCAGCCCTGGAGAGCTGGGATTCAGAGAAGTGTTTTGCCTTCTTTTTATTTTAGACGAATCAAGCTTCAAAGAGACTGACTACCCAGGCCCCCAGAATTTCCTGATGGTCTGGGAGGAAAGAAGATATCTTCCTAAAGGGAAAAGATAGCTCAAGGCCAAAGGAGAATTGACACCTATATAAGAAAGCAGTATGAAGTGGTCTCAGTTGAAGTGTGTGTGTATTTGTGCGTGTGTGTGTGTGTTTTACTGACAAACACATAAAAAGTGAAGAAGGCAGCATTCTCAGTTGGCGTGATTAGAGTAAGGCTCACATTTCCAGCAGTTATTTTTAGAAAAAGGAAGAGTGAGTTTTGGGGGTAGGTGGGTGGGTGGATTATGGTCTTTCCTTAGCCTGAGGGTTGTAGCTTAAAGAAGACTATGATCTTCCTGGTTGCCCCCTCCACCCACCACTCTGCCAGTCACATTTAATCTTTTTTGTTTTCAACTTTAGCAAACATTTTTGTATCATTTTTGCTTAATTAAATAAAACCTATTTACATTCTGAGCTGGAGGAACAGAGGTCAGGTAGCAGCAGACTCTCTTGCCACCGTTTGCTGAACCCTGTTAAGAAGCTATGGCCCCAGCTCTCAGGCTGGAAAAGGCATCCTTGACAATGTTAATAGTTTTGACCTCTGAGTTCTCGCATTTCACCAAAAAGTCCCTAAAGTAAAAAGGAAGGGACTGAAAAGCTGGTGCCTAAGGCTAAACTTTGCCCCTAGAAAAAGGGGAAGGGCAGAATAATTCTGCTGCAACAGGATAGTCTGTATACTACAGAGTGAAGATAAAAACAAGAAGAAGAGTTCATCATTTCCCTGTTGACTAAGAGCTATTTGCACTTCTGTGGTCGGCAGAATGAGAGTGCAGACCTGGGGCCTGGAGGACAGGTGACAGGTCTGTAGAATTCAGCTTCGGCCAGCCAGATCAAGTAATGTAATATGGAGGTTTTATTTGCCTGGTCCCAGCAGGTAGTTAACTAGCAGTCTTGGGTTGCAATGGGTCTCTCTTGGGAGCCCTGAAAATAGTTTATTTATTTTTTTTTACCTCCAAAATTATAACAAAGCCCACCAGGAAATCTTGGGTATTAATCTCATCAGAGGAAATCCTGGGAGATCATCTACTTCTCTAATTTGCCCAAGGGCTAGAGGGAATATTTATATCCTGTCCCCTACCAGCTTGATTTAAGTCACCTAAAGGCCTTTCCCTTTGTTTATATTCTAGGGAAATCATCCCATCGCAGAATAAATTATAAGACATTTCCAATAAACTCTCCAGTATTTTTTCAGATTAGGGGAGAGGTGAGGTGGGACAAAGATTGAGAAAGACAAGGCTGACTGGAATGACATAAATAATTGTAGTCAACAGTTTTAAGGCATTTCTTTATCAAAGCTTTTATCATTGTTACAAAGAGAAAAGAGCTGACTGGCTAGCAGCCAAAGCTGGGCCTCAGGAGTAAATTTCCTGTCTAGAAACCTGTTTGTGTCCAGCCTTTGGGGCTTTAGCAGGTGCAGTACTTAAAGCCTTCTATGTGCTGGTTCAGCCCAGACCAGGCCTGGTAATATTTCCAAAGCCTCATTTTCAGTAGCAGGTGAAGTCTTCTGCTTGTCTGCTCATTTCTGGTCTGCCTGGGCATATCCCTGGCACCCATCGGTCCACCCACCAAAGCCTTTACCTTAACTCCATTGGGAATCCCCAGACTAGATAATGATGATGATAATAATACCTTCTAATTTAGAATGTTTCCTGTGAGTTAAACCATTATGTTAACTGTTTTATGTAATTTTTTGTCACTTAATCTTTGCAACAACTTTGTGAAGTAGTTATTCCTATTAATCCCGTCTTACAGTTGAAGCTTAGAGAAATGAAATGATTTGCCCAAGGCCACACAGTGAGTACAAGTGCTGGGACCTGAAACCAGGTCTACATATTCCCAAAATCCATGCCCTTAAATTTCATGATATGTTGCTGGGTGTTTTTCTTGATTTTTAAAAATTTATTGCACTTCTCATTAAGGGCTGTTCCCCTCCCCTAAACCCAGGAGTACTTCATTAGAGCCCTGCCTAACTCTTGTCAACTCCTTTCCCAAGAAGAAGGGGTTGCTACCATTGGCCAAGTACTCTTTCAAACTAAACAGGCCTCCATTAAACCATGATTTGTCCACATGACTGATCAGAAGAAATGATTGTATCAACCCAGAAGCATCTGCTGTCACACCTTACCTGCCAGATTAAGTCTCTTGGGTAATACTGTTGGCCCAAATCAGACCCAACTTCTTTAGACATTGTGATTCCCAACCCTTCACAGTATCGTGGCTCACTGTGAAGCCCGCATGAGTTATGGCAGACTCTGAGTTTTGACAATTCAGGAACTCAGCTTGGAAAAATCTGTCCATCTGCCAACTCAGGGAAAAAAAAAACTATGAACAAAAATGTCAGTTTATTAATTTGTAAAATTTTGTCTTTTTCATTGTCATTTCTCTTTGTTCCAGGGCATTCCATCTCAAAATTAAAACTCAAAGGAAGTCAGATAGATCAGTCATCAGCAGCCTACTTGACAAGCCCAGAATGAGAGCAAAGAAAATTGAATTGTCTTAGCTGATATTTCATTCAGACCCTGAAAGAAACATTCTTGCTCCTTCCAGTGAACAGAACCCTCCTCCTTACAAGTAAATCTGAAGATCTAGGTTCAAGGCCAGGCTCTGCCATTTATTATCCCTGTAGTCATTGACAAGGCACTTAACCTCTTCAAGCTCCTTTTACATGGTTAGTAAAATGGTAGTAATAATATCTTACACATGATTCACGATGTTTAAATCAAGGTTAGGGATAAGAATGCTCTGTACATATTACTTTTTGTTACGTAAAACTGTCGCGTTGATTTTTTAATTTGAGTCCTTATGAAACCAGTTCTTTGCAGGTCATCAATCTGATCATTCATCCCAAACTGCCACTTTTCTAAGGAAGGATGTGGTTGCTTCACACATTTTAACCTGCACATGAATCTCCTGGATGGGTCTGGGATTCTGAATTTCTAACAAGTGCCCAAATGATGCAGATGCTTCTGGACCATGCTTTGAAGCAAGATTTTAGATGCTTTTAGCAAGTTTCTATGCAGATACTTAACAGACCAGGTATTTAGAGATCAGCATGACTTCTAGAATGCTGAATCACATGGTCCCTGTGTGTGCTTGTTTTAGGTGGCTTTTCAATACTGTTGAACTTAATGTGTTTTTTCTCTTTCCTTTACATTGCTTGGCCTTACTCTCTCTCATTTCTCCTCCTACCTTTTTGATTGCTTCTCCCCAGTCTCCCCCATAGACTCCTCTTCATTTATCCTTTAATATTAGTGTTCCCTTGGATTCTTTCCTTTGTCTTCTGATCATTTTACTCTGTGGATGATCTCGAGTTGTCTCCAATTTGAACTCTTCCTTGCCTTGCCCAGGCAGACTTAATGGATCCTTCTCCTGCACTCTCATTGAATGAATTGTGTTGTAAGATTCACTTTAGCGTGTGGTAGTTTTACTTTATTGCATCCTCATGCAATTATTTTTTCATGGTCTGTGACTTACTTTTTGAAAGTGGAGAGTGCCACATTCCATCTTTGCATCCTTTGTGCCTAGTGCAGTGCTTAAGTTTTGTAAATGTTTGAAGAATAAAGCAAGTAAACCCAGACATTGGGGCAGACACCAGAAGCAGCCATCTGAGCAGACCAGATGGCAAATGTTAGTGTTTGGACACCCTCGGAAACACAAAACCCACTTAAATTCTGTCGTGCATGCATATGTGTGTGTAAATTACCTCTCTGGATGGTCTCAAGATACCAGTAGCATCTGGGGAAGACACCTGAGCCAGGTTTCCTCTGTAAATTATTTCTGGACTACTTTTTCAGGCTTAAACAATAGGCTGTCAAAATTGTCAAAAAGAGGAAGCATGTTTCTTATGGGAAACATTATTTATCATGCTCTTCTATTGTAATAAAACAAAGAGCGTCCTTCCAGAGAAGGAAGGTTGTAGTCTAGCCAAAACTGGCTTCTAAGAAAAGCTTTACCGTACTCACCCTCAAAAAGGACTCAGAAGGCCAGGTAAATGATGGCCAGAAAGTGAGATGTCCTCAGCCCAAATGTCACATGGGTTGGGATTCAACCCAATTCAACAAACAATATTCAGTACACATTTTCTGTGTGTCAGGCTTGTACTAGGTTAAGGATTGAAAGATTAACAAACAAACAAACAAAATATGGCCTCAGAGACCTCATAGTTCAGTTGAGGCATTCGGTACTTACTCAGCATGATGAGTGTTTAATAAATATATGTAAAGTTCTGTGGATCAGAGAGGACAGAATAATTGGAAATATAGAAGAAAAATTATTTCGGAAAGGCTCCCCATCCCAAAGTATATATCGTCTTTTGAACCACCTATCAAAAATCAGACTGCAGATGTGACACATCCCATTCATGTACACAAATTAGATTCAATTCAAGTTAATGTTTTAGTGCTTACAGTATGCCCACCATATCCCCAAGAAGGTTTTGATGTAGGAACATCAAATAAATATATAAGATTTAATACAATGGAAAATGACAAGGTCATTAGAAATACAAGCAAGATATGATGGAAATATACAGGGAGTAGTAATAAAATCTGACTGGGAGATATAGAAGTCCTCACTGGGGCATACTGGTATTTAGGATGTTTAGTTCATGCCTCCCCATAGTGGCTGTGGACTCTGCACCTGTGTTTATATGGGATTCTGGATCTAATTGGTCAGATCCAGAGGTCTTAGGGGAAATGACACAATGGCTGGGTCATTAAATTTTCCTAGGAATTTAGAATTGAGAACTAAGGATGCTAGGCTGCTGAATGGTGGCTTTGTTGATGGTAAGATATTAAGGAGGCTGCTGTAGCCATGTTTGGGTTTTGGGAGCAGATAAGTGAAGCAATGCTGGGATGAGGGAGTCAGAGGTTGGGGTGGGGTGGGGGAAGACAGGAGAGAGATGGGGAGAGAGAGGAGAATGGCTGTGAAGGAAGAGATAGGAAGTGAAAACAAGGGAAGAGAAGACTGAAACAGACACAGAGAGATGCAGGTATTGTTGAGAAATCTTTGCTTGTAAGTTCCCAAATTCACTTTGAGCTTGTTAACCTGAAAAGAAGCCTTTATTATGAGGATCCAGGGTATAAGAATATCACAGAACCTAAGGGCAGAGACTGGAACTGCCTGAATCCGGAAGAGATTGCAACAAGAAACTGAAAAGCTGTCAGGACCTGGCCAGTTCTCACCACATTCTGGCTTTATTCTCTCCTGCTTGCAGATTGGTTTTCTCTACTAGTTGGTTCACCTTGTAGGTACAAGATGGGTCACCCCATTATTTTCCAGGTTTATATTTCTCTTGATACAGTAGGCCAGACTGAACCAGGATCTAACTTTTAGTCTTACTTCTAAATTCTAATTGCCCCAGATATATCAGGTATCTCTTCCTGATCTAATAACTGTGGCCCTGAAGTAAGAACAGGGTGATAGAGCCTGCACATGGCTGTTGAGGCCTCCTTCCTGTGTGAGGGGTGCAATAAAGAGGTAAGTCTTAACTGAGAAGCCACATTCAAAATTTTGTGCTATAACTAAAGTGCCACAGGTCAGGGAGCACTGACTCTCAGTTCCTGTTTGCATTTCCTTTGTGAAGGCCTTCCCATTCTTCCTGAGAGATGCCGATTCCTTATATAAGTCTCACTTTACTTAAGCTAGAGTGAGTTTCTATTTCTTACAACAAAAGAGCCTTCACTAAGATTTCGGTAGTCAGAGAAGAGATGAAAGAGGGCATTCCAAATTCAGGCAATAGCATGAATATAAGCATGGGAGTGAGGAAGTTCATGATTGAATGGATAGAATTCTCCAAATGGGGATTGCAGAATAGGGTGTCTGAAGGGATGGTGTGGAAATTGGGGCTGGAAAGGTGGTTTGAAGACTGTTGACACTGACCTTGGTAATTTCTCTCTTGGTAGTTTGGAGGAGGCAGTGGGAGCCTGGCAGATTTTTGAATAGCAGAATGATGGTTTCTGATCAGCGTGTTGGTGTTCTGTCTTCTTAGAGAGTGACAAGCACATTATATCTGCCCTAAATTTGATGGTAGTTGGACTGTGATGGATGAAATTCTACTTTTAAATCAAGTGGAATTGTGCCCTAAAATAATCACAGAGGCCTCATTTGCTGGCAGTTTGCCAAAAAGTACTGGGTGCTTGTAATCGATGCTATTGACACCACACCTAGATCCCCTTTACCTGCTGCTGCACCTGGTCTCCAGCTGCTGCAAGTGCTAGAGCCAACGGCTTGGCTTAATGTCTGTTACCTTCTTGGGAGTCACCTCACTGGGAGATATGTAGGAACTTCCACTGCTCAACCCCTATGGCCCATGACTGAATGACTTATGCGGGGGAGTCTAAGAGTCTGGCCCCTTTGCTGCAAGGTGGGGCAAGGCTGCTGGATGATTGATGCTCCAGACCCACACTGGACCAGGTCATGCTGGATGTTACCTGAGGCTACATTCCTACTCAGCATCTTCCCTTTCCAAACTGTCCTGCTTCTCCCGCTAGCCTACAGGATTCTCCTGAAGAACCTGCCCTCAACAGATCACAGGCAACCAAACCCCTTTCTCAAGCCCCTGCATCAAGGCAACCTGCCCTAAGAGAGTACCATTTATTTCAATAGACATCCAAAGTTACACAGGTTTCTATGTTTCTACCTCTATACGGCATAGTGGTCAAGAGCTCAGATTCTGGAATAAGACCATCCTGCACTGGAATCTTGGCCCTGTCACATAGTAGCTTCTAGTCTGGGCAGATTGCTTAGTCCCACAAAATCTAAATAGGGTAAGAATAGTACTTTGGGTTGATGTGAGGATTAGATGAGATAATATACATGATGCTCTTGGCCCAGTACCCATACCAAGTAAAGAACTCATTAGCCACTATTATCATTATTTCTGGTTATCTCTTTAATAGAGCTAGTGCATGTAGTTGCACAGGTTGCACACTGCATCAAGGTCCCTATCTAAGGGTAGCTGCAGGGGTAGATCTGCATGGCTGGCACATTTGTTGATTCACACTGGGTCTTGAGAAGCAAAAATAGCAGGCAAAGACTATCACAGTTAGCCTGAGACAGCCGAGAATACCCAGTGCTTTTCCTGCAGAGAGATTGCCACACAAAGGGCTCTTTGCTATGCGGAGCTCCACGTCAATCTCCCATCCATACCCCAAGCTGCTGTCCATGGAGGTGCATTCTCACCCCTTTGGCCTTTGCTTGTCAACCCAGTCCAGGAAATGGTAGCAGTCCTGTCTTCCAGTTCACAGAAGTGATGGTTTAGAGCCATGGAGCTGAATAAATGGCTATGTTCAGCCAACATTTGTCAATCCCCAGGAATAGCTTCCTATTTTGTCAGAAGATTCCATCCATGTGGCCAGACACTGGCATAAGAGGCTGAAATGCCCCAGTGGTTGGAAACTATGGGATGGGGAGAGATCGTTGGGCGGTAACGTGACCATATTTCTGTGGCATGAGCTGGTACAAGCCAGCACTGGGGGAAACCAGGCCATCGGGAGAACGTTCACAGATCTGGCTGGCAAGTGCTTTGTATATGGAAAAATACACCTTTTCATAGAAGTAACTTGATCTGAAGAGTATCATAGAGTTGCTGTAGTGATAGAGCAAATGATCCCATATTCCAGTACATGAGAGACCTGTTCTCTTGTGTCCCTTCTGGCCAGCCCGCCTTCCCACAGCAGCCCCACCAATGAAATGAAAAAAATCCCTGGAACACTCTAGCTCACAGACTTCAGGACTCGACTTGCACCTGACTAGGGTCCCATCTGAGGTAATACATGAGAAAATTTGGCCTAACTGCTGAACTATTTCTTCTGAAGGGACACAACCACAGCAAGCTAAGCATTTCCAGATACCCAGTCAGAGAATTCAAAGAATGCTAGCTGTATCAGACATTTGCTCCCAAACGGGGATTGCAGGATAGGGATGGTGTGGAAATTGGGGCTGGAAAGGTGGTATGAAGATGGTTGACATTGACCTTAGAAATTCCCCTCTTGGTAGTTTGCTCTCTTATGTGGGGCACCGGGGTACAAGGGGTGTCTTCAACCTCATTGCTCCTGAGCTCTTCAGCCTCTGGCGACAGAGCATGCAGATTGTCTGTCAGTGTCATCAGAGCTGGATGCAAGTCCTCTGGAAGGTGTCCACAGAGCCCCGGGCAGGAAGCCACCTGGTTCCAGGGTGGTCAGGATGCAGTGTCCTTCAGTCTGGATTACTTGCTTAACAACCCAGATTTGTACATCCTTTTGAAAGAAGAAAGCTTGTTTTGGTCTTTGCAAACATGCTGTGTGACATATGAGTCCTTCTAAGTGGCTGGCACACTGAGTGGAAACAAAGCCATAGCTGAGAGTGGGTTGGGGAGTGTCTAGAGAGCCCCCCTTCCTCATGCTTGCACCGAGTATAAGAGCCTAAAACTCTCTCACAAGTGGGACTGGAAATTGGAAAGTCTTTTTCCTCACTTCACATAGAAGTCTTTTTATACCAAGGTTCAGGGCAAGTAGACTAACCCCATGGAACAAAAGTCCAAGTTCTGCTGGGGAGAGGGGAAAAGAGTCAAACCTGCTTGGAATCAGTTCACTGGCATAGATCTGCATTTTACTGTGAGCCAAAATCCTGTGAAGTCTCAGGGGCGATGAAGTCCAATTAAAACAGAGCTCAGGCACCGGAAGAGGCCAACAGACATGTGTAATTGTGAGAACCAGGACTTTAGTGGGGAAAGAAAAAAAAAAAAATCCAAGGAGAAGCCAAGGCCAATGATCAGAACTGCTAATTTTTACCAACCTAATCATTAATGAATACTATGTTTCTGAAAAGAATGTTAAGAGAATAATTGTATTTCAAGGGCTTAAAAACTGCTAAACTCTGAAGTTGTACAATTTGTGCAAATTAATATGATAAAAAGAGACAATTAAGGTTTATAATTAACAGATAAATACAAATGATCTGGTGAAGACAATCTAAGTTTCTGCTCTGTCTTATGAAGCAGTGTAATTGATTTTTATAAATGCTAATTTACAGTACATGCTCTGTTAACCATTAACACAGAGAAAAGAACGTGGAGTAAATGAAAGTCAAGGAGGGATATGAGCCAAGAAACTTAACAAACTAGATCTAGCCAAGGAGAAAAAATAGAAAAATATGTCAAATGTTGGAATGTGGCTTTGAAAAGAGAAAATATATTATCAGACAACAATCTTCCTTCCATATTCCCTTGATTGTCCAGCCCTGTGGAGAGAAAAAAAAATCCCTCAACAATCTATACAAATGCAGTTTAAATTTTTCTCTGTTTTTACACCATGCAAAACTGGCTATCTGGGTTTTGCTGAAATTCGCAGGGTAAGGGTCAAATGGCCTGACTCAAGATATACGTCTCATTATGTAAATAAAATGCACTTTGGGAGGGAAGAAGTTTCCCCAGCAAGAGCAGCTGAACTGTCTAGAGAAAGTCCTGTGTCACTTCTGATCAGGAGAAGCCTGCTATATGTAATCAGATGCTGTGGACAGAGAATACCAATGGTGATCTTAAGTGAACCCCAAACCGACGCACAATGGCTGATGCTCCAGACAGCAGGCAACTTGGGACTGAGCTGCCTCTCACGTGGGCAACTTGTGCAAGTGGGCTCCGGGATGGGCACTGGTAGAGAGTCATTTACGTATATAATGGTGGTTAGCGAGTCTCATGAGCTACTCCAGGAGGCCAGACAGTTCACAACAAAGTATTCCTTTTCAGATGGGGAAGAAATGATTACATAAGCAAAGGGAAGTAAGAGAGACTGAGAAAAAGGAGAGAGGGAGAGAAGGGTTGCTTTGTATGTCCCCATTAGACTGTATGCCTCTACATACATTTGTGTCTTGTACATTCTTATTCTTTGTACCCAGCACAATGTTCTTCTTATGATAGAATCTGGAAAAATATTTGTATTTTGATAATGAAAATAGAGATCTGGCAATTCATATTTTTTACAAAAAGGAAGCCTGCAAAGATGACTTTATTTTAAATTGGAAGTATGAGATCCTAGAGATTTTTACCTGAGTATGGTTAACACTCTGCTTTTGAGTTTTCAAGTTGAAATCAGCAAGAGAAAAAGGAAAACTGGATGAAGAGAGCATCAAAGGATGTCTGGAGAGGAGTATCATCATTCTAAGGCCTTAGATCTGGGGAAGTCAGGAACTGTCTTTTCAGTTACTGCTCCTTCCAGTCACGCTCCATTAACCTGTTCCCAGTGAGTTAGGAGCCCCTCCAAGCATTTCCAAATGTAACTTGCTGGTGAATGTGATGTCTTCCTTGATGCTTCTGAAATTCCTAATCTACAAAACCAACTGTTCTTTCAAAATACATTTTTTTGGTTTCTTCTGTTTGTTACCTTTTGATAATCATATTGGAATTGTACATTTTAAAATTCTTAAAATCTGTTAACAAAAGGAAAGGTAAGAAGTGGATTCTAGAAGCTAAAACAGAAAGTACTTTTTTTTTTTTTTTTTTTTTTTTGAGATGGAGTTTCTCTCTTGTTGCCCAGGCTGGGGTGCAATGGTGCAATCTTGGCTCACTGCAACCTCTGCCTCCCAGGTTCAAGCAATTCTCCTGCCTCAGCCTCCTGAGTAGCTGGGATTACAGGCACGCGCCACCATGCCTGGCTGATTTTATATTTTTAATAGAGACAGGGTTTCTCCATGTTGGTCTGGCTGGTCTCGAACTCCCCACCTTAGGTGATCCACCCACCTCAGCCTCCCAAAGTGCTGGGATTACAGGTGTGAGCCACCTCGCCCGGCCCTGCAGAAAGTACTTTTATCATTCTAGTCTGCCTTCTTATTAAGCAGGAAATAAATGCATGGTATAGACTAAGACTCTCCAATGGAGATATAAATGTAATTTTAAGTTTTCTAATAGCCCCATTGAAAAAGAAAAAGACACAGGTAAAAGGAATTTTTAAAATGTTTAACTCAATATATCAAAAATATTTTAATACATAATCAGTATAAAATTATTAATGAAATAATGTATATTTTATGTTGTCTTCAAAATCTGGTATATATTTTACAGTTACAGCACACCTCAAATGGCACTAGCCACATTTCAAAAACCCAGATTACATGTGGCTAGTAGTTGATGGCTGCTATTTATACAACACAGAGAGAGGGGGAGAGAGAGAGAGCAAAAGAGAGAGAGAGAGAGATCCAAAAATATATCTGTCAGGGTCCTATTGGTTCTTATTCCAATAAAAAACATTTAAGGGTTATGATGGAGGTGAATTTGAAACTCTAGTCATAATATTTATTTTATAGTATAAATAATGCCTAATTGGTACAAATACTATAAGCTGAACAATTATATCTCACCAATAATAAATTCCTTGGATCTGCCAAAACTAAGTTAAGAGACTTGCTGAGCATATCCTTAGCCAATCATATGTTTATCTTGAGGCATTAACCAAAGGCTCTACTCAGAATAAAGTGCCCTATTCATGCACTGGAGTCACAAGTATACTTTTCTACTTTCAGAAAATCTTGTGGGCCAAATAATGCAGCTAGATGTGGTACAGCAAAGGCCAAAGTATGGTTTCAGTCCATATATGTGCCACATGCCCACGGGGCAGTGCTCCTTTTCAAGGGAACTATGCTTCCTGTTTAACCCATGACATTTGTCTTACAGCAGCTACCAGGAGGCAGCCTGAACGTGTCAGGGCCTGGGCACGACACTTGCCTTTCTTGGAGGAGTGATTTGAAGCCATAGTGGAAGACTGAGCCTCTATAAAAAATGAACGAGGACACTCTTAATGGACAGATACAAAACAAGCCCCAGGAGAAAGTAAGTGAAAAGAGCAATTGCAGAATAGTGTGTATAATATGTTAGCAATTGTGTAAAATGGAAGGAAGTGTATATGCTTGTTATGCATAGATTCTCCCTGGAAGATCACAGAAGAAGCAGGCAATGTTGATTGCCTTCAAGGAAGGAGAGGGGTGAGTGATAAGAATTTTCCCTTATAATCTTTGTTCTTTAGAATTTTTCACCAGGTGATTTATTATGTTTAATATATGTATAATTCCTTTCAAGTTTTGTGCCATGTGAATGTATATAAAATAATGTTTAAAAATTTAACAGTATTTGAAATGAGTAAATGAGTCAAGATCATAAGAAAAGGCGTGGCCTAGTGAGGGTGAGTATGTCATGTCTTGGAGTTGAAAGTGGAATATAGAACTAAGTGTTTAACTAGACCCAAGACCAAAGAAGGGAGTTATGAGAGGAGAAATATCCCCACATACTCTTTTAAAAATCGGACAAACAATTATAATTCAGCAATCCCTTCCTAGGTGCTTAGTTTGTGCCCGTCAGCAGGCAAGCCAGCATGCCCACACAGTCTTCATCTCATGAACTCTGATAGAGATGCAAAGAAGCATCCCTTGTAAAACGTGTGTGACAACAAGAAGATGTCATATTGTCGACACAGCAGTATCAGCATTACACACGAAACCTGGTGATCAAATAAACGGCCTTGTAAAATAAGTGGGTGTCGGTGTTGCCTCGTACCTCACTGAGCTGTCACTATTGGTAAAGTATTTGATAGAGGTGAGAGTCCCAACCTCTACTCTTGGGAACAATACCATTTCTCTGGAAATCAATCCAATAGAATCAATTCTTTCAGCAAAGATGTAGTATAGCTTCTATGTGCTGGCACAGAGGGGAACACAGAGGACACACAGATTAAGCTCAGCAAGGGCCCTGCCCACGAGGAGCTGGTGGTGTTCACAGGGTGATAAATATGTAACCAATACTGTTTCAGAAAGCAATGGAAGTGCAGAAGAGGGTAGATAATTCTGCCTGAGGGGAGAGGGGGAAGCTTTAAGAAGTAGTGGGGAACTACATGTAGATGAATAAGTAGAAGTTTTCGTGGCCAGGGAGCAAGAAAAATTATTTTAGGCAGAGTATTGTACAAAGAAGGTAGAGGCATGAATACCAGGCCTATTTGAGAAAGGGGGACTCTGGCTAGACCAGAGCACAGGATGCTGGAGGGTAGAGAGGTGAGGCTGGAAGGCAGCCTGGGACTTTTGAGAGGGGTCATGATGATTCTGCTGAAGAGCTTGGGCTTTTTCCCTAGGCAGTGAAGAGCTACAAAGGACGTGAAACACGGGATAGTGGTAGCACAGTGCAAGGCTTCAGGTGGAGCAAGTGCACCAGAGACAGAGCCCAGAGGAGGCTGTGGCCACAGCCAAAGGAGGACGAGGAGCAGGAGGATCCAACAGTTTGCAGGGCAGGGGTTTTGGGTCTGACAAGCAATGGACTGGGTGGAAGAGTCACAGGGAAGGATGGGCCATGCTGTAGCTGACTTTAGAATAACCCATGAATCCAACTGTACCCTCTCCCCAGAAAATGACAATTGTGTAAAAGGGACAAAACCTGTTTTGCTTACAGAGAATGAATTATTCCTGGCCCCCAAATCTATATTGCAAAAAAGGTTTACTTTACTTAATTTTAAGGTGTTTTTAGAATTATGTAGTTTGACATGGTATTAGAAATAGTTTGATACATAACTTACTTTGAAACAAATAATACGCCTTGTTTATGTGTCCATTTGAATCCTCGCTTGAACTCACAAATGTCAGTTACTTCCTACCTAAAATTTATCACTAAAAGGTGAATACAAAGAGGTGATGGGTTGGAATGGTCACGACTTGAGGCTAGGTATGTCTAAGTCTTGTTCGTTAGGGTCAGTCCTGTGCCAACTGTTGAACAGTAGCATCTATTTTTTCAAAGCATCCTATGTTCTCTGAAGAAGTTTTCCTATGTGATGGATGATGTTGGTTAATTTGGGATAGGAAAGTTCAAAAGTTGGGCATGCAAAACTCTGGACTGAAAGTCTAAAAGGTCTTCATGAGAAATAGGAGAGATTTAATTTGGATCCCCCGGATCTCTGTGATTGAGACTAATGCTATTATTCAGAACCTGATCAGTTTTTCCAGTGGATGAAATCCCATCTTACTAGCATATGTGCTGGAGAGAAGGATGAGCAAGGCTTCGCTTGCCTTATGAAAGCCTCTCAAGGATGGGTGTTTCTGCAGATTCTCTGGAAACCTTTACATTTGCAGTGAACTATTTTATATTTAAAAGCTGCTGGGTTACGTTAGGCAGCATGGACTGTTTTTCACTTAATTGCCACCCTCTGGGGATCAGTGCCAAGGTACCATTCTCTACCAGCCACACAGAGGATGACCCAATTGTGCTTTTAGTTCCCTCTAAATGCAATCTATTGATTTTCTTTCTCCCGCAGTAAGCAGGGTGATCTTGGTTATTCCAAAGCAATTAGGTCGAGTATTTGGTTGGACTCTTCTTCAACCTTGAAGGATTCTATTTACTCTCCTCCATTATAGCCTTAAAGCTTTAGTCCCTTATATAGCCAAGAGTTGCTTTTCTGCACCAATAAGCAAAAGCATTACAATATTAATAACCCTCAGCCACGGGTTTAGCTTCCTCACCTTCTTCCCATGCTTGGATGATTTCCTCTGCATTTGAAGTAATCAATAGTGGCCTGAAATTTATTCGGGCTTTCACACAGTCCATGAAGTTTCCAAAATAAGCCAGTGGCAAGCATTTAATTAGCTCATTTTGTTTCTGCCAGGGCAGAGATGCAGACTTGAGGAGGCCAGGAACTGGTATACAATATAGCTGTTACTGAAACTTTTATTCCTCGCAGTAAATAGGAATGGGATTCAGAAGACTAATGGTTCTGCCTCTACCACACTCTCTGTGGCTTTGGACGTGTGTCTTTGTCAGTCTGGACCCATGTTTTCCTTTGGGTGGAAAGAGTAGGGTGCTACTAATCTTTGAGGGAGGCTTTTTTGAACGGTAGATTCTAAGTACCAGTCATCACGTTGGGTGCTGAGCATCAAAGATGTTCAAGGCACAGCCGAATGGGGAAAGAGGGAGACAGGCATAGAGACAAGTATTTGCCTTGTGCTGGGAAGGGCTCTGCTAGAGATAGGAGGAGAGTGCAATGGTAGGTGTCTGCAGGGCTGTGACTGAACTGGGCTGTAGGGCAGGGCTGTCTCTGGGACAACACTAGGCTGAGGACACAGGCACTGCACCGGCTTCTGCTTTTCCTGAGGTCTTTGCAGCAAGTAGAGTTTTTTTTTTTTTTATTTTTCTCTCTGTGCCCAGTCAACGATATTTATTTCCATACCCTGCAAAGCACCTGAAAAAAGGAAGTATCTCTTAGGATGTTTATGTTAGGAGCTGTCAGCTCTTTGCTGATAGCTATCAGCGGTTTTGAAGTCACTGCATTTCCATCAAAATGAGCTGATAATAAATCTCACGCATACAGAGGAAAAGGCTGCAGTGAGTTTCAGGTAGATAGGAAAGCTGATATTAGATGGCCCGAGAAGGCCTTTGTCTATGGACAGGCAGGAGAACCTGGAAGGGTATTTTCAGGCTGAAAGTGAGAAGACTTCCTGGTCTCTTTCTTTGGTTTGTGGAGAAGGCTCTGTGATCCTGGAATAACACACCCATCACATTTGCAGCCTTGCAAGGGAATGTAACTGAAGTTCTCATTGGGGAGAAACACCACACATGCAACATAGCTCTGCAACCCACATCTCGTACCACTTCCTTACCTTACTATTGGTTTATATAGCCTTCACCTTGTTTCAGAAAAGAGTGAGGCAATGTATATACATGGATACATAGTAAAACTAAAAATAAGGGGGACTGCTCAGGTGTGTATCAATGCTGACTCTTTAAAAGTATTCATGCCTTTTGACTTAACAATGATATTCCTAGAAATTTATCCCAAGGATAAGAATTGAAGTCTGTTCAAAGATTTATCTTTGTTTTCCATATTCTCATAATGTCTTTTCTCTGCTTTTTATAAAATTGTGAAATAATTAACAGAAGAGTGTAAAAAACGTATATATACTGTCAAAAGAAGACTAATGAAGCAAATACTTGTGGATCCAGCACTCAGGTTAAGATAAAGAACACTGATAGTATTTTAGAAGTGCTCTTTGGGCCGTTCTGCAATCACATCTCACTACTACCCTCCTGCCAAATCTCTAATACATATGCAATAATATTAAAATTATCACCTTGTGATAATTTCATTGCTTTTCTTTATAATCTCACCACTTGTAAGTATAGCTCAAAATAATAATTTCACTTTTGCCTTTTTAAAAATTTCTGTGATTCACTTCTTATTCTTAATATTATGTTGAGATTTTAAAATATTGGTGCATATAACTAAACTTTATCCATTTTCTCTATTCTACAGTATTTGAATATTTGAAAATACCATAATTTATTTATCCAGTCTATTGATAGATGTTTGGAGTTGTTTCCAGTTTTTGCTATTACATGCAATACAGCTATTATTGTACCTATACAATATTATACATTTATGAGAGATAATCTAGGGTATAATCTAGGGTATAATCAATCTTAGGAATGATTGCTGGGCTATACAGCACGTGGTCAACTTTACAAGTTGTGAAGAGGCAAATATGATTGTCTGATAAATGCTCGGGGGGCTCAGGTTGCCAAGCACCAAGAGAGCTGGGCTTAGGAACTACCCCTTTCCCCACCCAGTTTCACACGAGGTCACAGGATGCTAGCAGTGGTGTTGCCAGACAACTCTGAATAGTTGGCATCTAAATCCAGACTGCTTACACCAATCAACTCCCCTCCCTCCCTACCCACTGGTCAAGCCATTCTCATGGGGTCCTGCCTCTGGAGTAGAGCCCCCTGGTATGTACAGTAGTACCCTGGCTCTCACACTTTTAGGCGGGAGACTGAGCTAACCATGAACCATGCCCGTTTTGCTGACCCTCTGTTTCCTCACCAAAGCCAATTCTGTGCCTTTACATCATGATCTTGTGGTGTTTGATTTTACTGCCTTTCTACACTGGGGAATTCCTAACTATTTTCCAAAGTGACTGTTCCCAATTTAGCTCTTACGTTCAGTGGGTGAGGAATCCTTTAGCTTTGCATCCTCACCCAGGCTTGTTATTTTAAAAATTTACATTTAATGACTTCAGAATATTTTGTCCATCTTGGCTATAAAATTGTAACCAACTGTGGTTTAATTTGCATTTCCTTGATTACTAAAGAAATTGAGCATCCTATTGGTCATTCAGGCTTCCTCTTTTGTGAAAGTGTCTATTCAAGGCTGTTTTCTGAGTTGTTTACTTTTTTTAAAAATTGAATTATACAAGTTATTGATATATTGTGGTTTTGATTTTCATCCTGTATATGAGTTGCTGATAATTTTTCCAATTTTGTGACTTTTCTCCTTGATGTGATCTTTTATAAACAGATTTTCTTAATTTTAATTCACTCAAATCTGTTGATATTTTACTTTGTGGTTTATACTTTTCATCTTATTTATAATCTGCTTTCCTATCCATGGGTAATTAAGCTATTTGTGTATATTTTCTTCTGAAAGTTTTATGTTTTGCCATTTGCTTTTGGAACTTTAATCCTGGAGTTGATATTTGTTTGTGGTAGGAGTCCAGTTTTATATTTTTCCCTATGGATAATTGCCCCAGCACTATTTACTGAAAAGTCAGCTTTTTTTTTCTTAACTGATTTACAGGGTTAACTAACTATGCCAGACATCAAACATCCATATGTGTTTGGGACATGTTGTTTGCTATAGGTTTATCTTTAATTATTTTTATTAGTTAGAAAAGTTCCCTTCTATTTCAAGTTTGTTAAGATTTGTTTTTTTTAAACAAGCACCGCATGTTCTCACTCATAGGTGGGAATTGAACAATGAGAACACTTGGACACAGGAAGGGGAACATCACACACTGGGGCCTGTTGTGGGGTGGGGGTAGGGGGTAGGGAAAGCATTTGGAGATATACCTAATGTAAATGACGAGTTAATGGGTGCAGCACACCAACATGGCACATGTAAACGTGTAACAAACCTGCATGTTGTGCACATGTACCCTAAAACTTAAAGTATATAAAAAAAAAGATAAAAAAAAGAAGATTTGTTTTTTTTTTTTTAAGTCATGAATGGGTTCTGTATTTTATCATATAGTTTTTTCTCTGGAATTCAGGTGATTATAGATTTATCATTTGTTAATATGATGAGTTACATTATTCGCATATTTTGTAATGCTAAATCATCCTTGCATTTTTGAGATATTCAAACTAAATATAATATTTTAAAAATACATTGCTTAAATCAGTTTGCCAGTTAAAAAATATTTTTGCATCTATGTTCATGAGTAAGACTGGTTTGTAATGTTCCTTTCCCTACCACTTTTGACAGGTTTTGCTATCAGGCAGGTAGTATTATTATTTAAGACTTTATGTTTTTAGAGCAGCTTTATGTTCACAGCAAAATTGAGGGGAAGGTACAGATGTTTCCCATATGCCCCCTGCTCCCACACACGCATGGCCTCCCCTGTTATCAACATCCCTGGTCAGAATGGAACATTTGTTACAATTGATGAACCTACACTGACACATCATAGTCACTCAGAGTTCATAGTTTACATTAGGATTCATTGTTGCTTTGTACATTCTGCGGGTTTGGATGTGTGTATACTGACATGTATCTACCATTATAGTATCACATACAGTATTTCACTGCTCTAAAAATCCTCCATGCTCTGCCTATTCATCCCCCACACCACCCTACCCCCTGGGATTATTTTTGTAAGTGGAGTCAGGATAATAGGACAAAGAAAAAATGTAAATATGAAAGAAAGGAGTTTGGATAGAGGTTGAAATATAAAATTTATGTCACAAGGTCTCTTACATGGCTAGGAATTTGGCTCTGAGCTTCCTAACAATGAATGTAAATCAATTTCATGATTCAGAAAAACCAATGGTACAAAATGAAACTAGCTGTTCAGGAGCAGAACAAGTTTTTTAGGAGGTGTTATAGGGTGATGGTTTAGAGACTGCTCTCTGGAGCTGGATTACCTGCGTTTCAATCCTGTCTCTACAATTTATGACCTTTGTAGATTTGGACAAGTTATGTAACCTCTCTGTTTCAGTTTTCTCACCTGTAAATCAAAGGTAATTTCATAGAAGTGTTTCACAGATTAAAACCTATAAAATACTCTAAAAAGTGATGGGTTCTTGGTAGCACTCAATAAACATTAACCTTTATTATCATTTTGGATACTGAGACCAGAAAGAAAATTTCCTCTTAGATTTATTTTGAGAGGATGCTGTTTAATGGAAATGACAATGACCCTAACAAAATCCTTGTAGAGCTATTATTATCATTTGATTAATTTATCATTGTGAGGCATGTATATCCTTCAGATAAACTTTCATAAGTAATGCTTTTTCCAGTAGAACTTTTGATAAGTTTTGAGGGTAGGTAAGTATGATGTAATACTTCCTGAGCGGTACCTGGAATACAGCCATATTCTTACATATTTTTGAAATCAGAGGAGCATAAATAGAAGATCACCTTGCCTCCACACAGGCCAGGAAATACTTGAGGGCATGACCACACATCTCTCCTCGAACAGTTGTGGGCGTGTAGCAGAGCGCAGTCAAAAGAGTTGTCAATGCCCTGGGTGCACTCATTTCATCTTGGGAAAAAATTGAAATCAGATATTGCTAAACTATCACCTTGGTCATAAGTTAGTTATTAAAAAATCTCTAGGTACCTAAATGAGTTACTGTACCAGATAATTGACTACAGTGTGTTCTAGTCAAATAATAATATTCAAACTAACACATTTGAGTTTACTATGTGCTGCACTAAGTATGCCACACATATTAACTTGTTTAACTCTCAGAACAATCACATGAGGCAGATACTATTACCATCCCCATTTTATAGATGAGTCATACGATTAGTAAGTGGTAGAACTGGGACTCAAACCCATGTGGACTGGCTCCCAAGTGTAAATGTTAGTGAGATGCCTACCCAAAACAGTGACTTTCTTTTCAAATAGTTCACCTGTATGTAGCCCTTCTTTGTGGCAGTAACCTTATAGTTGGCCACTGTATTACAAATAATGAAATAATATGATTTGAATGTGTTTCTCCTTCTGTATTCCATGACAAGGCACATATTAATCCCTGTTAAGAGTGGTACCAATACACAAAGTAAAAACTGGTGGCATATTTCATGCACTTTCCACCTGATCAGTTGTAGATCCCAACTCTTACAGTTAATTAAAAGCAAGTTCTCAATAATCGTTGATAATTAGGATCAAAAATGTATTGATCATGTGATCTCCACAATCAATTCCTGTCTACTGAAATATAGATAAGAAATAGATATATAAAGAGCAAACACAAATCTTGCATAACTCCAAAGAGACTTCTTTGCAAGTTAATACAGAGTTTGTTAATGATCAGTAGTGAAATAACCTCCTGCATAAATTATTGGCTTGCTGGGCCTAAACTTTCAATTTATGAAGAAAGAAATAGGCATGCTTCCATCTATAGAGTCCTTTCCTGTGGCCACAACCTGTAGCTGTTTGTGGCTGGGTTCTTCTGGCATGCAGGTCCCCTGTGGTATTAGCTTTTGATACTACAGAAGCAGAACATGTAGCTGCAGCTGTGTAATAAGAAGCTTGGGTAGCTGTGACTGAGTAGGAGTGGAGAGCCGTGGAAAGCCTCGATGTATATTTTTCTTCTCTTGAGTTTCTTGGCATTCAGGATTGGGATAGTCCTGATGCAAAGTAGGACTCATCAATGATGCCCATGAAAATGCCCTCCTCCTTGATCCTAGGACACGTGTGCTGCAGAAGCTTGCCCAGAGGATACCACCACCACTGGGTGACTGCTTTGGGGGCTACTGTTGCTAACTCTCTAGTTCTACAATTTGGGAATAGTAAAGATGCCCTTTTAAAAACCGTGAGAGAGTTCATGGTGGTTTTAGCTGGATGGTTGAACAGTTGTAGAGTTAATAAAAATATATACAAACAGGAACCTGAGCACACCTTCCAAGCACTCCTTTAATAGTTCTGAGAGCGGAACATCTCCATAGGTACCTTATTTGGTTAATTTTATTTTTAGTTTTTACAAATCAACTGTTCAATTCAAGACAGTCCTACGTAGACTCAGCAAGAAAACAAACCTGGAACTTATAAAGCTCCTTGGGTTTATCTAACTGAGAAAACAACCTTCCCAACAGTTAACCAGACCTGGACTTGAAAGACTTCAGTCATCAAATTCATAGCTCTGGCAATATCCCAGAATCTGGTCTCATTTCCTCATTCAATGGTCAAACTCAAGTCTTACCACATAAATTAATTTTAAATTATTTTTGGTCAGGCACAGTGGCTCATGTCTGTAATCCCAGCACTTTGGGAGGCCAAGGCAGGCGGATCACCTGAGGTCAGGAGTTCGAGACCAGCCTGGCCAATGTGAAACCCTACCTCTGCTAAAAATACAAAAATTAGCTGGGTGTGCTGGCAGGTGCCTGTAATCCCAGCTACTTGGGGGGCTGAGGCAGGAGAATCACTTGAACCTGGGAGGCAGAGATTGCAGTGAGCCAAGATCGCACCATTGCACTCCAGCCTGGGCGACGAGCAAAACTCCTTATCAAAAAAAAAAAATTAGCCGGGCGTGGTGGCGGGTGCCTGTAGTCCCAGCTACTTGGGAGACTGAGGCTGGAGAATCGCTTGAACCGGGGGGGCGGAGGTTGTAGTGAGCTGAGATCATGCCACTGCACTCCAGCTTGGGTGACAGAGTGAGACTCCGTCTTGGAAAAAAAAAAAAAAAAAAAAATATATATATATATATATATATATATATTTTTTTTTTTTTTTTTAATGTGATAAAAAGCTTATAAGAATATTTAAGTTTGAAAAGCTCCCAGATAGTTTTGATTTCCCTGGTGTAAGTTTTACAGTTTTGTTTGTTTCCTTTTGTTTTGGTTTACCTTTCCAGCAGTTCCTAGCTTTCTGTAGTTAACGTCTACTGAGCAGTAGGAGGGAAAGCCTCATGTGTTGGGACCCAGTATGGATGAGGGTGGTTTTAAGTTATTAGCAACCAACTGGAAGGAAGGAAGCAAATAAATTTTTTCCTTCAGACATCCAGGCAAAGTTTTGAAAGGTCTCAGGATAGTGACAAGTAGAAGTTGAAAGCCCTTCAACTCATTCTTTACCCAGACTTCTTAAGCAGCCCAGAAAAATATGAGTGCAAATTAACTCCAGAATGGATATGCTTAGACTTAAAACTTAGGGAAAATTGGCTCCTTCTTGCTGGTCCAAAATGTTAACTCTAAAGATTGTAATAAATAGACAAGACCTAGCTTTGATATAAAATTGGATTCTAACCATGGGGGCAGACATGTAGTAAGTATTTTCTGTAATTTTCCACATGAGCCACCACTCAGTACCAGCAGAATTTTATTCATAATGAACTTTAGTGAGTCTCTAAAGGAACCCCATCACCCTACAGGAAATTCACCCATTCGTTCCTAAATGGTACCTGGCAGAGTCTCATTGCACTCACTGCAATCCTGGGTGTCCAGGATCTTAGAGATAAGCAACTCTGCCATGGAAGATGCAGAATAATTTGAGATTTAAACAACAACACAAAAAGACCATATGGAGGCCAGGCACGGTGGCTCACGCCTGTAATCCCAGCTACTAGGGAGGCTGAGGCAGGAGAATCACTTAAACCCAGTAGGTGGAGGTTGCAGTGAGCTGAGATTGTGCCATTGTACTCCAGCCTGGGCGACAAGAGCAAAACTCCATCTCAAAACAACAACAAAAGACCATATGGGGAGCCAAAAATGTAAACTTTGGAGGGAGGCAGAATGAGTGAGGAAAGGTATTAAGACAAATCATATCCAGCCTACTAAGGAATTAAGACCGGAAAGAAGAGGTTCCACGCATATGAGTGATGGAGGTTAAGAGCAGCCCAGAAGTAAGAGGAACGAGGATCTCACACATTCTTACCTCTGCATATTACAGGAGTGTTACTGTATTCTCAGTCCCTCATGTCAGGAGGCAGGTGGTTTGAGTTGGTATCTATTCTCTAGATGTCACCACTGTAAAGTTATTTTTCCCTTTGTAATAATAAATATTATGTGGAATGATATTTTAAGGCTATGTATATCTTTTTCCTCTTTTCTCATCTGACAGTTCTTCAACTTTAAACCACTGATATGGTGTGACTAATGCCCTAGAATTAAGATTTCTTACAGGCAGATATTAGAACCCATTTTAAAAAGCCAACACATTTAATTTCTTACCATTGCCACACTACTCTGCAGCTAAGAAACTTTTAGTAATTAATGGGCAAATACCAGAGACCTTCCAAAAAAAAAAGCTCCTGAAGACTTAGAGCATATCACCTGGTGAAGCTGTTTCCCCAGGTCATTTGGGTTTTCCCACATCAAGCAAGTCAAGCTCTTCTAGTCCAAGGTGGAGCACCAACCAATTCCTGGAATTAGGGAGCGCTTCAGATGTTCTAGGTCAGGTCCCTGGTTCCAGGGTGGGGCTCAGTGGTGAGTCAATTATGCATGGAGTCAAGAATGATCTCTAGAAAGTGTGGTGTCTAGCAGCTGTGGGTTTGGGTGGCCTGAGGTCCCATCCTTCAGTCAAAAAGGAACCAAGGGGAAAATCACTTTCTGAAACTTGGTGTGAGAGATGGTACCGACACCCTTAGTAAAATCCTACTAGAGGATCTGACAATGCAGGAGGTGCATGGTCACCATAGCCAAGATTCTGAAGGTTAACTGACTTATCCTTCGGGACCCTACCTCTTCCGTAACACAGTCTTATTCTCCTTGAAGAAGCAGATAATGGATCTGAGAGAGCCTGCCTCAGCCATCATCTTGTACACTGAGAAGTACTCCAGGGGTTACACTGGCCTATGATCTAGATTGAAGCAGGCTTTCCTGATTTCCTGTCTGGACCTGTGTTGCTAATGTAACCAACCTGAAGATGCATGGCTGATCATGCTTTTTAAACAGTTGAAAAAGACCCCATTCTGGCCAGCAGTAACTCTCACAATGAAGGCAGTGAACTCTACAAGAAGAGGACCCTCATTTGACTTTGCTGAGGAGGGACATGGAATGACCTGGAAATAAACATATTAGAGGATGGCTGGAATGTGAAGCACGGAAAGGAATCCTCCATTGTCTCCCTCCCACGAGAGTGAAGTGAAGTGGATATCCACGCCTCCTAGCTCCTCTCCACTATCAG